>NC_000020.11:40557143-40860173 GCF_000001405.40 Homo sapiens
GCATGTTCTCACTTGTAAGTGGGAGCTGAACAATGAGAACACATGGACACAGGGAGGGGAGCAACACACACTGGGGCCTGCCAGGGCAAGGGGGAGCATAGGAAGGGAGAGCATCAGGAAAAATACCTAATGCATTCTGGGCTTAATACTTAGGTGATGGGTTGACAGGTGCAGCAAACCACCATGGCACATGTTTTCCTATGTAACAAACCTGCATATCCTGCACATGTACCCTGGAACTTAAAATTAAATTAAATTAAATTTCAAAAAAAAAGAATCTTCTAATTTCAAAGCTTTATCAGGTTTAAAATTAAAATTTATATTTATATGTTTGCCAAAAAAACAGTGCATATTTATTACTTATAGTTATCTGGGTTAGAAGTCCAAAACAGGTCTCAAGGGGCTCCTCAAGGTGTCAGCAGGGCTGCCTTCCATTTTAGAGGCTCTAGGGGAGATCCATTTTCTTGTCTTTTCCAGCTTCCAGAGGCCACCACATCCCTTGCCTCCTGACCCCTTCCTCCATCTTCAAAGCCGGCAAGGTTGCATCTCTGACCCTTCTTCCCTATTCACATATACCTCTGACCACAGTTGGAAGGGTTCTCCAATTTCAAGGACTTATGTGAATAAATTGGGCCCACCTGGATAATCCAGGATAATCACCCCATCTCAAGGTCCATAATCTTAAATCACTCTGCAAAGTACTTTTGCAATGTCAAGTAACAGGTTCACAGGATTAAGGCATGGACGTTTTTAAGGGGCCATTTTTCTGCCTACCACAAATGTATATCTTTAACTGCATGTCATTACAATGATTTTTTCATAAAAGATAAATGAGGTCCTTATAACTACAGAGTCTTCTATTCTTCCACTCTTCCTCTGCCCTCTCCCACTTTCTTATATGTTACTGAAAGTGAGTTTCTTACATCAAGTGTAAATCCATTGCACAGTTAATTCTAAGGCCTTTAGTGTCCCTAATTCCTCTTCTTTCGGAGGTTACTTTGCTGTATCATCATTAAACCACGTTAAAATATGTTCATATCTTATACTACATGAAACTTCTATATAACTAGAGTTGAAGTGAATTTGTTGACAAACTGTTGTGTCTTATGTACATTTAATTAAAATTAATTTTTTATACTTTGCAGTTTTCTTTACTTTTTTATATCCCAGCTATTTTCATAGATCTCAGAACAGTTCATAGGTCCATAGACACTGCCTTAAAGACTCAGTGAACAAGAAGACCCTAGATCAATAGATATTCTTCCAGGAGAAGGGGGGAAGGAGAAAGAAAAAAAGAAAATAAAAGAAAAAAGAAAGAAAGAAAAGGGAAGAAAAGAAAAGAAAAGGGAAGGGAAGGAGGAAGGAAAGAAGGAAGGAAAGAAGGAAGGAAGGAAGGAAGGAAGGAAGGAAGGAAGGAAGGAAGGAAGGGAGGGAGGGAGGGGAAGGAGAAAGGGAGGTGAAGGAGAAAGGGAAGGAAGGAGGAAGAAAAGAAAGAAGAGAGAAAGAAATAATGGAGGGAAGAAGGAAGGAAGGAAGGAAGGAAAAAAGGGATGGAGGAGGAGAGGAGAAAACTTGATTACTTAGTGCTCTCTAGTGTGAAAACTCAATGACCCACTCTCTCTTCCAGTGCCAGGACCATCGTTCAGACCATCCATGAGTAATTCAGTCATTTGTTTATTCATTTATACAACAAATAATTCCTTTGCACCTGTAAAGGGCCCATTCCTACTGGGCACTGGGAACACCATGATGAATAAGGCCCTGTCCCCATCCTCAAGGATCTACCAGTCTTTACCTAATCTTGTATGTGAGTGGACACACATCACCTTTACTTGAAAGAACGGGGCTGGCCCACTGTCAGGGAACCTACCTACCATCACCAAGAATGGCTAGATGAGTACCAGGTCTTTACGTGCATAGATAACAATTCAGTTCCTTAGCTGGCTTCTTTCCTATTTTGTTATAACTTACATATAGTGATGTGCACAGATTTTAATCACACCGGTCTTTCAGTTTGACTGAAACCCATAGAACGTCCCCAACACCCAGAAACGTTCTCTTCTGCCCTTTTCCAGCAATTCCTCCTCCCTGGAAGCAACGACTGCCCTGATTTCTCACCACGAGTTAGCTTTGCCTGTTCTGGAACTTCACATTTGTGGAGTCACACAGATAAACACTTGTGTCTGGCTTTTTGTGCTCAGCAGGATATTTTTGAGATTCATTCATGTTGTTGTGAACAGATCAATAATCTGTTTATTTTAACTGCTGAGTTGTATCTCACTGTATAAATAGACCATAAATGTTTACCCATTATCCTGTTAATGAATATTTTGAACCATTTCCAATTTTAGGTTATTGTGATTAAAGCTGCTATGAATATTTTTGTAAATAATTTTTTGTGGATATATGTTTTCATTTCTCTCAGATAAATATCAAGAAATAGAATTACTAGGTCATAGGCTAGATGCACATTTAACTCTTTAAGAAACTGTCAAGTCATTTTTTAAAGTGGATGAACCATTCACAATCCACCCATGATGTTCTGGCGGCTCCACATGCTCACCAGCATCTGGACTTGTCTTTCCCATCTTTTTTGCTCTACACACTCTGGAAACTCAACTCAGAACTCTGTATTTACTTATTTTTTTATATTTTTAGAGACAGAGTCTCCCTCTGTTGCCCAGGCAGGAGTGCAATCACACAATCATAGCTCACTGCATCCTCAAACTCCTGGGCTCCAGGGATCCTCCCACCTCAGCCTCCCCAGTAGCTGGGATTAGAGGTGTGTGCCACTACACTCAGCTAGTTATCTTATTTTTTGTAGATATGAGGTCTCGCTCTGTTGCCCAGACTGGCCTAGAACTCCTGGCTTCAAGTGATCCTTCCACTTTGGCTCTCCAAAGTGCTGGGATTACAGCCATCACCCACTGTGTCCAGCTAGAGCTCTGTATCTTTTTAACTGGAAATGTTTAATCTAGGGTGTAAAGAATGCTTCAGGGAACCTCAGGTCCCTCCTAGAATTGTAGTTTAAAGTGTATGCATATTTGTGAGTGTCCATTTTTCTGAGAGAAGGAAATGCAGTTTTCAAAAACTAATGAAGTACAGCTCTAAGAAATACATTTACATTTGAAAAAACAATTCTTAAGAATCAATGGAGCTTTTCTTACCTTCTAAGATGGAACTAAACCCAGAAAGCAATCCACAAACTGCTCCTCCAGGGACAAAGGAGTGGTGGGAAGGATGGTCAAGGTTTCCTAGCAAGAGCCTCTTTAGGGCCTATTGGAGGCTTGCTCCATTAAGATTAAATCTTGCAAAGACTGTAGGCTGACAATACCTTTTGTCTAAGAGTAAGAAAGAGCCCTCCCCAGCCACACTTGCGGGCATTCCTCCTACTGATCTGGCTGTACCACAAAGGTGAACTATGATAAAACCACCTTTTCCCCCTTACAACCTACAGCCCCCAAACAGTATCCCCAGACAGCTTCAATATCACACCAGCACAACTGATGACTTTGAAATCTGCAGATCTACCTTCATCTGCGTAGACTCCAAATATCTCCTCAAAATGGACCTGCTTAGACCTTGGAAGCCCTGTCTGGATAAAGATCCCTTTTCCCTGCTGCAAAAGTGCCTAGCTCTGCTCTGTCCAATACAGAGCCACATGTGGCCAAGCCGCACTTGAAATGTGACTGGTCCAAATTGAGATGTGCTGACCCCGTGAAATACATACCAGATGTTAAACTTAGAATGAAGAGAGAAACATTTTAAAAGATCTCATTAAAAATTTTTCTATTGATTGGATGTTGAAGTGATCATATTTGGGATAAGTGGGTTAGATAGACTATTATTAAAAGTAATTTTACCTGCTTCTTTTTAAACTGTAACTACTAGAAAATTTAAAATGGCATATGTGTCTTGCATTATATATCTATTCTATCCCCTGATGTAGCTTATTCTGCTCTGCACGGACATACGTCCCAAAACTCAGGCCAGCTCTATGTGGCCATCATCACAACCTGGTAGATTAGATGCCCTGGGTCCGTCTCCCACCCCACCATCTGCAAGAACTTCAGCAGAACTTCTTGTGGTCTTTATACCGGGTGTCAAACAGTTAACACTAGCCCCTGGTGGTCTGCCCAGGTTCACAGGTCAAGCAAGCTGCTGCCTGTCCCTAAGCCCAACCATGAGCCTCAAAAGAAGCCCATGGCCATGCACTGATATGATGAAGAAGTGGCCAGCCAGCAACTAGTGACACAGCATCTGGTACTGAAGCCAATCAATGAAGTGCAAAGAACCCAGGAAGGGGGACCAACCAGCCTCCTTTGCCTGAGACTGGGGAGTTTCTGGGAAGTGGAATTTATAGGTTTTTTGGGTTTTTTTTAGATGAAGTTTCACTCTTGTCGCCCAGGCTGGAGTTCAATGACACAATCTCAGCTCACCGCAACCTCCGCCTCCCAGGTTCAAGCGATTCTCCCGCCTCAGCCTCCTGAGTAGCTGTGATTACGGGCATGTGCCACCAAGCCCGGCTAATTTTGTATTTTTAGTAGAGATGGGGTTTCTCCATGTTGGTCAGGCCGGTCTCAAATTCCCCGACCTCAGGTGATCTGCCTGCCTTAAAGTGCTGGGATTACAGGCATGAGCCACTGCGCCCTTCCAATTTTTAGTTTTTAAAACAAGGCAGGCCTAGGCAAGCGAAAATAAGCTGTTCACCCTAGACCCAGGTATGCACGTGAGACCTGATTCTCAGGGGTCCTAGGGCAGACCAACCCTCCCACCCACCAACAGAGCCTTGAGATATTTGTGGGATGTGCAGGGCAAATATAAAAATTCCAACCGCTGCAGGCCTCACCTGGGCCACTGCCTTCCCTGAAACAGGTGAAAACTGAAATTCTCAAGCCACACCCACTAGAGCAGCAGGAGGAAGAATGGGGGAAACCCTTTAGCAGTGATTTGGAATCCCACTGTGTCCCTCCTCCATGAGCTGTCTGTGTGTGACTGAGCAGCTCGCTTCCCTCACTCTCTGGGGGTGGGGTCAGGGTGGGGAGTCTGTCTGACTCACTGCCCAAGCCACAGGCCTGTCTGCTTGTCCCCAGACAGGGGACCTACCTACCCACTGTCCTTCAGCTCTGTTGTCAGCCACAGGCTGTGCCCAAGAGGGCACATGGGGTTGGTGTGGGGAGGAGGGTAGGTTTCCTTGGCTGAGGCAGAGGAAGTTGCTTTCTGTCTCAAGTTCTGCTCACAGGTCAGACATTACCGGCCTTGTGATCATCAATCTCCCATTGTGTCCTTTCAACACGTACCAGTGTCTTCAACACTAAGTCCCTTGCAGAGGGAATGGGATAGGGACCGAACCTCACATGCTTTTCTGCTTCCCTGTGGATTTGTGAGGCTGATATCCAGGTGAAGAGATCAAGTAGAGTTTTGTTCATTCACTCAAATGTTCACTGTGCCTAGTAACAGGCAGACACTGAGAAAATTGCTAGAAATACAACAATGAACAAAGTTCCTGCACTCATGATGCTTACTGTCTACTGGGGGAAACCAACGATAAAAGAGTCAGTACAAAAAAAATTAATAAGTGTTAGGGGAGGAGAAGAGCTGGGTACTGTGAGAACACATATCCAAGGATCTATCGTATTCTGGGCAATCATGGAGTACTTCCATGAGGAAGCATGGTTTATGTTGAGACCCAAAATGAGGAAGAGTTAACATATACTTAACTGTGTGCCCTAGACCTTCAAGGATGGGGACTGCCTCTCTGAGCAGCTGCAGGGAGGCCTCTGGAGAGGTCTCTACACTGTGATGCTGGGTTAGCCTTACCTATGAGCTGATACACGCAGGCCTCAGAGCAGGGCCTAGGTTGTCCCCATTCAGGGCGGATTCTAGGACCTCTCTGGAAGGAAGAGACCCCAGGCGTGGGAGAGTAGGACCTAGTCTCAGGAAGGAACACAGGCCCTAGATTAAGACTGTGGGCTCTCGAATCCAACAATCTGCATTTGAATTTCAGGGCCATCTCTGAGTCTGTTTCCTCATCTGTTAAATGGGAGCAAAACAGCACGTATTTCATAAAGCTGTGGTGAGAATTTTAAAAGGCAATCCATGGAGAGAGCTGAGGGTGGTGTCTGGCACACAGCAAATACCAAATAAAAAGTGAGATTTCCTGCTTTCAATTATTAGTGTTACAGTGAAGAAAGATACAAAGTGCTGTGGGAACCGACTACCTCCTATCATTTATCTTATAGGAACAATCATTTAAAAGAAACTCCAAAACTGGCAAAATGCCACATTGTGTCTCAAGGAAGAAATATTGGATCTGAGCCTGGAAGGGTGGCTATGTGACTTGCAGAGAAAAAGTATGAAGAAAGGCACGAAGACCAGAATGGGTGGGGCGCCTGCAGGAGCAGTGCCGGAGTGCTGGAGGGGAGAGGAGATGGCAGAGCGCCAGGCTAAAGGGCTGGGCAAGGCGGGGCAGGAGGAGCCGGAAGGCCCTGCTAACAACCTTTGCCTTCATCCTAAAGGCAGCGGCCAGGCTACTGAAGATTTGAGAGTTGGTTGGTGATCTGTTGGGGTTTGCATAGGCAGAATGGAGATTTCCTGGAAAAAAACAGGAAGCCAGGGACCAAGGAGGGGGCTGATGTGAGTATCTAAGGCCACCTCAGACATTTATCAGAACACCCAGGGCTGTTTCTTGGTTCTGTGCCTTGACAACACACTATGTCCTCTGCTTGGAATTTCAACAAACTTACCTTCCAAAAATTAATCAAGTAATTCATTTATTCAACTAGTATTAATTAAGCACTTATCCTGTGTGAAGCTCAGAATCTCTACTCTCAGGAAATTGATGGTCTGGTGCAGGGGCCAGCAAACTTTTTCTATAAAGAACCATAGAGTAAATATTTTAGGCTTTGTGGAACATAGGGTCTCTGTTACAACTCTACCATTGCAGAGCAAAATCACCCATAGACTATGGAAATGAATGAGCCTGGCTGCATTTCAATAAAACTTTATTTACAAAAACAGGCAGTGGGCCAGATTTGGCCCAAGGGCTGGTCAATTCCTGTTAAAATATAATATAAGCCATAAACATGAACCATTATCTATTTAAATTACATATGCAATTAAAAATGTTCTAGTAGCCACATTTTTAAAAGTAAAATAAATGAGTGAAATTAACTTTAATAATGTATTCTATTTGATGCAATATATCCAAAATATTATTTTAACATGTAATCAATATAAAAAATTATTAATGAGCTATTTCCTATTCTTTTTTATACTAAGCCTTTGAAATTTGATGCATATTTTACATTGACAGCACATGTCAATTAGGATTAGCCACATTTCAAGTGCTTGATAACTACATGCGACTGGTGGCCACCATATTGGATGGCACAGGTCTAGCAGGATAGTGGAGGGTGGCTAGGGGAGAGGACGAATGGCTGACTGATATTGGCTTAGGGCATAAATTAACTATGATACCAATCCAGCTTGCCCACTTGCTTGCTGGGTAATTTTTGGCATGGTTCTTACTAATCTGGGTATCTTTAGGCCCAAAGTAACAAATGAGGAGTTAGCTTTAGCCCCTAGGTTCCTTCCAGCTCAACAATGTAGAGATTCCAGACTCAGGGTTTAGTGGATGGAGTCAACAACTTGGATTTTCTTTGCTAAAAAGCACCTTGGATAGTACAATCATCTTGTACTGTCTTGTACTTGTATTCGCATAAGGCTTTCTGTGGCAACCCCACCATCCACATCTCCAGGGGCCTGTGAGGGTGGCTGTCTGCTCCTGAGGGGTCAGGGGATGTATACGTAAGGTAGAGAAGGGATAGGAGAATCGCCCTCTCCAGCTCTCTGAGAAAAACGTGCCCCCCTCAAACACACACAGGCACATACATGCATGCATGCACACACTCAAACACACACACAAGAACACACAGACACACATGCACACATGCATACACAGGGGCACACACACACACATGCACACACAGGTGCACACACAGGCACACACATGCACAGAGGTAACAGCTGTGATCTCCGGGCCTTAAGGTGCAGGACATGGGAACAGAAATACACTCCTCATGAGTCAGAGGGTGAGTCAGAATGTTCTGGAGAGCTTCAGAAGGGAGCAGCAGGAGGGGCTCATGGTGAGGAAGGGAGCCAGGTCCCTAGGGGAGAGGGAGGGAGAATGGTCAGGTTTCCCAGTCATAAAGCCAGGGAAACACGTCCTGTAAGGAATAGGGTCTGCTGCCTTGCCAATTTGGGTCCCGAAGGATAGCCTGTGCAGGGGAATGCAAAGTGAGGGGCATTAGGAGAAGGAGATGGCCTTTTGGGCTGCCAAGTAGGGAAGGATTCAGACAGGGGTGTATAAAGCCAGCTCTGTGAGACAGATCACCTGACCTCCGTGAAGGCTCAGTCTCAGACTGTCGCACTGCAGCAGCAGTGTTTCTTGAAGCCTGGGCTGCTGAGTGAGTGCATGGTTGTTGCTAACCCATGCTGAACTGGGGAAACTGAGGAAGAGGCCACACTGGTGTCCTATTTGGCCCAGGTTGGGACAGGTGAGATCAGTTCTGCATGGCAGGGATCTGTGGGATATACTGACTGTAGCCTAATTTAGGCACATGACCAGGGCTGGGGAACAGCTAAGCCACCTTGTGGGGCTGTCAGAGCTCAAGAGGGCTCGACAAACCATCAGATCCAGGCAGCAGTCTGGCAGAACTGGGTGGGAGGACAGGATGAGGACACCTTCAGGAGGAGCCAGGGATAATCTGCATCAGGAGCCAGACCAACCAAAAAGGGAGGGGACTGAGGGTCTTGACAGATGCAGCCAGGCTTGTGAAGTGGCCCCTACAGTGTGGTGCTGGGTTTGATCACCTCCTGGCTGACCCACTCAAGCCTAAGGGCAGAAACTAGGCTGTCCCTAGTCAAGACTGATTCCAGGATGTGGGATAAAGGGGTCCCTGCAGAAAGAACCCAGGGGACCCAGGCATGGGTAGAGGAAACTGAGTGGGCAGAAATGGCCCCTCCAACCCATTCCCCATCTGCCAGCTCTGTGTGCACAGTGTTCACATCACCCTGTCTTAGTTTGGGTTCCCTGGAGAGCAGAGCCTGCGATAAGGCCTTTGGTACAGGTAGTTGATTTGGGAGATGACCCCAGGAAGTACTCCAATGAGTACTGAAATACTCCAATGAACATTTCCTTCGAGCATCATGTTTCTGCTTTAAAAGTTTCAGATTTTGGAGCATTTTGGATTTTGGATTTTCAGATTTGGGATGCTCAGACTGTATATGGGAATATTACTGAGATCCTTACTGTAGGCAAAGGGGGCTTGGGTGTACCAGGATCTCTAGGAAGTGTACAGAAGGCCTCCCAGAATTTTCCACCTGAAAAACAGGAAGCTGGGACCTTTATCCACTAGTCTCCATGGCTTTATGGTTGAAGGCTGCCCCCAAGAGGGCTCACTTCCTGCCATCCCCTCCCCTGTAACTCTGGAGAAAGCTGTGGGGCAGGATGAGGAAAGATGTGGAGTGCACTGGAGGTGGGAGTCAGGCTGTGCTGCCCTCTCACAGCTGTGCACCCCTCCCATGGCTTGAAATAAACTTCAGACTCCTTCCCATGGCTTACAAGTCAATTTAAGCCCTGGCCCCTGCCTGCTTTTCCAACCCCATCTCCCTCCTCCCTCCCCCTTGCTCATAATGTCATAGCTACAGGTACTGATGAACAGCCATACTGGTCCCCTTTCCATTCCCAGAAACTACCATGCTCCAGAGACTTTGCATGAAACTCTGCAACACATGGTTACAATGGTCAACTCCTTCTCAACCTCAGGTCTCAGAAAACTATCCCCCCCCTTAGTGAGATCTCCCCGATAAATGAATCTACCTGAGGTCAAATCCCCCTGTATTCTCTCCCATATCCCAGGAACGTGCTAGTAAATGTTAACAAATCGTTCTCAAAGAAAAACAAAAGCCCTCATTTGTTGTGTCTCCTAATTTTCATAATGTAAATATTCCCATCATGGTCAATATCAAGCTAGCAACATGTGGTCACTGAATATGGTTTTAGGCAAAGAAGTACAACAATGCACAAACTATTATATATTATTTTCATCGTATAGATACAATAGAAGTAAAATAATTGAGTCATGCATTTCATTTTTCATTTTGATTTTTATATAATTTATATGATTTATTATATTATATATTATTTATTTATTATATTATATATTATTTATTAAAATACATATTATTTATATAATTTAATGTTTATAATGGCTGTGTTTAACTACTAGCTCACAAAAACCCCTGAAAATTTAACAATTGGCTCTCATGAGCTAATATGAATCAGCGCCAATTCATATCACCAACTTATATCACCTGTGTGCACTTCTTAAAATGTAATTATTTTTCATCCTTGCTTTACTCTTTTTATGAGAGCCTTCTAGAATGTGGGTTCCTTGAGGGTAGAAGCTATGACTCTTTTTTTCTCAGCTGTGTTCTTAGAAACCAGCACAATACCTAACCTACAATAGGAATCCAATAACTATTTGTTGAATGAAGGCATAAATGCATGAATGCATGGGCAAATGAGGTCAATAGGGTTGGGCATGCCTCCTGTGGACTGAAGAGGGAACACTCATCTTGAGTGACCCATGTTGAATGCCACAAGTCTTGTTGGGGTGCTTATGACAGGGGTGGGAGCAGAACAGGCCCAGAGGTTCCAGGCTGGAGAAGCCAGAAAGTGGTAAGGGATATGAATCTGGAATCATTGCTGAAGGCTCTTGGGCTCCCAGGGGTAGCCCCTGTTAGGGCTTTATCCCCTCCCTACAGCACAGTTGGCCCCCTGGCAGGTGGGGCTCTCAGACACATCCAAAGCCAGCAGAGTTCTCTATCCCAGCCCTCCACATGAGGCTTTGCATGGAGGGCTGAGCAGGCCACCTAGGTTCAAAGGTTTGCCCAATCTGCTCTGGTATATCTGGGATCCCAACAATTCCTGACACCCAGGCCAGCTGCACTCCCTACGTAGGGGTGGCCAAGGACCTGGAGAAAAGCAAGCTCAGCAAGCCTGTACTCATCAGCTCTCCAACGTGTGTCCGACCTTCTGCCAGCCCCTCCAGCCTGGAAGCCTGCTGTCCTAACAGGAGACACCTGACTTCACCTGTCTGCAGCACCCAGCACAAAGCCTGAGCAAGGCAGATGCAGGGAATGCTTGCAGCATGAACGAGCCAATGAGTAAGGCAGCTTCCCAGCAGAGCACATGTGAATCAGCAGTATTTCCCACTCAGGCCAGTCTCAGGCCTGGCACTGGGAAAGAGCACAGAGGTACCAGGCCAGCTGTACCCTTGACTGCAATCCAGGGTAGTGGCCAAGAACCCAGCCCTAGAGTCAGCCAGACTGGGGCCACATCCCAGCTTTGCTACCTGGGCCTTCATTTCATCATCTGTAAAATGGGGACAAATCATCATAGCACCTACCTCAACAGGTGACTGGAAGAATCAAATGAAATTGTGTAAGTAAGAGGCTTGCAAATTTCCTGGAACAGCAAAAGAGCACAATAGATTTAGCCTTTAATTTGTGAATACTTATATAGCAAACTTGTTGTGCCAGGAACTTTGTGCCTTAAGCCCCTTAGGAGTATTAACTCATTTAATATCATGCTTGTATTGAGGTCTTAATGCTACACTATACTGCCTCTCATTGTTTTTTTTTCTTTTCATTTGTTTCATTGATTTTATTTGGATTGGTTTGAGTTGGGTTGGATTTTTGCTGTTATTATTATTATTACAAAATAAGTTTCTTCCTCTCGTTTAATCTCAATATTCTTTTCCGTAAAATGGGGCATTGGGTTAAGTGACTTCTCATCCAATGTTTTCATTGCTATCAATCTCCTGTTTCCTGCCTCTTGGTTCACACCAGCTATCCAGACCTTTCTACATCTCCATCTGCAGACTGGATCCTACTGCAGGGACCTGACCCGGGAGACTGGGCTTAGGAGCCAAGCCCCAACTTCCAGCCCTTCACAGCTTGTGTTACCAGGAGAACATGGAAATGGTGGACATCTTGCTCAACTGGGAGGCTATGGAGACAAATGGTCACTCATCCCCAACTAGGGTATATGGTGCCAATTCTGGTCTCACTTTCCCATTGGAGAAAGTCCTGAAGGATCGGCATTTTAAGATTAAAATCCCAGAACTGCCAAGTTCATTCATTCTTCAGTCCATAAGTATTCAGAGCACCCACTGTGTGCTGAGGGCTGGGCAATGCTTTGGGAACAAGGGAGGGAATGAGACAGGAAGATGGCTGCTCCATCAAGTTTAGTACAGTGGGGGAAACAGAAAATAAACAAGTCAACATAAAAGTAAACTCTAACTCCTTTCAGAAAGCATCAGAAGCTACGAAGAGTGTAAAGCAGGCTAAGAAAATGGATTGGGCTATTCACAATAGCAAAGGCATGGAATCAGCCTAGGGGCCCACCACAAGCAGATTACATAAAGAAAATGTGGTATGTATATGCCATAGAATACTACACAGTCGTGGCCGGGTGCAGTGGCTCTTGCCTGTAATCTCAGTACTTTGGGAGGCCAAGACGGGCGGATCACGAGGTCAAGAGATCGAGACCATCCCGGCTAACACAGTGAAACCCCATCTCTACTAAAAATACAAAAAATTAGCAGGACGTGGTGGTGGGCGCCTGTAGTCCCAGCTACTCAGGAGGCTGAGGCAGGAGAATGGTGTGAACCCGGGAGGCAGAGCTTGCAGTGAACCAAGATCGCGCCACTGCACTCCAGCCTGGGATGACAGAGTGAGACTCCATCTCAAAAAAAAAAAAAAAAAAAAAAGAATACTACACAGCCATAAAAAATAATGAAATCATGTCCTTTGCAGCAGCAACAGGGATGCAGCTGGAGGCCATAATCCTAAGCAAATTAATGCAGAAACAGAAAACCAAATACTGCATGTTCTCACTTATAAATGGGTGCTAAACATTGAGTACACATGGACATAAAGATGGGAACACTCAACACTGAAGACTACTAGAAGCGGAAGGGAAATGGGGCCTGGGGGTTGAAAAACTACCTATTGGGTACTATGCTCACTACCTGAGTGGTGAGATCCATACCTCAAACCTCAGCATCACGCAACATACCCATGTAACAAACTTGCACATATACCCCCAAATCTAAAATAAAAGTTGAAATTATAAAATAAATTTTTTAAAAAGACAGAGTGGCTAGGAGGATGGTCAGGGAGGGATCTTGCTATGGAAGTGATTTAGGAGCTGAGACCCAAATGGGGAGCAGGTAGAGAGCTCAGACTGTTAAATGAGCAGGCCTGGGTGGCTGGAGTTTAGGAATCAAGGTGTGTGTGACTACAGAGACCATGTAAGTCATATAAGGACTGGTAAGCCATATAAGGAGCTTGGATTTCTTCTAGGTGCAATGAGGAGCCAATGGAGAATTTTTAGAAGGAAAATATCAGCCTTTTTACATTGCATTTTATTTGCCTGTACACAAGACTTATTGCATAATTTGTGGGGCCCAGTGCAAAATAAAAATGAAGGGCCCTTATTTAAAAATTATTAAGACTTTGAAGATGTCATGGGGCCCTCCCAAGCATAGCCATGCCAACATGGCTGCCCATGGAGCCAGCCCTGCCCATACAAAATATGTTGGCATTAATAAAGCTTTATTTAAATTAGCAAATATGTATTGATGACCTAAAATAAGCCAGACACCGTGCCAGGCACTGGGGGTATGAAAAAGTGAATGATCAAATGAAGAAAGCCATTTTGACCTTAATTTTTCTTTTGATTCACTCCACACACAAAATGCCAGCGGACTAACCCGCCTTCACATGTTTAATGGTGATCAGACCCATAAAGGTTCAGGCCATCCTTTGAATGGATTTGACTTGATTCCTTAGTAATAATGGGAACCATTATTGCACATCCACTGTGTGTCTGGCATACATGATTTCACATAATCTCCCCACCACCAGCCCTCAACAAGAACCATGCAAGGAAAGCACAAGGTGAGAAATCAAGCTCAAAGAAGAGAATTAACTTTTCCATGTTCATTCTGCTTACTGGTAATTATTGGAGTGGGGATTTGAACCCAGATCTCGTTGAATCCAGAGTCCTCCCTCTCTAGGTGCACAATCCTGCCTCCTGTACACTGTGTATTCAAATGGCTGCTCAAACTAAGGATTTAGATACAACCTTCAATAATCTTGAGAGTAATTAATGTCTGTGGAATATTTACTATGTTCCAAGCCCTACACTAAACTCTCTGTGTAGATCTTCTCATTTATTCCTATAAACAATCCCCTTGTGCATATAGCACTATCTCCATACTTTTCTAGTGGGAAGACCAAGACTAAGAAAGGTTAAGTAACTTGTCTGATTCCTCCCAGATAATAAGCAATGGAGCTGGGAGAGAAGCCGAGCTGGGAGAGAAGCGAAGCTGGGCAGCCCAAGGGTCTGAGTCCTTGCTTCTATTCCCTGCTACTTCTTTTCCTCTGCAAAAGCTATGCAGATCTTGTTTCTGTGGCCAGTTGGTCACTTTCCTATTGGAAAGGCCAGAGCTCAGAAGTCCAAAGAGCCTGGCCCAGGGAGAAGGTGTGGGGGTATGACCTGGTGTCAACATCAGGGCTGAAAATTGCTTCATGCCCTGCTCAAGAGGAACAGGAAGGTCTGACTTCTCCCCTAACCATGGGAAAGAGTTACTTTTCTAAAAAAAGCAGGGCCAGAAACATGAGTGTGAAATGTCAGGGCCCTTTCTACCTCAGCGTTTCCTTTTGTCTTGGCCTTTTCACCAATGGAAAGAGCTATCTTGAAAGAGGAAGATGTGCTCACTCTTGGTTTTCTAACCAAGGATCTGAGAGACTTCCCTAAAGAAAAGCGCCAGGCAGGAAGGTTCTGGGGCTGGGCATGCCTGGGAAGGCTGGGCCCCTACTCTGCACTGCAACCTCACAGGGACTATCAAGTCAGGACTCTTCGGCCTTACTCTGGTATTGCCCAGAAGAAATTATTAGAGAAAGGCAGGCATCTGTGGATGCCTCCTGGTACAGCCCATTGCCCTCAAGACACAGAAAATCCAAGCGCCAGGGGAAATGGCAGCACAGGTCCAGAAGCCTCTGTCAGTCCCAGCTGTGCTCTGGTGTAGTGGACTCTGGTGTCAGGCCAAGGCTGCATTTCGACAAACTCAGTAGGAATTCCACAATGCTACTCAATTATTGTGAGACCCATGCAAGTCCACAAATGACTTTGGTTCTCCTGATCCTTATTTTTCTGAATTAAGTGATGTAACTTGTATTAAGAAACATACAAATAGGGAAATCTAATTCTTGGTCTCAGTGAAGTTGCAGAAGAGCAGCTGAGGGAAGTTGTGAGGACTAAGCTCAAGGGTGCAGAATTATTATTACCTGATAACATAGCATCCAGCTGAATTGCTGAATCTTGGGGTCTAAGTTTTGTAAAAGAAGAACTACATGCCCTTTCATACCAGAAGTCCCCCATTCTCATATTCTTAGCATTGATTTGTCTTACATCTCTATTTCAAGTCTCTAGATCTCTAAGAGTGTCTATCTATTGCTTGTACTTCATTGCTTTTACTATGAAGTCTTCAAAATTTTTAGGTTCCAAATTTCTCCCTTCAAAACCTCGTAGCGGCTTCTCCATCTAGAAGAACAAAAGAAAAGTCTGTAGATAGCCAATTTTTTATATTCTTTTTAAGGAGCATTTTTTCTTCCTTGATGCTTCTAATATAAAAATAAATTATCTTCATAATTGAAATATTTTTGCCAGAATGTTTCAGGTGAGAATTCCTTTGAATTTATTTTTACTTGGAATGTTGTGAATCTTTTCATTTTGCATGCTCAATGAAGTTTTATTTAAGTATTAAAAAAAACTATCACTTATTAAGCATTCAGAGTCTTATGTGAGGCACTTTTATAGATTAACTCATGTAAATCTTAAAAACTCCTTATCAAAAAGTGATTAATAAGTATCATGACTAAAAGTAATGGATGTCTGAGTTTCCATCCAGGAAAGGTCTGGTAGGAGCCTTTCCAACCAGGTCACCTGGGGCATGTTACCCAAGCACTCTGAGCCTCAGTGTTCTAATCTGTATGATGAGGGTAGTAATGATACCTACCTCATTGGGCGGCCCTAAAGACTAAATGAGGTTACACAAGTAAAACATTTAAACAAATGTTTAATAATAATAAACAAATTCCCCCATAATAAACAAATTCCCCAAAGGTGCAGTATACAAAATCAACACACAAAAATCAGTTGCATTACTATACACTAATGATGAAATATCCAAAAAGAAATTAAGAAAACAATTCCATTTATATTTACAATGATATCAAAAAGGATAAAATGGATCAAGTGCAGTGGCTCACACCTGTAGTCCCAGCACTTTGGGAGGCCAAGGCGGGAGGATCACTTGAGGTCAGCAGTTCAAGATCAGCCTGGCCAACATGGCAAAACCCTGTCTCCACTAAAAATACAAAAATTAGCTGGGCATGGTGGTGTACACCTGTTAGTCCCAGCTACTTGGTAGACACCAGAATCACTTGAACCCAGGAGGCAGAGGTTGCAGTGAGCTGAGATCATGCCATTGTACTCCAGCCTGGGCAACAGAGCAAGACTGTGTCTCAAAAAAACAAAATGGATAAAATACTTAGGAATAAACTTAACCAAAGAAGCAAAAGATTTGTATACTGAAAACCCCAAAACATTGCTGAAAGAAATTAAAGAAGATGCAAATAAATGGATAGACATCTCTTGCTCATGGATTAGAAGACTTAATATTGTCCAAATGTCAATACTACTCAAAGCAATCTACAGATTCAATGAAATCGCTATCAAAATCCTAATGGCATTTTTTTGGCAGAAATGAAAAAACTCATCTTAAAATTCATAGGGAATCTCAAGGGACCCTGAACAGTCAAAACAACCTTATAACAGAAAAACAAAGTTGGAGGTCTGATTTCAAAACATATTACAAAGCTACAGTAATCAAAACAGTGTTGTACTGACATAAAGACAAGACACATAGACAAATGGAATAAAATAAAGAGCCAGAAATAAATCCTCTCATGTGGGTCAAGTGATCTTCAACAAGCGTGCCAAGAGCATTCAGTGAGGAAAGAGCAATCTCTTCAGTAAATGGTGCTGGGGAATCTGGATATTCAAATGCAAAAGAATGAAGTTGTACCGTTACCTTATACCATATATAAAAATTAACTCAAAATAAAGACCTAAACATAGGCTCTGAAACTCTAAAACTCTCAGAAGAAAACAGGGAGAAAAGCTTCATGACATTGAGTTTGGCAAGGATTCCCAAGATACAACTGAAACTCAATATGTTTGAAACTCTAAACTCTAAAACTCGTAGATGAAAACAGGGAGAAAAGTTCATGACATTGGGATTGGCAAGGATTCCCAGGATATGACACCAAAAGCACAGGCAACAAAAGCAAAAATAAATGAATGGGACTATATCAAATTTCAAAACTTTTGTGCATCAAAAGACACAATCGACAGAGTGAAAAGGCAACCCACAGAATGGGAGGAAATACTTGCAAATCATATATCTGTTATGGGGTTTATATCCAGAATATATACAGAACTCCTACAACTCAACAAAAAACAAAGCAAAACAAGAAACCTGATTTAAAATGGGCAAAAAATTTAATTTAACGTTTCTCCAAAGAAAAAGCATATAAAAAGATGCTCAACATCACTAATTATTAGGGAAATGCAAATAAAAATTGCAATGAGATATCACCTTACACCCACTAAGATGGCTAAACTTTTTTTTAAAAAAGCAGAAATTAATGAATGTTGGTAAGGATGTGGAGATATTAGAACACTTGTGCACTATTGGTGGGAATACAAAATAGTATAACTGCTATGGAAAACAGTATGATGATTCCTAAAAAAAAATAAAATTAAAATTATCATATAATCCAGCAATCCTACTTCTGGGTATATATCCCAAACAATTGAAAGCAAGAGCTCAAAGCAGCATTATTCCCAATAGCCAAGAAGCATAAGCAACCCAAATGTCCAACAACAGAAGAATGGATACACATACAATGAAATACTGTTCATCCTTAAAAAAGGAAATCCTGACACATGCTACCCTATGGATGAACCTTGAGACATTATGCTAAATGAAATAAGCCAGTCATAATAAAACAACTACTATATGATTCTATTTATATGAGGTATCTAAAGTAGTCAAATTCATGGAGACAAAAATTAGAATGGTGGTTGCCAGGGGCTGAGGGAAGGGGAAAATGGAGAGTTTCTCAATGTGTATAGAGTTTCAGTTTAGTAAAATAAAAAAGTTCTGGAGGTCCATTACACAACAATGTAAATGTGTTTAAAAATACTGAAATATACACTTAAAACTGGTTAAGATGGTAAATTTTATGTTATAGGTTTTTTAACCACAATCAAAAATAACAATAAGGTAGGTCATGATGGTTCATGCCTGTAATCCCAGAGCTTTGGGAGGCTGAGGTCAGAGGATTGCTTGAGGCCAGGAGTTTGAGGCTGTAGTGAGTGACAATCGCACCACAGCACTTCAGCCTGGGCAGCAGAACGAGATCTTGTCTTTAAAAATAATTTTTAAAATAAAAATAAAACACTGCACCTGGCATATAATAGAGATTCTATAAAGGCTGACTTTTATACAAATCTCTTTTCCTAATTAAGGAAACAGGAGTTTTAAGAGGCTGAGTAACATGCCCCAAATCATACAGCTAGTAAGTAAGTGGTGATGTGGGAATTTCAACTCAGTCCAACCCAAAGTCCATGCATGACCTTAACCATCAGAGCACAACGTTTCATGCCTCGCATCTGTTTGCCATACAGGAGGCTGCGAATGCAGAGAACTTCCTCTTCTATCAGTCATCTAGCACAGGGAACAGAATCGAGGCTGAAGGACAGCTTCAAGCCCCTTCTCCATCCAAGCTTTGAGATCAATAGGCTTTAGCCCCTCTGAACCAACCATGCTTAAAGTTTCAGAAGCCACAGCAGCTGGCAGGCTGATCCACACACACAGATTTCTTACTAACATCATGTTCTTCATAGTTACTGCTGCTGAGGAAATAAGCCCACTCCCTCTGATAGACAGAAATCAGACAATATAATGATGAAAAGCTACCCTCAGTCTCCAGCTCAACACTGTTTCAAGCAGCAACAATAGGCAAAACAAAAGTGTGAAATTAAATCTACTTGCTATCCCTGGAAGAGACAAACAAGAAAAAACATACATATAGACATTGAAATATTGATTCTTATGTGCACAAGCACAAGCTCTGTGGAAGCACAGAAGAAAAAGTGAATCAGCCTGTAATCCCAGCACTTTGGGAGGCCAACGCAGGCAGATTGCGAGGTCAGGAGTTCGAGACCAGCCTGGCCAATATGGTGAAACCCCAGCCCTACTAAAAATACAAAAATTAGCCCAGGCATGGTGGTGCGTGCCTCAGTCCCAGCTACTTGGGAGGCTGAGGCAGAAGAATCACTTGAACCCAGGACGTGGAGGTTGCAGTGAGCTGAGATTGCACCATTGCACTCCAGCCGGGGCAACAGAGCAAGACTCAGTCTCAAAAAAAAAAAAAAAAAGAAAGAAAGAAAAAGAAAAGAAAAAGTGAATCAGCCACACAGGCAGACTGTCTCAGAGAAGGCTTCCTGGAGGAGTTAACATGGGCACTGGGTCTTGAAGGATAAATAGGGGTTGGCCATGTTAAAAAATAAATTAATTTAAAAAAGAGAGGGCGAGAGATATGCACCAACAGAGACCAACAGACAGAGAAATCTAAAGGGACACGGCTGAGGAATAGCCCATCATTTACATCATTACCTATTCATTCATTCATTCATTCATTTGTTCATTCAAAAAAGTCAGTGAATGCCAAATACATGCTGACCCTGTGCTAGCTTACTAAGAAAGCAAAGCTGATTCTAACTTCCAGTAGCTCCCTGGGTACTTGTGGGACAGTATGGGAGGTGTGACAAGGGTGTTTCCAGTGGATGGGGGTGAGGAGAAGGGATTCTATCTGCATTGCAGATGGAAAAAGAGGGTGGGTTTTGAGTTCCATTTTGGGGGATAGAAGATTTAAGATTCTGTGACTGATTATATTCCAGGGATGGGGGAAAGAGAAATCTGGGAAACTGTCAGATCTCCAGCATAGGAAATCAAGAGAGGGGAATGAATGAGAGTAAATATGTTTGGAAAGTTAAAAACTAGCTCAACTTTAAAATCAACTTTCTAAGTTTGTGGGCCTAGAAAGCCTTCAGACTACAAAGGCCATGAGGGCAAGAATAAGAATTGCAGCACCTTGAAGGGCACACATCCCTGCCTGGAGGACCTAACACCATTATGGGGGTACACATAGGTGCTAAGGAATACTTGATGAGCTGACTTCCTACCACACTGTGCTTCAGCCCAGTCTTACTCAGCAACTGCTCTGCAAGACATCCAGATCATGGAAAGCCAGGTGAGCAAACCCGCCTTTGTCCACACCCCACCAGAGCTCCACACTGTAGGTACCAGAAGCTTCCTGGGCATCCAGGAATGACACAAAACTGTTTCTCTTTTCAAAAACTGAAATGCTCCCAAGATTGAACGTGCGGAACGCTTGTGCAGCTATAATCTCAGCAAACATCTGCCACCTTTGTGTGGCAAATGCAGTCTCTTTAGAATACTGCCTTTGATTTTGGGGAAAGACAAATCAGGCTGCACGTTTTGTTCTGAATGCGTCTCATCACAGGAGGAAATTTTCAGCAGCTTGGAATTCTGAATGTATGAAAAATGATTTTTTTTAAACAAAGAGTTCACGATAAAGCATCAACAAGGTTCCTAAAAGAGATGAAACCAGTTCTCTATTCCCATCCCTTTCCCCTCCCACGTCTCGTCTTTTTCTGGATTCTCCAAGGTCTTTCTCTGGAGCTGAGTCTCACTTATATTGCCATTTGCAGATCTGGGGTGGCAGCTCTTCTGGCCTCAGAGGGTTAGGTCAAGACTGCCAGTGGCCCAAGTCATCTCTACAAAGTGTGAGCTACAGAATAAGCCAGAGTCTCTTCTCTCTTGGTGTCAGACCTCACTGGTGTTTGTAAATCATCAAAATGGAAAAGCATTTGTGCTGCTGGGGAATGGACCTGAGATGCAGCCCCTCACTTCACAGCCCAGTAATAAAGAGTTGGTGTAACCACCCTGGAAGCAGCAGGTGGGGAGGAACAGCATTAGGCTGACCTGGGTTCAACTCCTCTCTTCTCTGCCGTCTAGCTCAGTGATCCTGGGTGGGCACCTTGAACCTGCTGGATCTCAGGTTTACCATCTGTAAAACAGGCCAGATTAAAGCCTGCCTTGTCATCAGAAGCCCATAGGTGAATGTGGGCACATCTGACTTGCAAACAACAAAGTGAAGTGCAGATGTAGAGTAATCAACTGTCCAGGCTCACCTGGGACTGAAGAGTTTCCCAGGATGTGGGACTTTCAGGAGAGTTCCAGACAAACCAGGAGTGTGGATCACCCTATGTCACCCAAAGCTAGCAAAACCCCATCATGACAGGGATAAGAACTAAGGTCGTCAAAGGGGTATAATGCATTTTCTGGAAAAATGCACACTGACTGATTCACTAAACAAAATATCCTGAGAATTTTATGAGAGGGTTAAGCAAGAGGCTTTCTTATTCTAATTTAGTCCTCCATTCACACTGGAGAGTTCAGTAAAGCTTTACATCTATTTCATAAATACCGGCATCACTTCACTTTTGCTAACAGGGCACCCAAAAGCATAATGGCTTAAAACAACAGTCATTTATGTACCTCACAAGTCAGTGGATCAGCAATTGGGCTGGGCTCAACGAGGGACTTCTCATCTGGACTCACTCATGTATCTTTGGTCACCAGCTTGTGCATCTAGGGCTGGCTGGACTAGGAGGGCCTCAGCTGGAAAGGCATGTTTTGGCTCCATATGGTCTCTCATCATGCAGTAGCCTTGTTCACGTGACAGCTAGGCAGCGTTCCAAAAGAGTCACAGCCCACAAGGCCTCTTGAGGCCTCACCTCAGCATTGGCATAGCATCACTTCCACCAAATTCTGTTGTCCAAAGTGGATCATAGAGCCAGCCCAGATTCAAGGCGTGGGGAAACAGACTCCAACTTTTGATGGCAGGAGCTGCAGAGATATATTTCAGAGGGGCGAAGATATAGGAGGTGAGGGGGAGAACTCCAATAATTTTTGCAATTGACAGTATCTTCCTTTTTATTTTATAAAACATAGAAACAAGGTACTTCAGTAGCTATAACAATCTATTGCTATATCATTGCCATCTCTCTAGTCACTCAAGCCAGAAACCTTGGAATTCTCCCAACCGGTCTCTGCCTCATTCCTGCTCCCTCTACACCCAACCAGGCCCTGCCATCTCCACCATCTAAACATTCATCACATAATTCCCTGGGATTATTCCTATTCATGCTCCCCACCTCCAGCCTCACCCTCTCTAATCCATTCTCCTCCCCACAGCCAGGATGATCCTTCTAAAGCATGCATTTGAACATGTCACTCTCTTTACTGAAGACTTGATTAGCTCTTTACTGCTGCCAAATTCTACCTATCAAAGCCTTTCTACTTTCTACTCCAGATATTCCACCTTCATCACCACCGCCAAATCACTACTGTGGCACCTAAACTATGTTCTGGGCAGAGTGAACTATTTAGCTTTTCTTAAACAAATCATGGCTTTTCATGCATTTGAAAATGCAACTCAAACTTACAGGAATGTTTCCCAAGACCTAGATATCTGTTATCAGTTAAAGCTAGACTGCAAACTCACCTGCATGCCTAGAGGACTATCTACTTGTACATCTTTCTATCTCTGTTATTGGATATCCCCAAAGATAACACAAACCATTTATTGTTCAATGACTTTGTTGGTGAAAACAACAACGATGATGCTAAAAGATAAATCAAGCATACAGATTGCTTAATGGAAAAAGTTATTTATAGTCAGCCTTCTGTATCCAAGAGTCCCATATCCACAGATTCAACGAACCTCTGACCAAAAATATTTGAAAATTAATTAATTAAAAATAACAAGACATCAATAAAAATGACACAAATAGAAAAACAACATAGTGTAACAACTATTTTGTACTTAACATTGTATTAAGTATTATAAGTAATCTAGAGATGATTTATAGTATACAGGAGGATGCGGGCAGCTTATATGCAAATAGCTACACCATTTTATGTAAGAAATTTGAGCATCCTCAGATTTGACATCTGAAAGGGATCCTGGAACCATTCCCCCATGGATACCAAGGGACAACTCCCTACTCACCCTTGTTAGTTCTGGAAAATAGTTACAGTGGTACTAGGGCAAGCAATTGATGACAGAATTATAGAGTCCTTCTGGGCGTAAGACATTTGTTATTCATCTGAGCCCATAGATGAAAACTTGAGAGCCACTGACCGCCACTATCATCTGGAACCAGCCCTCAGTACCTCTCCAGTGGGCAACTGCAACATCCTTCTCACTGGACTCCTCACTTCTACTCTTCACCTTTCAACAATCCGTTCTACACATGGTAACTAGAGTGATCCTTTTAGGTAACAAATCAGGGCAGATCACCTTCATGCTCTAAAACCTGCAGTACTTCCCCAATGCACTGAGAGCAAACTCTTCCATAGCCTACAAAGTCCTACACAATCTGCCCCTGTGGCCTCCACAGTCTCATCTATCACTCTCCCCGTCACTTGCTGAACCAACACCCTGGACTTCTTTCTATTCCTCAAAAATGCATTCACAGGACCCACACGTGGCTGATCCCACAGCTGCCCCCAATCACCATCTGGACTTTTGCATAACTGTCTGGCTCCACCAGGTCCCCCTCAAATGTGACCCCTCAGAGAGCCCTTCCCCAATGTCATTGAAAACTAACACTGTTTGCAAGTTTGTTTCCTTGACTATTGCCTACCTCCCCAACTGGAGTGCAATCTCCATGAGACCTGAGACCCAAGCTTACTCTCTGTACATCTTCAACATCCAAAACAGTATACTCAATAAAAGTTGGCTAAAGGAATCAATAAACAAATGAACGACACTACTAACAATTATGAAAGAAAGATAGGTAAGTACTTAATCAGAATAAAGATAAATGCCACCTCTAACTCAATAGAACCCGCCTACCACCTCTACACAGGTGAGAGAAACCCCTCCCAGCTCCAGGCTCAGAGGCCTCTCGAGAGAATATGTTGTCTTAGGGCTCAGGTGAAGCCCTTTCAAGCTGGCTTTTCATTATATCTCTTTAACCACGGTGATAAGTAGAGCCAGGTTCCCCTCTTATTGGTAGGACCAAATTTTCTCACTCAAAAACTTTACTATGAAAGAAATGGAACTCAGGTGCCTTAACTATGGCCTGATCAAAACTTGACAACAAAGAAATAAAGCAGCTTAAATGAGTTCTGGAATTGGCTCTCTAAAGACCCCAGCATGGGAGAGATGCACACATATATCTAATGCCCACCAGCAGCTACACTTGCATGTCCCACAGGGTCTGAGACTCACTGGGTACAAGGCAGGTTCATTATCTGGGTACAAGGCAGGTTCATTATCTTCCTCCCTACACCCACCCAACTTCTCCCTTTGTCAGTGTCACTGATGTCTCTGAGTAGCCAACATCTTCCAGTTACCAAACCAGAAACCTAGAAGTCTCCGTGGACAATTCCCTTTGCCTCAAGTCCCACATCCTCCTCATCCTCCCCTCTAAGCCCATGTTCTGGTTCCCATCTCCATACTCCCACTGTGTCCAAACAGTCATTATTGTCTGCCCCCTAGACAATCACATTTGTCTCATTGCTGGTCTCCCCACATCTACTCAGACATCCTTCATTCTCCCCGCAGCAGCCAGAACAATATTTTAAAAACTAATAATAAGCATGTCCTACAGCTTCTTAAGTGCCTGCTATGCCTTCCATTTTTCTTAGAATAGAGGGTAAACCCTCACCTTAGCCTGTAAAGCCCCATATAGTCTACCACTGCCCATCTGTTCAGCCTGGCTCACACTCTGTGGTCCTCCAACTTCCATGTCCTCACCCTAAGGGCCTCCTTTTAGTTCTAATTCTCTTTTTTAGTTCCAACTCTCTTTACAAAGACTTTGCACATACTGGTTACTTTGTATGAAACCATCTCCCACTACCAACCATGAGCCACCTTCTTGTCCATTCTTCAGATCCCTGCTCAGTTTTACTTCCATGGGAAAGTCTTCCCTGGCCATCCGGTCTAGGACAAGTCTCCAAAGAATGATAGTTTTTCCTTTAAAACACTTATATCTGTTTATAATTATGGATTCTTGGCATAACTATATGACTATAAACTCCAGAGGGCAGAGACTTGTCTCCCTTTGTGCTGCTTTGTATGCCCAATGCTTAGCACAGTACCTGGCACAGGATAGATGCTGAAAACAATGAACGAGTGAATGCATGAATGAATCAAGGAACTAGGAACAGCTATTCTGTGGAGTTCAGCTCACCCTCCAGCAGCTGGCCAAAGTCCCATATTTAGCAATCCTCATGAGAGATGGGAGGGGTAGATAAGCTAGGAGTGAAAAGTGGAAGAAATAAACTGAGTCGTTGAAAGATTAAGAACCCCATGCTGAATCTGCCCTTGTTTCCATGTAACTTGCAAGAACCCACTGTAATTTACATATTTCTGCACGAACATAGCGTGTAACTGACTCCCAATCCCTTCTAGATGGATGACACATTTACTGTCTCTCTTTGGGAATTTTATGTTGCATCCTGGATTCCTTAGAAATTGGCGGAGAGAGGTGGGAAGCAAGGATAGGTAAAACAAACGGGGTTTGCCATTGTCAATATGCCAAAGAGAAGAGACCTGGTAAGATCTAAGGGATGTTCCCAGACACTCACTTTAATCATCATTCCTATGAACACACACACACACACACACACACACACACACACACACACTATTGCTATGAGAAAGAAGCAAATCATTCAGACCACTAAAGCAAATGGTCCTGAATTACCTATCAGCCAGCTGATATAGTGGCAGTTTTCACCACATACCAGGCACCCTGCTAGGTGCTGAGAATGCAACAGAGAACGGGCCTCTAGGCCCAGAGCCTGTGCCCATGGACTACAGAGTGGTGGGGGCTGTAACTTTGAACAGGCTCACACTGTGGTGTAAACAAAGCTGAGATGGAAGTGCAGGGGCCAGGGCAGCACAGAGAAGGGGCACCTGACCTGGCCTTGGAGGTCAGCCACGACGTGCCAGAGGAACTGAGAGCAAAGCTGCATCGCAATAACCCCTCCGAGCCTCGACTTCCTCATATGTAAAGTGGAGACAGTGAGTCCCACTTCCCAAGGGGCTTAAGAGTATCTGATTCAAAATCATAATCGCTGGCTAATACTTAATGATCACCTATTTTGTACCAGCCATTGGGCTAAGCACATCTTGTGCATTAGCTCATCAACTCTTCATCACAACTCTAGAAAGTAGATACAAATATCCCCACGTTACCAATGAATAAACTAAGGTTTAGGGAGATGAAGACACCTACCCAAGTCGCTGGCAACCCGGGTCTGCCTGACAACACGCTTTGAGGCACAGCACTTCACCACCTCCCTTATGTAATCATGACAAGTTCTCAGCCCAAAATAAACCTTTAGTGAATTTCAGTTTCTTTTCTCCCTTCGTCCCCTCCTCTCCTTTCTCCATAGAGGAAACAAAACAACAAAGATCCCAGAGTGCTGTGACTCGAGCCGGTTTCCCTGGATTTCATGAAGCCACTTTTTCTGTATAAATATAGTCTTTGAAAGGACCTAGAAGGGGAAATCAGAATATTGAGAATTATTCCCACCTTAATAATAATAAGTCAAATTGGTGAGTCCAACTGAGGCCTCAACCTTAACCCAGGGGAGGTCCTGGGGCAGATGGCTCTAGGCTCTGCTTCCTCTGGGGCTGGAGGTTACTAAGTTTAAAGCCTGGTTGCCAACAGATCTCAACAATGAAGTCCAGAAATTAGTAAAGCCTACAAAGTGCTCAGAACACAACCTCCCTGCAGTCCCCCATGGCTTGTGTTCTATAAGATGCAGATCCAGCTGCTGCTCTGCTGGCCCATCCTGAGGACTTGGCACCATCCCACCCAGGAATGTATCACTTCACTGGCCCAGCCCTGCCTTCCCCTCTTCCACCCATGCCCAGCTCATTCACTGTATTTCAAGGCTTGACCTCATAGAAAATGTATGTATTCACCCATTTTATTTATTCTTTCACTCATTATCAGGGTCCTACTATCATGCATGCATTTGTGGATTCCCCATTGTGCTGATATTCTGAGTACGTTTGCAGATAAAATTGGAGGAGGAGATCTGCCTCCTGGCCAGTTGCCGCATTGCTCACTTGACTGAGAGCATGTGTCTCCAGCTGTCAGTCAGGCTCCTCCCTGCGCTTGATTCCAAAGCTGCAGAGGTCAGAGTTATAGGACTGGGAGGCTTAAGACACTGGGATGGTGGCCCTGCCTTCTCCAGCTCAGCTCAGCTCAGCTCAGCTAAGAACAATCAAGGTCAGGTCAGCTCCCAGATCAACCCAAGGACCCTTGGGAGACTCTGCCCCCAACAGGTAAGGGCTCAGAGAACATTGCTTGTTCTCTTGCACAGGCAGCAAGGCTGGGTAGTTACTGGGCTAAAGGGAGCCCTGGACTCCTGAGATACCTCTAAGAATCAATCCCCAGACCATACTCTTTGTCCTGACCTACATGCTCAGTTGACCTGACCTTTTAGTCTCCAGCAAAGTAATGGTGTGCACATGGAGTCAGCCAAACTTGGGACCATAGCCTAACTCTGTCATCTTCTAGTTTGGTGAATTTGGACAAATCGCTTTATGCATCTAATCCTCAGTTTCCCCATCTGTAAAATAGGGATGGTAATAATAATTGTAGTACCTGCTTCACAGGCTTAGTTTGATGATTAAATGAAATAATCACACAAAGAGAGTTTTACCCAAAGTTTCTCAACTTCAAAACTATTGACATTTCAGTCCAGATAATTTTTGGTTGTATGGAGTATCCTGTGCTTTGTAGGACACTTAGCAGGATCTCTGGCCCCTATCTTCTATAGGCCAGCAGCCCACCTCCTGCTCAGTTGTGACAACTCAGTGTCTCCAGATATTTCTCAAAATCTCCTGACATCAGCCCTGCTTGAGAACCACTGGTTAACCTAATGCCAGAAAAATAACAAGTTCAATTAATGTTAGCTATTATTATTATTGCCCACTGGAACCCAGTCTGCTTGGATGGTCTCTGGCCCTGTCCAGCCCTCACCAGCTCCATAGCCTAAGGCTTATCCTCAACCACAATTTTCTATGTACTAGGAGGACCCTGATTCAAGGTATTTGGAATTATGGCACAGTCAATAGCCTGACAATGACTAGAAATGTATCTATGCCATACAAGATCTGTCTCCCTGGGAATATAAAGGAAAGAATTGGAGGAGGACAGGAGAATCAGGGAGACAGTTTCCCAAAGCAATTTAGGGCTCAGAAAGAGAATGAAAATTGGTGTTGAAAGTACTAAAGAGCATAAGGAAAATGATAGCATTCAACCAATGTAATAAGACATAAAAGAAATAGAGATGATAATATACTATTGGTACTGTCAACATGGCACTCAGAACCCATGATGGTAGATGTGTTCTGAAGACCAAATGTGTTTATGGATGTAAAAGTGCCTAGCCCATGACCTGGCAAATTGTAGACCCTCAATAAAGGTCATATAAAACTATCATTCAGGTTGACATTTTTTGTCAGGGAGAATACTGGACCAGATGGAATTGGCTCAGCATTCTACGTCAGAGGTGGGAGCGATCATTGAGACAATGTGACCCAGCTCCTTCATTTTACAGCTGAAGACATTTACATGGAGAGAGGAGAAGTAGATTGGGAAAAATCACACAGTATGTAAATGCCAAAAACTAAAATTAGAACTAGGTTTTCCAGACTCTACAGGTGGCTACAGTGCACATAGATATACACACGTAGATGGCTCTGTCCTAAGACCAGCACACTTGAGTTACCTGAGAGTCAGACTCAGCAGCTGAATAAAATCATGAGCAGGTGCATCTGAGTAATGTGGTATTGTGCTACTCCCTGCCTTCTGGCCTTGGCATCCCCCAAACAGTCATCCTAACCCTCTTGACTCTGCTACCCTGTGTTCCTGGCCTCGCTTCCATTTTTATGCCTCTTTCTTCTCTCTACTCTCCTCTCCAAAAAACCCTGTATCAGACTCATCTGATCCCATGAGAGTAGCCAGATTCCTCCTCATTTGGTTTAGCATCTCCTTCCTGACAACAACTAACTTGCACTGGATATGTACTATGTGCTAAGAATTGAATATGCATTACCTATCTATATAATAACAGTCACTACTATTATCTCCATTTTATAGATAATGAAACTAAGCCTCAGTTTCATGTACAGGAAAGGAGAGGCAGAGTGTTAATAAGTAGAATTAAAAGAGACTAACATATCAAAACACTAACTAGGGGGAAACATGATTTTCCTAGAGTAATAGGTAGATGTGGTTGAATTTCTAAAGAGAATGAACTAGTTTAGTCTGAAGTCCAGGGGGAAGTGGCAGCTGGCGAAGTCTCCCAGAATTGTGTTTTTCCTTCATGTCTGGTAAATATGGGATCACCAAGTGGATGGGGAATGGGAGGGTAGTGATGCTGGGCTTCTTGGTCAATGGGATTCACAGCCATGCAATGACATCTCCCTCTCTGCGGCCTCCAGTCCACCCAGAGGTCTGTATAGCCAGACTCTCATTTGTCCTCACCTGTTTCCTAAATCACAGGTGGGGTAGGGACTACAGGGCTCCATCTGTCTTGACGCCCGACCTCCAGCTCCTGATCCACTTCCGACTAATCCATCTGTGGAGCCATCCAAGACTATGACCCACTTCCCACAGTGCTCCTCCCCAGACAAGCTTCCCTGTGGACGGTCTTGTGCCCTAGTGTTCCTGCAGCCTGCGGGCACAAGCACCGCCTGTTCTGGACAGCTCCGCCCAGCCCAGCCCTCACCTGGGTGTTGTCCTGGACTCCACCCTCCCCTTCCCCATCTCAGCCCAAGACTTCTGGCTCCATCTGCTCTGGCCTAGAAATGTCTCTCTCACTTGGGCCTTTGTAACAGCTGCTTTTCTCAATCAAATTTCTTGTCCCTGATATACTTACCTCTCAAAAATGCAAATATGTTAATATCAGGTTATTGCTTAAACACCTGCTGTGTATTCCCATTTCTTCTAGGATAAAACCCAAGCCCCATGGATTGAGGGTCCCACCCTGAAGCTGAATCTATCAGACTAGGATTTCTTCTGCCAGGTGAGTCTAGGGAAGATGATGTTGCTTAAAGTCAAACACTAGGGCTTTGAGACATTTGGCCTTATGCTCAGCAACCTTTAGATGGTAGAATCTTACATCTAAAAACGACCCTAAATCAACCTGTCCCCATGCACACTAGCTCTTTTCCTGATCGCCACCAGTGACGAGGCACTCACGATGTAGTGAGACAGCCCATTCTGCTGTGTAAAGAACTTTCTTATCACAGGATCCTAGACTCTCAGATTTGTAACACACTCAGAAGGTGTTATTCTTCCACCCAGTGGAAACACTTCTCTGCAATAAATGAGCAAATAACCTGATCAATTTTCTTGAAATATCCACACTGTGATGTAATTGTGTTCTGGAATCCAAATGCAGGCTTTTGCCTCTTTCCCACATAAATATCTTCCACCATAAAAAATATGTTTGGTTTCTGGATTATACCAATGTGGTACTCCTCTCAGTTGTTTTCCAGTCAGAAGTTTCACCCACTTGCCCAAGGGTGCAGACTCTAGAGACAGTTACAGATAGTCTAAGTTAAAATATCATCTCTGCCATTTGCAAGCTGTGGAAACTTGGTTGAGTTACCTAATTTCTTTAAACCTCAGATTCCCCATCTGTAAAGATGATACCTACCTCCTTTAGCTATTATGGGGACTAAATAAGATATTATATAAGCTGCTAAGCACAGCATCTGGCACATATAAGTGATCAATAAATGTTATTTTTTATTATTTAAAGTGAAACTTTTCTCTATGATGTCAGTGATGGCTTTCGAACATTTTTTCCTAGAATCCCAATATTCAAAATAGATGCAGTATGGCTCTGATGGCAGCATGGGCGGGCATCCCAGGGTCCCATTGCCTCTGCCTTTCCTGTCCCTATTTCCTCTTCTTCATGGCACCCCTGTGCCATGAAGGGGTGAGACACCCCTATGGAACCTTAGGACTCTTCCCAGTATAGTTTGAAAATAAATGAGATATAAATAAATAAATAAAATGTCATACCAGGAAAAGGCAATTGCAGAAACACAGGAATATGTATTACTTTCCTATTGCTTCTGTCACAAACTTAATGGCTTAAAAATACACAAATTATTATCTTACAGTTTTGTAGATCAGATGCTCAATGAAGATCTCACTAGGCTAAAATCCAGGTGTCAGCAGGGCTGTGTTCCTTCTGGAGGCTCTAGGGGAGATCTCTTTTCTTGTTTTATTCAAGTCCTAGAAGCTACCCACATTCCTTGGCTCACAGCCCCGTTCCTCCATCTTCAAAACCAGTAATACGGCATGTCTCAGACCCCCCTCGCCAACTCTCTCTTCCACCTCCTTCTCCTACTTATAAGGACCCATGTAATTATATTGGTCCCACCCAGATAATCCAGAATAAGTTCCCTATTTTAAGGACAGCTGGTTAACACATTAATTCCATCGGCAACCTAATTCCCCTTCTTGTGTAACCTTACATAACACATTCACATTTCTGAGGATTAGGACAAAGACGTCTTTGGAGAATCTTTCTGCCTGCCATAGCAGTCACTAGAGAGGTCCTTAGAGACCAGCCTGGAAAAATTACTCAACATTTGGAGACATAAACGTCCTATTCACCTCGCTACAATAGTTTGCAGCCCACTATTCTTCATCTTGTTCTTAATTTTAACATGAGGATCTTTGACAAATCTTGCTACAGTCAAGATACTCTGTCTGGCATTACCCAGACTTACCAGATATGACCATCCTTTCAGGGAGATTTGTTGCAAGCAACAGAAAATGACTGGCTAGTTTAGGCATAGAAGGCATTTGATAAAAGGTTATTTTGAACCTTGCAAAGCCTCTGGAGGGATGGAGAACCAGTGAGAGATCAGGCAGCCAAGAACAGCCCCCCAAGTTATATGGTAGAACCCATCTGGGCAGAAATTGTTGCTAGTGTCCCTCAAAACCCACTGGCATAGACAGAGGATTCTGCCTTGAGTGTTGCTACTACCATCACCCCTAGAAATTCAATTGATAGGTTTGATTCTTCACCTACAGTCACTGCTCTTTGGCATTTCTTAAACCCAACTTGAAGTCATAGGTGGCTGCCTCTATGTTATGTCTTTGTGGTTTCCCTGTCAGTCTTATTTGAAAAACTTGGAGGGAGAGGTACGTCAGAAGAGGACTGAAAATTCTACATGTTCCATTTCCCAGCCTCTCTGGCCAGAGAACTCTGGCAGATGCTCTGAAACCTTGAACACCTGCCAGAGTCCTGCCAGAGAGGCTGGGAAATGGAGCACGTGACATTTTCTGTTTTATGGTAAAAGATGGGCTCCACATCTCACCAAGATCCATTAAGGGGCAAGTTCCCCTATATAAGTCCAAATGGTGGAGACATAATTATGATAATAGCAAATATCTACAGCACCAGCCTAGGAAGCTTATTTTTTAAAAGAGAAATAAGGACATTTTGGAATTACTAGTTCTTGGTGAATCTATCATGGCTCTTATTCCTACTGATCCCTACTTCTCTTTCTAAATACACATAACCCATATACCACTTAAGTAATCATTTCTAGTTCTTTGCCAGAAACTGGCCTGAACCCACAATTTCTAGAATCCAGGTTTTAAAGATCAAGATAAGACATGCCCATCCCTAGTCTTCTGGCATCCCTCTCCCTCCCCATTTTTCAAATAAGGCTGACAGGGATTCCACAAAGAATTGTGCAAGTCTTTTCAGAACCCTGGGCTATAATTCATATAGAACTGAAGAGCTGAATTAATTAAGAGCAGTGAGGTGTTTGCATCTCTCCTATCTCTTATCTTGAGTTTCAATCTTTCCAGATTAAAGGCCATTTGCCTTGATGAATTGAGCAGCTTGGTGATCTCTCTGATTACTCTCAACATTACACCGTCATGCCCATGCTGTGGACTCTCCTGTTCCCACGATGTATCTCCAAACAGTGCAATAAAAATCCTTATTTTTATTTTTAGTGGTTTTTCAAAAGCCTTCACTCTTCTTGAGCCTAGGCTTTCTGACATGATTCTTATAAACATGGGTCATTTCTCCTGGGGTTTTGCTGTATTCGCTTTCTTAATATTTGTGTCTGTAACACCCACACCCATCAGAGATGATGCTATGGAGTCACATTGCTTTCTAGTTCACTCATCTCTGGACTATACAATGGAAGGAACATGGATGTTGAGATCAGATTTAGAGTACTTGAATCCTACCTATATCTCTTACTAGCAGTGTGAGCCTTATCTCTAAAATTAAGGTAATAATTCCTGCTCACTCTTACAGAGCTTCACAACTGGATATCTTTGCGGCAGTACCTTGTGGGCATGCTTTTATTGAGGTTTTCTTGGGTTTTTTCCCTTTAGTAAACATACAGTTTTACCCGTTTGTCGAAACTCCTGTTTTCACATCCCTTAAAAGCAGATGGACAGAAAGCTACCAAATTTAGAGGGTTCTTTGAGATAACCCAACATAAAATACCTGTGTGTGTGACATATATATGAATATATATGTCTTGTATATTTGTTCTGTTTCTCTGGAGAATCCTAATAACATCTCTTTGTGTACTTTATTTTCACATATACTGATTCTGGCTAGTTTTATATGCCCCACTATGAGAAAAAAGTATCAATGCTATATTTACTCATGATGCCATGGCACTTCAGAACCTGTTTGTTCGGGAACAATATATATTTCCATGCCTATGCAGTTCCCTAGTAGCATTTTTTAATGCCAGTTACATCATTACTCACAATGCTGCATCATCTGCTGTGCCACCTATGAATACTGGCTTCCAGTGACTCAAGAAGTTGTTACTAAGCTTCATTGATTAAGACTACAAATGCAAGTCTTACTCAGAATATGTAGGAAAATGTGAATGATAATTCATTTTTCACTTATGTCAAATTTGCCACTCAGAATTTTACACATAGAAAAAATGTATCTTCCAACCATGTCTGGAACTCTCTGGTCTACAATCACTGCATTTTTAGAATGTGATCTCTTTCAGTGTTGACCACATTACTGTCTTTCATTCACAGGCATCAGTGGGAGCACAGGTGGGGGCTTATGGAAGAAGTAAGAAGAGTGGCTTTATTTACACAAGAAATATCTACCCCTTGCCACATGGCTTACGATCAACCCAGAAGGCCACATTACACATCAGATGTGTAATAGGGCATTGCAAAATAGGGCATTGGTGAGAAGGATTCATTGGCCCATCTCAAAAGCCCTTGGAGTAGATAGTCATGGCCACCTCTGGCAGCCATCCTGACATGTATTAAGGAGCCCATTCAGTGGGGTAAGGTGACTGCCTTGGGTGTCAGCAGTGAAAGTTGCACAAAAGTAGGGGAATAGTGGTAAGGAGTGAGGTTTGAGAGGTCAACAGGGGTCATAGATCAGCAGGGTCAAGTAAAAAAAGGGCTGGAAGGATGGGCAACCCAAGCAGCAGGAACTATGTGTGGAAAGGCATGGAGCTTTGAAAGGAGAAGGTGCATCCAGGAAACATCGGTTGCTCCCTTGTGGCTGAAATAACATGCATTTATGGAATGTCATGATAGAAAGTTGGGCACAAGAGCAAACCCAGAGTTCATTAGCTTCATATGTCAAGCAAGAGAATTTGAGCTCTATCTGTAAGTCATGAAGACTTCATGGAATATCTTAAGTAAAAGATAGACATGGCTGGAATTGGGGTTTCAGGAAAAACACTGTGGCAGCAATGGGAAAGTCAAACTGGAAGACAGAGAAACCAAATAGAAAGAGGTTATTTTAATTAACCAGGAGATGATGAGGATTGTCTCTGAACTCGATACCAACTGAACTTGGGAAAGGAGCTGTTGGGCTGGAGAGAACACAGTAGACTCTAACATGTTTCAGGGGCCAAACAGACAGGATGTTGTGATTGATGAATGTAGGAATGAGGATTGGGGAGGAGTCCAGGATGACTCCCAGCTTCTACCCATGGTGCCTGGGTGGAGAGCAGTGTCATTCCTGAAACAGGGAACACAGAAGGAGCAAGTTTGGCAGGAAAGGGGATCAATTCAGGCTGGAACTTGCTGAGTTAAAGGAGCTGCAGGACATAGAACAGGAGGCTCCCAGAAGACAAGGAACAGATTCAAAAGTTGGGAGTGAAGTTTGGCCTCGAGAAAGTCATGGAACCCAGAGAGGATTCTGGAATGAGAAGAGAGCTAAGAGGAAAACCTAAGAAACACTACAATTTAAGAAATGGTTATGGTATAAAACTCAAGAATTGAAATACAGAAGACCCTAGGAGGAAAGTCCATCTTCCAAGTATTGGAAACCACGCCCAATTCCTTGGCCAAGTTTTCACAATCCACTATCCACACACACCCATATTCCCTCTTTTCTTTTCCAATGACAAGTAAAAACACAACCTGCATCCTCACCACATGTACAAAGTCCTCGTACAAAATTTCTCTAGAGCCTAACATGGGTGCCCTCTTGAGTCAACAAGAATGAACACTGCCAGTAAGTTTGTAGAAAGTTGACTTCAAGAACATGACACATGCTCACAGTAGGATATTGCCAAAGGACTGGTCATGAGAGCCAATCAGTCACAGCCACCAGCCCTGAAGGACATGAGTCCAGGAACCTAGAGTTTAGACCTGTAAGCAATTAAGGGTAGAAAGATCTTCAATTTATTTTTCTCTTCCCCATTTTCAGGCAGAGAAACTGATACCCAGAGAATGAAAGGATTTTGTCCAAGGTCAGCAGTGAAACCAGTTGACCAGATCAGTGTGACTAAATTATGTCATGTTGGTTAAAATGTCCTAATGGGCAGCACATTTCTAAAGTTTCTGCCAATGCAACCAGGCACCATGGGCACACTTCAGAAACTAATGAGTCTGCAATTCCTCCAGCTCATTCAGAAGCTCCTGGGATAAGACTCAATCCTGGTAAGGCATGGGAGACTGAAGAAAAGGTAGAAGTTATCACCCTTCATAGGGCTTAATGGACTGTGGTTGTCACATATCCCTCCCTCTCTGAGGCCACTGGGATCTGAATTTGTCCTGGGCAGGGGCTTTGGGGTCATTTAATTATCATACCAAGGGGACCCAACGAGGGAATCCAAACTTGTCTTGAAAAAGTGATTGTCTTCAAAACTAGCCTGTGTCAGAATTTTCCTTCCCAAAAATAGCTGTCCATGGGTTTGCATTTTCACAGCTCTCTTCTAGGCATCGGCTTCTGGTCTGACCTTGGTTCAGGACTTCCCCTTTAGATGGATGGATCCAGATGGGTCTTTCTGAAACCCCCTTTTGACAATATCACTCTCTGCTCGGGAGAACCCAGTGCTCTCCTCCACCTACATGCAACTTAGTAGACATCCTAGCCACAGCCTGAGCCTACAGCTTTTCCAGCCATTGCTTCTTTTTGGTTCCCTCAAGTTCTGTCACTTTGGGTGTCTTCCAGTTCCCTGAGCACAAGAGGTATTTTTAGGCCCCAGTGCCTTTGCACATGTTTCCTGGAATACCGTTTTCCTTGTTATCCACTGAAAGCAACTCCCATGTATTCTTATTTATTTAAATTTTTTGCATCCAGACTTTGAATTCCTCAAAAACAGTAACTGGTGTCATAATCACCTTGTTATCCCCAGCACATAGTTCAGGATTTGTCAACATGTTGGAATGAATGCCTATGAGCCAATCAGACTACTTGCCACAGTCAGGAGGAAGAGGAAGGCTGGAGTAGCTGTGAATAGTACAAGATGAACCTCCTTATGAGTGTGAAAGAGGGGGAGCATCAACAGAGTTACCATGAATTGACACAGTGGCCATGTTTCCACCTGGTGGAGGAATCCATTTTTAACTCAAACCATCCTCGAGAAGTTACTTTTCCTACCAGAGAGGTGGCAGGCTAAGAATAATCCCCTTCATTAATCCCTCCCAACAACTTGAATAATGGATGGACCACAGGGAGTTTAGAAGCCCAGGTTAAGTTTATGAGTTGTAAATGTAGCTCTGGGCACACTGGGTAGGGAGATAGGGGTGGTCCCTCGAACAGAAAGCCAGGGCAACTATTTCCCAGAATAAATTAGAAGCATATCTCCTTATGAATACTGGGGAATGCCATTGATGTTCCATAAAGTAAACTTTGGTCAAAACATAGCAGAAGCTGGAGATTTTCTGCAAACAAACAGTAATGTGAGGCCAGACATGTGTAGGCAAGAAGAGCAAGGTATCTTCAGAAGGAAGTCAGCAGTATTTCCAGGAAGAACCAGAATATAATCCATTCTCTGGGCTGTTTCTAGCCTTGGGTTTTCACCCATAGGGACAGTGAAATGGCAGCTTATATCAGGCTCTTGTATACCCCATACTATATCATGGGTAGTTTTTTCTGTACTAGTGTCCTCAAGTTGTCCACATAGGTTTCTCATTCTAGAACATGAGCTCAGTATTCTCTATTAACATTTTTGTGGTTAAAGTCCTAAATTGCAGTCTCTCCAGCTACTACATAAGGATACCCGACCTGAGTGCCTCTGACCTGACACATGAAAACAAGATTTGGATGCCCACATGGACATTCCTTCATTTAACAAGTATTTGTTGAGTGCCTACTATGCACCAGATACTGGGAGTATAATAATAAACAAGAGACCCTGTGTTCTGGGAGTTGATAGTCTAAGGGGAAAAGGGACACTGACAAGCAGCCAGGGCTTGCAATACAGTCTATGCACAATACTCTGTACTGTGATGGGGCATTAGAGGGGGCCACAGAGACTCTACTTTAGACCAGTAGGGTCAGGAAAGGCTTACTGGAGAAATGATGTCCATGCTGAGACATCCCATTAGACAACGTGAAGGGAAACGGAAAACAAGGCATGCTCCAGGCATATAAGCTAGGCAACTGCATGTGCCAAGACCTGAAGTTGAGAGACAGTGTGGCCTGTTAAGGGAAAATGAGAAGAGCAGGACAAGTCCAAGTATGGGCCCAGCCCAGTTCAGCCCATCTATACATGTGTTACCAAGGAAGAGACCAGAAATTTGGGGGCACAGCTCAGGATCAGCCCCCACCTGATACTCCATTCTCACCTCAATTGTGGATGTGAAGTTTCAGCTTCACCAGGGCTGCAAGGCCAAATGGTCCTTGAACCCCCAAGCCCAGCAGCTCAGAATCTCCCAGGCTTCATGACGTAAGGAAGAGTAAGAGGAAAGTTGCAGCCATGACCCGAGACCCTTCTTTGCCCTGCCTGGTTTCCTGCTCTGTGGTGGCTTCATCTCAGCAAGAAGGTTGCCATCTTGAATGGGAATGGACATTGGGGTGGGATGGGGTGGGTGTTGGGGAGGGAGACCCAAACACCTGTCCAATACAGTCAAAGAAGCTGGTTGTCACCATGTGATCAAAAAAAGAGACAATTGGCTGAATTTCAGTCACATTTTCTGGAGGTTTGTAGACGTCGTAGAGGTTTACAAGCCTCCACAATAGGTAGAGGTATCCGTCTGGGGCAGGTGCCCCAGACAGCCTCCTGGAAGTGATTACTCCACTCAACAGCCAAGAGGCATCTCCTAAGGAATGTGTGTTGTTTCAACCTGGGATTGGAAGAAGGGCAAAGTTCTTGAACAATATTTCATGGTTTACAAACATCTTGAGGTTTACTGAGCACTTGTGCACCAGGCTTCTGCTAGGTATTTTAATATCTAGCATGAAGTTGGCTTCTCATGACAGCCCTACAGGATAAGTAATATATCCCAGCTTTCAGATCAGGAAATTGAGGCCCAGGGAGGTGTAAGAAACTTGCTCAAAATCCACCTTGTTGAGTGACAGAAGGAGAATTTAAATCCTGACCTCCTGCTTCCTCTCACTTCCATCCCTGCATTATCTTATGTCACCATCTCGAGAGCCATGGTAAGGTTGGCAATATTAGTAGTTTCAGATAAAAAAAAGCAAGGCTTGGATAGGTGGCAGAAGGTACCAGAAACAGGTGTTTCCAGCTGATAAGGTTGGGCCCGTCAGCACATTTTCTGAGGCAGCTCCCCTTGCTGAGCACCACCTCCCACAATTTCATTCCAACATTTTAATGAAAAATAAACGTCTGTCCACCCCTACCCTGTGCACTAGGCCAGATCAAGCAATTACACAGTGTTTGTGTGGGAAGAGGACTGGTTCTGAGAGACCAAGCTGATAGGGAGGGGTGATAGCAGAGAAAACCCAGCTGGCTCAGTTGGGTCTTCCCAGGACCCCTCGTGCCCTTCTCCCACTGCCCTTTCCACTCAGAAACCTGCCCCCACTGCCCATCCTGCCTGGGTGAGGCAGGATCCACCACCAGGGTCCAGGCAGGACCCTGGAACTAAGGATTTTACATGCTTTCCAACCCAACTCTAACACAAGGCCATACAGCATAGTGGTGAAGGGCACTACTCACTCACTCTGAACTTGGACAGTGGCTCCATCTCTTAGAACCTGTGTTGTCTTCTGTGAGATGAGGATGATAGTAGCACCCAGCACACAGGGTTAAATGAAAAGAGAGTCTTGCCAGGGACAGTTACATGACAAGTGCTCAGGAAACACTAGTCACTTGTCTCCATTTTTGCTTTTTATTGAAGTATAATGAACATACCAGAAAATGCATAAGTGCATAGCTCACTGTTTTGGACAAATTGAACACACCTGTGGAAGCAGCACCCAATTCAAGAAACAGAATTCTCAGCACTACACCCCGACTATACCTTCTGGTTACTATTTCCTCCCAAGAATAACCCCATCCTTACTTCTTACAGCATAGATAAATTTCACCTGTATTAAAGATGGTACTACTTGAGCAAAGACATGGAATCAACCCAGATGCCCATCAATGATAAACTGGATAAAGAAAATATGGTACATATACTCCAGGAATACCAGGCAGCCATAAAAAGGAATGAAATCATGTTTTTTGCAGCAACATGAAGTTGGAGGCTATAATATTAAGCAAATTAATGCAGGAACAGAAAACCAAATACCACATGTCCTCACTTATAAGTGGAAGCTAAACATTAAGCACATACAGACATATTATAAATATGAGAACAATAGACATTGTGGACTACTAGAGGGTGGAGGGAGCAGGGGGGATGGGGAATTTTTATAAGTATTTATTGGATACTCTGCTCACTACCTGGGTGACGAGATTTGTACTCCAAACCTCAGCATCCCACAATATCCCCAGATAACAAATCTACACATGTATCCTCTATATCTAAAATAAAAGTTGATTTTTAAAAAAAGATGCTACCATTTGTTTTGTTAACTATAATTTAAAATGCACCAGGAATATGCACACATTCTTTGGGTGTGTTACCTTATTTAGTCTTCATCGCAGCCCTCTGATGTAGGTATACTCACATTATCCCCATGTCATAGATGAAGAAACAGGGAACATTCTATGGAATCTGCAAAAATGCAGGTAGAACTGCAAGTAAGTTTAGCAAGATCACAGCATACAAAGTCAAAATACAGAAATCAGTTGCATTTCTAAATACTAGCAACAGACCATTAAAAATTGAAATTTAAAATATTATTTACAAAATATTTATACATACATTTTAAAACCATGAAATACTTAGGGATAAATTTAACAAAATATATATAAAAACTACACAATCAAAATTATAAGGCATAGCTAAAAGAAAATTTTAGAAGATTTAAATAAGTGAAAGTATATACTGTATTCATGGGTTGGAAGACTCAAGATTGTTAAAATATAAATTTATTCCTAACTAACCTATAATTTTAGGGTAATCCCAATCAAAACTCCAGCAGACTTTTAAAAGTAAATTGAAAAATTGATTCTAAAATGTGTGTAAAAAAACAAAGGCCCTAGAAGAGCCAAAACAATTTTGCAAAAGAAGAACATTTTGAGGACTTTCAACACCTGGTTTCAAGACTTCCAGTAAAGCTACTGGAATCTAGGCAGTGGTATTGGCATAAGAATAGAAAAGCTGGGTGCAGTAGCACAGGTCTGTAATCCCAGCTACTCAAGAGGCTGAAGTGGAAGCGTCACTTGAGCCCAGGAGTTTGCGACCAGCCTGGGCAACATAGCAAGACTCCATCTTGCTAAGAAAAAAAAAGAATAGGCATACAGATCAATGAAACACAACAGAGAGTACAGAAATAAACTCACACATATACGGTCCCTTTGGTTTTAGACAAATATGCCAAGTCATCCAATGGGACAGGGATAACTGTTTCTACAAATGGTGTTGGAATAACTGAACATACATATGCATAAAGAATAAGTAAATATAAAAAAGAAGAATCTTGTCCTCTACCTCATGCAACAGATAATAATTAATTCAAATAATTGATCACAGACTTAACTTTAAGAGTTAAGACTGTAAATGTTCTAAAAGTAACAGAAGATCTTTACAAGATTGGGATAGGCAAATATTTCTTATATAGAACCTGAAAAAAGGACCCATTGTAAAAAAATGATAAATTGGTCTTCATCAAAATGCAAAAATGTCTTCTCTTTAAAAGGCACCATTAACATAACAGGCTACATATGGGAAAAAATATTTACAACACATATGCTTGACAAGAGACTTATATCCAGAGTATTTAAAGAACTCTTCCAACTCAATAGTAAAAAGAACAGCCTAAATTTTGTAAGTAGGCAAAATGTTTCTCAAGATACACAAACTGTCAAAGTTCACATTAAAAAATCATTAGTAATCAGGGATTGGAAGTAAAAAGCAAAATGAGATCATATGGTATGTCAATTAGGATGACTAAAATTAAAAAGACTGACAACAAAAAGCGTTGACAAGTAGGTGGAGCAACTGGAACTCTCATACGCTGTGGTGAGAAATACAAAACAGTACAACCACTTTGGAAAAAATTCAGGCAGTTTCTTACAATGTTAAACATATGTCTACTATATAACCTAGTAATCTTACTTGTACCTATTTACCCATGAGAAATGAACACAGATGCCCATACAAACACTTGTGTGCAAATGTTTAGCACAAATTTATTCATAGTAACCAAACACTGGAAACCACACAAATTCCCATCAACTGGTGAACAGACACACAAGTTTTTGTATCATCCATATTAATAGCATCATACTCAGCAATAAAAAGAAGCAAAATACTGTACTGATACATGCCATCACAAGTATAAATCTGAAAAACACCTTACTGAGCAAAATGAGCCAGAATACAAAAGAATAAATCTATATGATTTTATTTATAAGTTCTAGAAAGACTAAGTTTAATCTAAAGTAATAGAAGAAAAATCAGTGGTTGCCTGGGTCCAGTGGTGGGAGATAGGGGTGGGGAATAGGGAGGGAGTCCCTGGGAAGTATCACAAGGAGACATTTAGGAGAGATGGAAATGTTCCATATATTGATTATGATTGTAGTTAGTGTGTTAATGAGTATATCCATTTGTCAAAATTTATTGTATTGGTCATTTAAAATGAGTGCATTTTGTCATGTGATAATTATACCTTAATTATTAATAAAATAATTTAAAAAAAAACAAATAATGAAAGCTATTGGTTTTATTATTATTATTTACTATCTCCCAGGAACTCTGCTAAGCCCTTTATGTGTACCATCTTATTCAATCCTCTCAACAGCCCTCTGATCTACGCACACTAACATCATGCCCATTTTACAGAGGAGAAAACAGAGGCTCATGGAAGAATGTGAAATAATGTAACCAACGTTCCCCACTAATAAGCAATCCAGGATTAGAATTTAGGTAGTCTTAATCAGCGAATATATGGCTTTCAAAGCATGGGAAAATTTCTCTGTGTACACTTGAGTAATTATCAGTACATAAATGATTGTTACTAATAATGTGCTTGTATTGTTATTTGCAGAGGTGGTACTTCAAGTCCACCCCTGGGAATGTCAATATCATGGGCAAGTGGGGTATCTTTAACTTGAAGGACAGCCCAGTCAGGGACTGGAGAGAATGTCAGCACCCCAGCTGGATCAGACAAATGCTATCATAGGCCTCAGCCAAAAGAGAGCTGGGTAGGGAAACTGAAGGGAAGGTGTGCACATAGGCTAAACCATGAAGGACATGAGCATCCAAGAAACACACACACACATCAGGCCTGGGGCTCCAAGTAAGAGAGAAAACTCTGAACCCCACCCAGGGTGGGGCTAAGGTTCCTAACGCACTTCCTGTACATGTCAGGGTGGGTCAAGGATTGGGCAGGGCTGGGTGGGGTTGGAGGCCAATCTGAAGAGCCTGGTTGACCAGTGTGGCTGTCTTCTCTGGCCCCTAGTCAATCTGAGACCAGTCACTCCTAGCAGAATGAAAAGTTTGCACATGGCTGCTTCTAACCTCAGATTCTCCCTCTTTTTAACACCAGGAAAGGTTTTCTTTGAAAATTCCCCTGCTTCTCTGAGTCTGCTGTTATGAAGGGTGAGATCACACCCTGTAGTCATGACTTTGGTCCTGAAACAATTATTCATCCTGTTCTACTTAAGCTTGGTGGCCCGTGCTCACTGGGTGATGAGCTCTCCCCCTAATCCCTCTCCCCACCAGTTCTCTCATGGCTCACTGCCCTGTTGGCTTTGTCAGGTGCAATTGCATCAGGTTAAGGCAGGGGAGGAGGGGTGAGGGCTGGGCCCCAGCTTGGGAATTAAGAAGTTGAGAGAGGCCAGAGAGAGAAGGAAGCAAAAAGATGAAGACAGATACAGAAACACTCCTGTTTTCAAAGTCTTAGGCATAAGGGGCCCTTCTCAATAGGTTACTATTTATAGGAACATACACAGAGTTGCTGTACCCAGACATGTGAGCCCCAGTGATGAGATTTCTGGTCCAGTGGAAACATCTGAAAGTCGTTACTTAAAATGTTACCAAGACAGCCACAGGCAGGCTCTGTATGTGCCCTCAGTCAACAAAATCTTCCCCACCCTCCTCTAAGACTCTAAGTTATGTTGGATCCATGAGAGGAGTCACCATGTCATCCTCAAAATGCCACTGAGAAACTGTCATCCAATGACTGTCATGGTTTTCCCCTCTTTATTTCTTCTGGAAGAGTGGAAGTAGGGGGAGGCAGAAAGTGTAGTGGCAGAGGATAAGGCTGACAGACCACAGTGGGTGACTGAAGTACTAAGACAATGGGGTGGCACAGAAGAATGCTGAGCAGCCAGTGTTAGAACTGTGTTTTAGGCCGGGCACCGTGGCTCACCCCTGTAATCCCAGCACTTTGGGAGGCCGAGGCAGGCGGATCACGAGGTCAGGAGATCGAGACCATCCTGGCTAACAAGGTGAAACCCCATCTCTACTAAAAATAAAAATTAAAAAAAAATTAGCTGGACGTGGCAGCAGGCGCCTGTAGTCCCAGCTACTAAGACAGGAGAATGGCGTGAACCCAGGAGGCGGAGCTTGCAGTGAGCTGAGATCAGGCCACTACACTCCAGCCTGGGTGACAGAGTGAGACTCCGTCTCAAAAAAAAAAAAACAAAAAATACTGTGTTTTAGATTAAAATGCTCCAGCAGCCAGAGTGAGGACTGGACCAGACACAGACCAGGGTGAGAGATCTCAAGATGGGCCTGGGGCATCAGCAGTGATGACGGAGGATAGGAGATAGATTTCTATGGCTGATATTTATTATTTTACATGTGTGGCTGCCCATTAATGTTTTTATTTGTTTGTTGTTTTAGAGAGAGGGTCTTGCTCTGTTGCCCAGGCTGAGTACAGTGGCATGATCACAGCTCACTGCAGCCTCAAACTCCTGGGCTCAAGTGATCCCCCTGCACCAGTCCCCCAAGTAGCTGGGACCACAGACCTGCACCACCACTTCTAGCAAATTTTTTAAATTTTTTGTAGAGATGGGGGCCTCACTGTGTTGCCCAGGCCCCTCTTGAACAGGAGATCCTCCCACTTCACCCTCCCAAGTAGCTGAGATTACAGGTCCACAAAGCCCAGCTTTTTTTTCATTATCTTTTTAACAGCCTTTTGCAATTTGGGGGAAATAGAACATAATGAGTTCCACTGGAAATTTTCTGATGTAGAAATCAGAACTCAAGTGATTTCCAGACTCATTTGCTGCTATGCCATGAGCACATAACCAGCCTTCATCAACTAGACACTCCAGTTGGGAAGTGGTCAATTTGAGGAATTGGTCTATTTGGAGCTCACGCACAGTTTTGCTGGTGTAGGAAACAACCAAGTCACCAGCTTTCAGGGCAGCATGTTTGCCAAGCCAAATTGCCAACCCAGAAGTGACATTAATGCTGGTAACATTGCAATAAAGTCAGTTTTCTGGCATCTAGTATTCAGTGGCAGCTTCAGCAACAGCAATCAAAGTCTCAACATTAAGCTAGAGCTGCTACGTGGTTTCGGATGTTCTTAGAAGCTTGGCCTCAAGCCAGTTTCTCCGTCTCCTCCATCAACTATGGGGGCTACTTGACATATTTTGCTAAATTACTTTTCTTCCTAGTTTTGTATTCTGTCATTTGCAACCGAGAAACTGGCTGATACAATTCTTGGTTATTTATGGGTAATATTAAGAGGATTTAGTGACCTATTAGCCCAACTACTAGAACAGTGACTGACACATAGCAGACATTCAGTATACCTCAAATACTTGTTGAGAGGCAGGAAGGCAGGAAGGCAGGCAAGAAGGAAAGGGAAGGGAAGGGAAGGGAAGGGAAGGGAAGGGAAGGGAAGGAAAGGGAAGGGAAGGGAAGGGAAGGGAAGCAAAGGGAAGGAAAGGGAAGGGAGGGAAGGAGGGAATGAGGGAAGGGAGGGAGGAGGGAAGGGACGGAGAGAGGGAAGGGGGAAGAAAAGAAGGATGAAGGGAAGGATAAACAGAGTGTATGTAATATGAGAGATGAAGGAGTGTAGGATGATATACAGATTAGACAACTTTGTGGATGGTAGTGCTATCACTGAGACATGAAAGGCAGAAGACAGAGCAGGTTTGAGAAAATGATGAGTCAGGTTTGGGACCGCTGGATTCAAGTTTCCTCCAGTACATCCAAGTACAGATTTTCAGTAGTTTGCTGGATATTTAGATCCAGAGTTCAACAGGAAACTCAGGGCAGTAGATGACTTGCGGGTGACCCAGACAGAGGAGTAAGTGAGTTTTGCAAATGGAAGAAATGCCCTAGTGCAAAGAAGAAATGACAATGAATGAAATTCTGAAAAGTACCAGCATTTAGGAGATAACTTGAGGAGTTGCTCACAAAAGACACTGAGGAAAACTGCCAGAAGTTCAGCTGAGCTTTGTGGACCCACATGTCATCAAAGGCCAGTGGTGACTGGACCAGGTGAAAACAAGAAATCTTTCTGCTTCTGTTTCCATTTCCACAGTGCATGGGCCAAAACACTTACCTTCCCGGCTCCTTGCTGTGAATGATCATGAAAGGCAGGCCTCTTGACCAAGCTGCAGACATTTATGAGCATCTACTGCGCGCTAGGCACTGAGCAAGGCAATTTACATTGATTGTCCTTTTTAATTCTATCAATTGCACTATGAGTGACTTATTATATTTGTCCCATTATTGCTGAGGTTCAAAAAAGTAAGGTCACTTTCCACTTCCCACAGGGCTGGCTATTAGAATCATTCAGCAAGAGATCCTGAACAGGGCTGGAGGGAGAAGGCTTCAAAAAGAGCAACCAGTTTGCATTACGGGAAACTGAGGCACAGAGATGTTACTCGCCTAACGTCACATGGTTAGTGACTGGTTCTAATCCCAGGCCAGCCTGCCTTAAGGATCCAATGATGATAATGTTGATGATGATGTGACAGGGATAGTAACAGTGATGGTAACAACAACAGTGACTGCTGCTACGTTTATGGGGTGCCTATAATATGCCAAAATTGGTGCATTTCATGCATTGCCTCACTTAATTCTCATGACAACACAATAAGGTAGGGCTATCATAAACCCCTCTTCAGCCATGAGTGTAAAAGGGGCTCAAATTGTCACTGTGAGCAATAATAATCCTACTGGGGCTTGGGGCTGGAGGTTGGCATGCAGGACAGGCTGGAAACAGACTGCCCCACAGCAGATCCTGGCTTCTCAGACCCCGAGGCAGCCCCAGGGAGCAGACAGCCCAGCCCAACCCAGGCAAGGGAGACATTCTGCCCAGACAAACCGCAGAAGCGTCTGGGGCGCTGCTGTCTCCTGTCCTCTACAAACTTGTAGCAGCTTGCGTGTGCAGATCTCTGGGATGAGATGATCAAGGACTGGCCCCCCTGTCCCAAGTGCTCATGAGGAAACTGCCCTGTGTGCCATAGGGCTCATCTCTCCAGGCCTGCCCAGACCCAGGACCTTGAACTGAACCATGCACAGGTCTATAGGTTGAGGAGGTGGATAGAAAAGGGTCCCCAGATAGCAGACCCTGGTGGGAATTTTAGCGCCACCATAAGCCTTTGTTCTAAGCTTCCTTTCATCTGGCTTCCAGAACTAGGACCTGCTGGATGGTTTATTGCCTTTCCTTTTAAGTCACATTAAAAATAACTTTTCAGTAATCACCCTAACACAAGGTACTTGACTCGCTGGGGATCCCCAGTGCCTAGAAAGATGCTTGGTATGTACTAGAAATAACAAATATTTATTGAGCACTTACTATGTGATAGGCAAGGCACCATGAACTTTACATTCTTTATCTATCACCTTTAATGCTCACTACAACCCTATGAAATATATTCTCTTATTATCTCCATTTTACAGATGAGAAAACTGAGACTTTGAAAGGTGAAGTGACTTAGCTCAAGGTCACATAATGAAAAAGCAGCAGAGCTAGGATTTGACTGCAGTCTATGCTCAGACAGTCCCACCATGATACTGTGTTGTATAAAATAGGTGAAAGAGTGTGTGTGTGTGTGTGTGGGTGTGTTTAGAAAGGCAGCCTAATTTGGTGGAGATATTTAGTAGAGACATTTAGGAACCTTGGGCTCCAAGCTTAATTCTGCTATATGAAAGCTGTGTTACCTCGATGAAAGAACTTGACGTCTCTGAGATTCAGTGTCCTCATCCTTCTTTTCAAACCTCCAGTTGTGGAAGACAAACTATGGCTCTGAAATAACAAGCACAAATGCAATAGAAATACAAAGCATGAGTGAGTATACATAGACACTTGTGTGGCCCATGTGTGTCTGTGTATGTGGCAGCTCCCTGGGCAGGTCTGTGCATTTGTGTGTAAATGCTTTTACACGTGAGCATGCGTAGCAGAATCATGTCTGTTTCCTCTCTTGAGAGCCCCTGGTTATGCACTGTGGGTCCGGAAAAGGTATCCAGACCTCACTCATTATACCCATTTGCCTGTTGTACTTAGAAACTTTATTTTCTACCGAAGTTATGGCTCCCTCCCAGCTGTTGAAAGTCTGGGTTATGGCATGAGTGGAAGATCAAGGCTGCTTCCACTCCCAAATGCATGCTCAGTCCCTCGCTCTGCCCATTTGTCAACTCTTGGCCCAAAACTGTCCTCTCAGAGATTTCCCTTAGGCTGAGTAAGGAAGCCAGTTATAGCCACCTGGGAAAAAGGAGCCTCAGACAATGTGGAGGGGCCAGGGGAGAGGATACCTGCTCCAGGTCTTATTTTCCTCTCTCAATACCTAAGCAAACGCGCCGTGACAAAGGAGGGGACTTTGGCTTTTCCACATAGAGTGAGTGCTACATAAATATAAATTAAAGACATCAACAACCATCAATAGTCACTTTTATAAGACCCATTTTACAGATAAGAGAACTGAGGTTCAAAATGTTTAAGTAATTGACACAAGGTCACAGGGCACATAAGCAGCAAAGACAGGATCCTGGAGCAGCTCCATCCTACACCAAAACCTGCGCTTATTCCACTGTGCCCACGAAGGTATCAAACTGGTGCACCTGGCAAGGTCATAGGTGAGGCAGCTGGGATTTCCCAATCTGCCTTAACACATAGCCTTAGCCAGGGTGACTGAGCAAGAAAGCACTGTCTCTGCCTGAAATTGTGCCAGGGAAAGGGTGCAGACTCAAGAGACCAGCTTAGCAGTTGTGTAAGGGGTATCATCCTGCCTGCACACTGTTTCCTTATCTGCAAATTGGTCTAGCACGCCACACCTCTCAGGATCAGTGGAGACCAGAAGAGTGTGGGGAGATCAGCACATACAGGTGTGTGGACCAGAGATGAAGACCCATGAACATCAGGCAGTGGGGATAGAAAGAAGGCAGAGGCCAGGTCCTGAAGGTCTAGTGAAGCCATCTGTATTAGTTTCCTGAACTTGGCAGCCTAAAACAACAAACATTTATTATTTCTCAGCTTTAGAGGCCAGAAATCCAAAACGAGTTTCAGTGGGCCAATATCAAGGTGTTGGCAGGGCTGTGCTCCCTCTGGAGGCTCTAGAGGAGAATCTGTTCCTTGCCTTTTCCAGCTTCTGGGGGCTGCCAGCTTCCCTTGATCTCAGTTGCATTGTTCCAGTATCTGCCCCCGTGATCACTTTGCTTCTCAGTCTGTGTGTGGTAAAACCTCCTTCTGTCTCCCTCTTATAAAGAGACATGTGATGGTATTTAGGGCACACCTGTATAAGCCAGGATAATCTACCCACCTTAAAATCCTCAACTTAATCACATCTGCAAACAGTCTTTTTCCAAAAGAAAAAATAAAGGAATATTTACAGGGATTAGGAACAATTATCTTTCGGGGGCATTTTCAGCCTACTACACCATCTAAATAAGCTGATACTACATCTTGGTGGCACCAAGGAGCCATTGGAAGGTCTCTGGTGGCAGAGTGCCATGATGAGATCTATTTCCTGAAATAAATGTGGACTCTCTCATGGCCTGTGGCAAATCCACTCCCTGCTCGAGGTTTCTGAAAAGTCCCAGAGGCTTTCACTATTTTGTCACTCCTAGCTCCCTTTCTTTCCCTCTTACCTATGATCTCCTGCACTTCTGCTCAAATGCAGAATTAAAATATTCTTCCTTGATCTTTACCCCCTCCCCCCAAAAAAATTCACTCACACAAGACATTTTTGTGTGTCGATGACTTTACTAAAGGTTTGTAATGTCAGACTGAGTTGACATCATAGAATGCAAACAATTTTAAATTAAGCATTAAATATCTCATTTTGATGCATCCTTGACCCACCCTGGCTACCTTCTTTCTAGACTTTCCCCTTCTACCATGTTCCCAGACTGCTTATTTTCATTCTTTTTTTATTATTTTCCTTTTCTCTGCTCTACCCCATCCGGAAATTCCTGCAATTTCTCAGACTGAGCAGTTAAGATATGTCTTACCCTCTCCAGGTGATAAATGTTAATTTCTGGCCTCTAAAGCTGAGAGAGGTGTTAATTTCCTAAGCAAGGGTAACTTCCTCCCCAAGAGGATCCCTAATACTGCAGTTGAAATCAGAATTTTTTCATCCTATTGCACTTATACATAGAAGTATATTATATGTTAAATACATTTAAAGGGACATCGCACATGTAAATACCCACACACTCTCATACACACACATGCCCCAAAGATCACAGCTAAGTCCCAACTTGAAGTAAGCATGTTCGAATGTCATCGCCATGACCCACCCACCCATCTGTTTTGAGCTGTGGTTGGCAGCAAATAATTAGCATTCACCAGGATGGCCAAGCCCAGCTTCCACTGTGGATCCCAACAGCCTGCCTCACAGCAAGAGACTCCGCTTTGGTGTAATTACCTATTCCTTGCACACCAGTTGCCCTGGTGTGATGTCAGCCCCTCCACATTGTTTATTTTAATTAAAACAGAAATTGCAGGTCTTAGGTGCTTGTAATTACAGCCCATGAACTAAATTGACTGAGGCCCCTAATTAACCTGAAACACGTCTACCTGGCTGGAGGTGTGAGTTTGGACTTGACTAGTTCAGGGCACTGCATCGGCACCAAAAACAGAGCAAGGAAAGGTCTATTAGGGATTCAGATAGGGCATTTGCCCTCCAAAAACTGCTACACACAGCCTGTACCCCTCAGACCACATTGTGGGTTCAATTTCAATTCCAAATGTACCTAATTAGCCCAGGACACACTCAGCAAAAGTGTAGTGATAGCATCTAAAAATCAACTAATGTAATCATCAATAGAATAGAAAGCAAAAACAAAGGAGTAAAAAAATAAAAATAAAAAATCACATGATCATTCCAATAGATGCAGAAAAAAACTTTTGACAAAATCCAACACTCTTTTTTTAATAAAAACACTCAACAAACTAGGGATAGAAGAGAACTTCCTCAACCTGATAAAGAGCATCTATGAGAAACCCATAGCTACGTCATACTCAGTGGTGAGAAACTTTCTCCCTAAGGAGATGCTTTCTCCCTAAGATCAGGAACATGACAAGGATGTCTGCCCTTAACACTTCAATTCAGCATTGTTCTGGAGGTTCTGTCGCAGGCAATTGAAAAAGAAAAAGAAATACAGACATTCAGCTTGGAAAGAAAGAAGTAAAACTATCTCTATTTTTATGTGACATGATCTCATATATATAAAATCCGAAGGAATCCACTAAAAAATAGAACTAATAAATGAATTCAACAAGGTTGCAGGATACAAGATCAATCTACAAAAATCAACTGTATTTCTATACACTTGCAATGAGAAATCTAAAAATAAAGTTAAGAAAATAATTTAATATGCAATGGTTGGTGGGACTGTAAACTAGTTCAACCATTGTGGAAGTCAGTGTGGCAATTCCTCAGGGATCTAGAACTGGAAATACCATTTGACCCAGCCATCCCATTACTGGGTATATACCCAAAGGACTATAAATCATGCTGCTATAAAGACACATGCACACTTATGTTTATTGTGGCACTATTCACAAAAGCAAAGACTTGGAATCAACCCAAATGTCCAACAATGATAGACTGGATTAAGCAAATGTGGCACATATACACCATGGAATACTATGCAGCCATAAAAAATGATGAGTTCATGTCCTTTGTAGGGACATGGATGAAATTGGAAATCATCATTCTCAGTAAACTATAGCAAGAACAGAAAACCAAACACCACATATTCTCACTCATAGTGGGAATTGAACAATGAGAACACATGGACACAGGAAGGGGAACATCACACTCTGGGGACTGTTGTGGGGTTGGGGGAGGGTTGTGGGGTGGGGGGAGGGGGAGGGATAGCATTAGGAGGTATACCTAATGCTAAATGACGAGTTAATGGGTGCAGCACACCAACATGGCACATGTATACATATGTAACTAACCTGCACATTGTGCACATGTACCCTAAAACTTAAAGTATAATAATAATAAAATTTAAAAAAAACAAAGTAGTAAAATAGAAAGTAATTTAACAAAAAATATAAAACTTAACTCTGAAAACTTCAAAACGTTGTTGAAAGAAATTTAAAAAGACCTATAAAACTCTAAAAACATTCGAGGTTCATGGATTGGGAAACTTAATATTGTTAAGATGGCAATATTCCTCAAATTGATCTACAAATTTAACACAATCCCTATCAGAATCCCAGCTTGCTTCTTTGTAGAAATTGAAACTGATTATAAAATTCATATGTAATTTCAAAGGTCTCAGAATAGTCAAAATCATCTTGAAGAAAACAAAGTTTTCCCAAATGCCCATCAATTATAGACTGGATAAAGAAAATGTGGTACATATACACCATGGAATACTACATTGCCATAAAAAGGAATGAGATCATGTCCTTTGCAGGGATGTAGATGAAGCTGGAAGCCATCATCCTCAGCAAACTAACACAGGAACAGAAAACCAAACACCGCATGTTCTCACTCATAAATGGGAGTTGAACAATGAGAACACATGGACACAAGGAGGGGAACAGCACACACCAGGGCCTATTAGGGGGTGGGAGATAAGGGGAGGGAACTTAGAGGATGGGTCAATAGGTGCAACAAACCACCATGGCACACGTATACCTACGTAACAAACCTCCACGTTCTGCACACGTATCCCAGAACTTAAAGTAAAATTTAAAACAAAACTGCATGTTCTGCACATGTACCCCAGAACTTAAAGTATAATAAAAAATAAAATTTAAGAAAAAGAAAAGAAACAAAAATGAAAAGGCAACCCACAGAATGAAAGAAGATATATTCAAATGCTGTCTCTGATGAGAGACTTGTTCTAGAACATGTAAAGAGCTCTTAAAACTGGGTAATAAAAAGACAAATAACCCAATTTAAAGATAGGCAAAGGATTTGGATTGGCCTTTATCCAAAGAAGATATACAAATAGCCAATAAACACATAAAAAGATGCTCAACCATTAAGCAGGGAAATGCAAATCAAAACCACAATGGGATACCACTTCACGACAACAAAATTGCCTAGATAGGATTGCCTAGATAGCAACAAAATCAGAAAGAACAAAACATCAGTGTTGGAGCTATGCAGAAATTGCAACTCTCATACACTGCTGATGGAATATAAAATGGTGAAACCGCTTTGGGAAACAGCCTGAAAGTTCCTCAAAAAGTTCAACACAGAGTTACCATATGACCCAGCAATTTCACTCACAGTAGATAACCAAGAAAAATGAATACATACGTCACATAAAAAACTTTCACACAAGTGTTTATGTAATTACTCATAATAATAAATTATATTATGAATTAATTAGTCAAAAAGTAGAAATAACCCAAATATTAATATAAATCAACTTATTATAGACAATATATGGTATATCCATACACTGGAATAAAATTCAGCCACAATGAATGAAATGTTGATATATCCTACCACATAGATGAACTTTGAAAAAGTTAAAGTACATGAAAGAAGACAGTCACAAAATATCACGTATTATATAATTATACTTAAATGTAATGGCCAGAATAGGTAAATCTATAGAGATAGGAAGTAGATTAGTGCTTGCTTAGGGCTGGGGAAGATAGCGGGGTAGGGGAGTGATTGATAAAGGATGCAGAGTTTCTTTGTGAAGTGAGGAATATATTCTAAAATTGACTGTAATGATAGCTGAACATATCTGTAACTATACTAAAAACCATTGAATTGTACTCTTTAAATGAATGAATTTTATGATATGTAAATTATATCTCAATGAAGCTGCTTTACTAAGTGTACTGGGTACCAAGTACCTCCCAGGCACCATACAGGTGCTGATATAAAAGCCATGTCAAATACATAAACTGAGTGTCTTCTTTGTTTTTTAAATGATTCTTCCTCAATTTTTAGAAAATTAAGAAAAACTATAAGGAAGAAAAGAGAAATCATCTATAATCATACCTCCAGTGACAGCCATTATTTATATTTTTCATGCATTTTCTCTGTTTCTTCCATTCAAAATCCTTTTAATGTATTGGATGCCATTTTGAACATCTTAAAATATATTTATATTAACAAACCCTTACATGCTTACCAAGCAATTTAAGGAATAAAACAACATCAATAGAAGAAAACACCATCTACATGCATAATTATCTTGAGGAAATAATCAGAGGTTATCCAAGATGTATAGGATGCTCACCCCAGCACCACCCTTAACGGTAAAACAAGGAAAACACTGGCTGGGTGCAGTGGCTCACACCTGTAAATCCCAGCACTCTGGGAGGCCAATGGGGGGTGGATTACCTGAAGTCAGGAGTTTGAGACCAGCCTGACCAACATGGTGAAACCCCATCTCTACTAAAAATACAAACATTAGCCAGGTGTGGTGGCAGGTGCCTGTAATCCCAGCTACTTGGGAGGCTGAGGTGGGAGAATCGCTTGAACCCAGCAGGTGGAGATTGCAGTGAGCCGAGATCACCCCACTGCACTCCAGCCTGGGTGAGAGAGCGAGACTTCATCTCCAAGGGAAACACAAACTTAACAAAACTATCTCAGCGAAGGTTTTTTTTTTTTTCATCTTTGTGAATGTAAAAAAAAAAAAGTATCTTTCATTTTTAATGTAAAGTTTTTGATAATAATGAGATATTTTTACAAATGTATTATCTTTTGATGCCTCAGCAAATTATATGTGCAAGTCTTATGGGCACTTTTTCTCTGGTTTTCTTTTTTATATGGTGATTTTTTAAAATCTCTGCACGTATTAAGGACAGTAACCATTCTGCCGTATATATTGTAAGTACTTTTCCAATTTGGACATTTTTCTTTTACTGTTGCTTATAATATTTTTAAAGATATGGATTTTTTTTTCAGTGGCCAAATATATTATTCTTATCCTTAAGATCTCTTCTATTGCTCTGAGGCTTAAAATATCTTTCATCATCTGAAACTCAATTAAATATTTATTATATATTATTCTAGTATTTCATACTGGCAATCTTAACTTTTCACTATGCTGTGTTAAGTAAAATTTGTGTATATCATAACTGCCCAAAGCAATAACTGCCTGTATTTTAAAAAGTAACTCTTTAATCCATTTATAATTTAATTTAGGAGATAATGTGAGGTAAGGTTCTCATTTTATTTTATTCCAACACTCATTAAAAAATTCACCCCTTTCCAAATAATTAACATTTCTTTTATCTTCTATTAAGCTTATAGGTATTCTAGCATGCAATTCAAGACTATCCCTTCTATTTCATGACATCATATTTTAATTGTTGTATAATGCCATATTGTTTCAACTACAGTAGTATATATGTCAAATACATAAGAATGACATTTTTACTTCTGTTGCAGGAGGCAATGCTTGTTTTGTCTAATGAAATTCAGAATCACTTTCAAAATCAAAATTCCAAACCATGTTAAATGTATGAATGAATGAGGGACTAATTAATATCTTTGCAATATACAATCTTTCCAACTAGATATATAGTTGTCTTTCTATTCATTCTTTTTTTATATTTCTAAGTTGAAGTTTCAGATCTGATTTTGGTTTCTTTCCAATATGTTATAATAAAGTTTCAGGTATACAAAAAAGTTGAAAGAATTTTATAGTGAGCACTTACACAGATTATCTCATTGACACCTTAATTCCTTTATCTCAATCCATCTTGAGATTTTTATACACTTTAAATTATGTATATATATACACATGTATGTGTATATGTGTGTGTGTGTGTATATATATATATCAGTACATATCCTCTTAAATATTTCAGAATACATATCATTAACTGCAGTTCAGTATTTGTTTACAGGTTTTTGTGGTAAAATTTACACACAATGAAAGACAAAAATCTTAACTATATATTGGCTGAGTTTTGACAAATGCTTACATCTATGTACCCAAACCTCCATCAAGATGTAAACATTGCATCATTCCAGGAAATTCCCTCATGTCCCTTTTTCATCAATAACCATTTCTTCCCCCAGAGTAAATCACTATTCTGTTTTTCTCCACCATGAATTAGTTTTGCCTATTTTAGAACAACATATTATGGAATACCGTTCCCATGTGTACTCTTGTAGATGACTTCTTTCACATGACAAAACCTTTTGAGATTCCTCTGTGCTGTTGCATGTTCAATAATTTGTTCCTTTCTATTCCTAAGTAGTATTCCATTGCATGAATATACTGTAATGTGTTTATTCATTCTCCTATTGATAGACACCTGGGCTGTTTCCAGTTTATAATTATTATTATTATATACTAATAAGGTCTTGCTAGGAACATACTTGTACAAACCTTTTTGTAGGCATATATTTTCAGTTTTCTTGGTTAATTACCTGGGATTCAAATTTCTGGGTCACAGGGTAGATATGTGTTCAGATTTATGAAAAATTATGAGACATTTTGCCAAACGCCCACTAACAATGTATGACAGTTCCAGTTGCTCCACATTCTTGACAATTGGGATTGTTTCCATCTTTCATTTTAGAACTTCTGAAGGGTGAATAAGGATGTCACATTGTGGTTTGAATTTTCCTGATAAGTAATGATATTGAGTATTTTTATATCTGGTCATTGGCCAGGTGTATATATTTTGTGAAATGCCTGTCCAGTTAATTTGCTCATTTTTACTCCTTTATTATTAAATTGCAGGAGTTCTTTATACATCCTGGATACCAGTCTATTGTCAGATAACATCTGTTTTACTTATAATTTTATCCAGTTTGTAGATTGCCTACCTAACAGTGTCTATCTATGAGCAGAAGTTTTCTTAATAACGTCTATTTATGAGCAGAAGTTTCAAGCTTTGATGAAGTCTAATTTATCAGTTTTTCTGAGTCTTGTCAAAGAAAACTTAGTCTATCCCTAAGTCATAAAGATACTATCCTATATTTCTATTGAAAACTGTGTGGTTTGTATATTGTATAAAGTGGCAGTTAAAGTCCTTTTTCTCACGAGAATAACTGGCTATTGCAGCATCCTTAGTTAGAAGACTTTTCTTTCTGTATTGAATTGCTTTGATGATTCTATCAAAAATTAGTTGGCCAGTGGAGTGTGTTTATGAGCTTTCTGTTCTGTTCCACTAATCATTTGTTGATGGTTATGCCAGTACCACATTGTCTTAATTGCTTTAGCTTTAAAATGAGTCTTGAAATCAGATAGTATAAGTTGACTAACTGTTCTTCTTTATCAAGATTGTTTTATCAAAGTATTCTATGTGCTTGCATTTATATATAAATAGTAGAGTCATTTTTTTCAGTTTCTGCAAAAGTCTTTCTATTGTGATTATGTTGAATCTATTGGTCGGTTGGGAGAGGATTAACATCTTGACAACATTATATCTTCGTATCCATAACCACCCATTGATTTGGGTCTTCTTTATTTACTCTCAGCAATGTTTTATAGTTTTCAGTGTAGAGGTCTTGTACATATACTGTTAAATCTAATCCCCAGTATTTTTTGTTTTTGATAATCTGTAAAGGGTTTCTTAAAATTTTACTTCCCAAACATTTGTTGCTAGTATATAAATAATAAAATTGATTTGTGTATGTTTACCTTGAATCTTACGAGCTCTCTAAATTCACGGATTACTTCTAGTAGTTGTTTCATAGATTTATTAAGATTTTATATGTAAACAATCATGACACCAGCAAATAAGTACAATTTTACCTCTTCCTATCTGTATGCATTTTTTTTATTTTTGGTTTTTCTCCTTTTGCAATGGCTGCAATCGCAGTACAATGTTAAATAGAATGGTGAGAGAGGGCATCTTTGCCTTGTTTCCAATCTTAGTGAGAAAGTGTTCAATATTTCACCAATAAGTATGATGTTTGATGTATCTTTTTAATAAATAATCTTTATCGATTGAGAAGTTTCTCTTTTATTACTAGATGGTTTTATTGCTAGATTAATGACTAGATTGTTTTTATCAATGGGATGTTCATTTTCTGTCAAGTCTCTTTTCTCCTTGATGCATGTTTCTTCCTAGTTCTGTTAATGCAGTGGATTATACTGTTGGATTTTTAAGTGTTAAATGAACTTTATATTTCTGAGATAATTCTGACATAATAAAAAAGTCAGAATGTGTCATTCTTTTCATATACACTACTGGATTGGGTTTGCTAATATTTTGTTAAGGGTTTTTGAGGCTCTGTTCATCCAGGACTTTTTGTCAGTAATTCTTTCTATCTTCCTTTAATTTTTTGGAACAAGAGGAAATATCTGTCAGATTTGGGCATTATAGTTTCATAAATGAGGGTCATGAAATGAATTAGGGAGTGTTTCTTCCTCCTCTCTTTTCTGAAAAGAGTTTGTAAACGATGTTATTTCTTCTTAAATATTGAGAGAATTCACTTGTGAAAATATTGAGACCTAGAATTTTCTTTGAGGGAAGATGTTTATTAACTTCTTTGACTCCACATTTACTTGGAGAATTTGGTATGTGTTTATTTGTGTGTTGGGGAAGGGGGTTATTTTAAACCCTATTATTCTTTTTTATTCTTTTTTTTTTTCAGCTTTTTATCTAATGGAGCTCTGCTCTACTGAGGTGGAATCGCTTCCAAATTTTCTTGCCTTATTCTTTAACATTCAAAATCAGCAGAACATATGAAAGTCTACAGTGTCCAGCAGGCCCTGCTGCTCAGTCTGTCCTTGTCTCTGTCCTCATCACACAACTTTACTTATAGTATCTATTCCTCCCAGGATCCATGTATTAAGGTCACAACTTTCTACCCTGTCATTTTACAAAACATATGATCTTCAACAAATATATTGAGGATGGCAAGATTTGGCTGCCTTAAAAAGCAACTCACAGACTTGAGAGATGGCCATCCAATTTTTTAATTGCTGCAGATGCTATGTCTCTGAGCCAATGCAAAGAGAGGGAGAGGGAAAGAGCGTCTCCACTTTTACGATGGCAGGGCTGCACTGTTTCTGTGTCTTCATTAGAGAGGTTAATTGGAAATCAAGAGAGGCTGTGTCACGGGCAGCAATAGCTAGCCAGATGCCATTTTAAACTGGAATTTATCCAGCTGATTTCTTTGAAAATCTACCATGCTTTGCTCAATAGACACACTGCTGGCTGGCACCAAGGAAATGACTGGTACGTAAGCACACATTCAGCATTTAGTAGTTCATTTTTCCCTTCCTTCTGCTCCTTCAGCTGATCATGTCCTCAATTATACTCAGAAATGAGGGATTCCCTTCATGAATCAGTAAGGGTTGAGAGCAATGGCTAAGAGTTCCGACTGAGTCTTCCTCAACTTATCTGCATTCCTGGTTACTGCAAAGTTTTTATAAGATCCTGGAAATACCAGGCTATTTGAACCCATTCAGTTATCTCTGGCTCATGCACCTCATCCATCAGCAAATTAAAACTTGGATGTGAGATGTCAGTGAAGGAAAGAGAAGCATGGTCCCTTAACTGCTACAAATAATATGCAAGTGAGCTAGCAGAGGTATGTCATAAAAGGGATGAGGGGCAAAAAGGATCTCCCTCTAGGCCTAGGAACATTCTGAATTTGATGCTTTCCTGTGGATTATAATCCCACAAGACACAATGCCAAATGCCATAACCCAAATGTTGAAATCCCTGACATCCACATTTCTAAAGTCTAAAATTCCTAAGGTCTAAAATCCCAAAAATCACAAACACAGGATAGTTGCATCAGGTTAGGGAGAACGATTACTCTGTTAGTGTCTTTGTTTGGAAGTTAAGTATGGTTTAAGGAGATGCATATGGGTGCCAAGTTGACAAGAGGTGGACTTGTGAATTTAATTTTAGGTGTCACCTTGACTAGATTAAGGAGTCCCTAGAAACCTGATAAAGCATTATTTTGGGAGTGTCTGTGAGGTTGTTTCCAGATGAGATGAGTGTGAGTCTGAGTGAACTCCGTAGGGAAGATCTGCCCTCAACCTTGTCAGGCACCCTCCAATCAGCCAGGGCACAGAAGGCGAATCAATTTCTCTCTGAGAGCTGGGGCAGACTCTCTTCTGCTGCTTTGGACATCAGTACTCCAGGCTTGCTGGCCTTTGGACTTCAGTTGTTATACCTACAGCCCCGCAGGTAGTGAAGCTTTCGGTTCTTGACTGATAGACCATAAGCTTCTCTGGTTCTCAACATAAAAACATTGAAATTTCCTCTGTAGTGTAAGAGATGTTATTTTTGTTCGTTTTCGTTTTTGAAAGCTAAAATTTATTGAGATCTCAGCTCTTTGCAAGACTGCATATGCAGTGGTGACCCATTGAGGGTTTTGGTCAGTCTCATCAAAATACAGGTTGTCTGACACGATATTTCAAGTGACCACAGTTATAAAGCCGGGTGCAGCCAATTACCAACCATGATGATATGCATTCATACATTTCGCTTTTTGACCTATTTCTTTATGAATACATTTGTCTGATCATAACTGTTACACTCCTGTAAATGTTTTTAGTATACCTGGGTGTTTATGCTTATAAAAAATGTATGTTATTATTCCCTATTTCATTGTGTAAACTGGCCTAGGAAGTGTTCTGTCATGTTTTTATATGTTTCTCAGGAAAACCCATTTTAACATGTAAATAAATGTTTTTTAAAGAATATTTTATTATTTTTTCCAGAATCATATTTTCAGGATTTTGATCTTTTGGGATTTCAACATTTGCAATTACGGCATTAAGATTGTATCTTCCAGGATTAGGATCAGCTTCTGAATACTTACAGTCTAATGCCAAGGAAGAAAGCTAATGGCCAAAATATTTAAATAGCTTAGTCTTTTGATGAACAACTAACTCAGCTATTTGAGTTGCTAATGTCAAAGCAAAGACAAAATTCCCAGGAATAATGTTCCAGAGCAAACTTGCTCAATTTTTAAATGCGTTTTAACAATGATCATGTATTGACAGAATAGAACAAGGATTTTTTAAAATTGATCTGCAGAAAAAAATGGCTTATCTATACCTGTCATGTCTAACATGGTAACAACTAGCCACATGGGGCTATTAACCCATGTGAAATGTGGCTAATCCAAATTAATATGTGCTGTAAGTATATAACACACACCAGATACAAGTACAAAGACAAAGACATAGTATGAAAAAAGGAACGTATTTTACTAATAATGTCTCTGAGAAGTTGCATGTTAAAATAATCATATTTTAGATTTATTGGATTAAAGAAAATGTGTTATTAAAATTAATTTTACCTCTGTTTTTACTTGTTTAATGTGGTTCCTAGAAAATTTTAAATTACATATGTGGCTCATAGTAGATTTCTATTAGACAGCTCTAAACAATTAAAATAATGGCATACTGGAAAAAGTTCTTGTGCATGTATATTAGTTCACCAGGGCTGCCATAGCAAAGTACCACAGATTGACATAAATAATAGAAATGTATTTCTCACAGTTCTGGGGGCTGGAGTCTGAGGTCACGGTGTTGGCAGGGTTGGTTTCTTCTGAGGCTTCTCTCCTTGGCTTGCAGATGGCCACCTCCTCCCTGTGCCTTCACATGGTCTTCAGCACCTGTCTGCATCTGAATTTCCCATTCCTATAAGGAGGACATCAGTCAGGGGAGGAGCCAAGATGGCTGAATAGGAACAGCTCCGGTCTACAGCTCCCAGCGTGAGCGACGCAGAAGACGGGTGATTTCTGCATTTCCATCTGAGGTACCGGGTTCATCTCACTAGGGAGTGCCAGACAGTGGGCGCAGGTCAGTGGGTGCGCGCACCGTGCGCGAGCCGAAGCAGGGTGAGGCATTGCCTCACTCGGGAAGCGCAAGGGGTCAGGGAGTTCCCTTTCCTAGTCAAAGAAAGGGGTGACGGACGGCACCTGGAAAATCGGGTCACTCCCACCCGAATACTGCGCTTTTCCGACGGGCTTAAAAAACGGCGCGCCACGAGATTATATCCCACACCTGGCTCGGAGGGTTCTACGCCCACGGAGTCTCACTGATTGCTAGCACAGCAGTCTGAGATCAAACTGCAAAGCGGCAGCGAGGCTGGGGGAGGGGCGCCCGCCATTGCCCAGGCTTGCTTAGGTAAGCGAAGCAGCCAGGAAGCTCGAACTGGGTGGAGCCCACCACAACTCAAGGAGGCCTGCCTGCCTCTGTAGGCTCCACCTCTGGGGGCAGGGCACAGACAAACAAAAAGACAGCAGTAACCTCTGCAGACTTAAATGTCCCTGTCTGACAGCTTTGAAGAGAGCAGTGGTTCTCCCAGTACGCAGCTGGAGAGCAGCTGGAGATCTGAGAACGGGCAGACTGCCTCCTCAAATGAGTCCCTGACCCCTGACCCCCGAGCAGCCTAACTGGGAGGCACCCCCCTGCAGGGGCACACTGACACCTCACACGGCAGGGTACTCCAACACACCTGCAGCTGAGGGTCCTGTCTGTTAGAAGGAAAACTAACAAACAGAAAGGACATCCACACCAAAAACCCATCTGTACATCACCATCATCAAAGACCAAAAGTAGATAAAACCACAAAGATGGGGAAAAAACAGAACAGAAAAACTGGAAACTCTAAAAAGCAGAGCGCCTCTCCTCCTCCAAAGGAACGCAGTTCCTCACCAGCAATGGAACAAAGCTGGACGGAGAACGACTTTGACGAGCTGAGAGAAGGCTTCAGACGATCAAATTACTCTGAGCTACGGGAGGACATTCAAACCAAAGGCAAAGAAGTTGAAAACTTTGAAAAAAATTTAGAAGAATGTATAACTAGAATAACCAATACAGAGAAGTGCTTAAAGGAGCTGATGGAGCTGAAAACCAAGGCTCGAGAACTACGTGAAGAATGCAGAAGCCTCAGGAGCCGCTGCGATCAACTGGAAGAAAGGGTATCAGCGATGGAAGATGAAATGAATGAAATGAAGCAAGAAGGGAAGTTTAGAGAAAAAAGAATAAAAAGAAATGAGCAAAGCCTCCAAGAAATATGGGACTATGTGAAAAGACCAAATCTACGTCTGATTGGTGTACCTGAAAGTGACGGGGAGAATGGAACCAAGTTGGAAAACACTCTGCAGGATATTATCCAGGAGAACTTCCCCAATCTAGCAAGGCAGGCCAACGTTAAGATTCAGGAAATACAGAGAACTCCACAAAGATACTCCTCGAGAAGAGCAACTCCAAGACACATAATTGTCAGATTCACCAAAGTTGAAATGAAGGAAAAAATGTTAAGGGCAGCCAGAGAGAAAGGTCGGGTTACCCTCAAAGGGAAGCCCATCAGACTAACAGCGGATCTCTCGGCAGAAACCCTACAAGCCAGAAGAGAGTGGGGGCCAATATTCAACATTCTTAAAGAAAAGAATTTTCAACCCAGAAATTCATATCCAGCCAAACTAAGCTTCATAAGTGAAGGAGAAATAAAATACTTTACAGACAAGCAAATGCTGAGAGATTTTGTCACCACCAGGCCTGCCCTAAAAGAGCTCCTGAAGGAAGTGCTAAACATGGAAAGGAACAACTGGTACCAGCTGCTGCAAAATCATGCCAAAATGTAAAGACCATCGAGACTAGGAAGAAACTGCATCAACTAACGAGCAAAATAACCAGCTAACATCATAATGACAGGATCAAATTCACACATAACAATATTAACTTTAAATGTAAATGGACTAAATGCTCCAATTAAAAGACACAGACTGGCAAATTGGATAAAGAGTCAAGATCCATCAGTGTGCTGTATTCAGGAAACCCATCTCATGTGCAGAGACACACATAGGCTCAAAATAAAAGGATGGAGGAAGATCTACCAAGCAAATGGAAAACAAAAAAAGGCAGGGGTTGCAATCCTAGTCTCTGATAAAACAGACTTTAAACCAACAAAGATCAAAAGAGACAAAGAAGGCAATTACATAATGGTAAAGGGATCAATTCAACAAGAAGAGCTAACTATCCTAAATATATATACACCCAATACAGGAGCACCCAGATTCATAAAGCAAGTCCTGAGTGACCTACAAAGACACTTAGACTCCCACACATTAATAATAGGAGACTTTAACACCCCACTGTCAACATTAGACAGATCAACAAGACAGAAAGTCAACAAGGATACCCAGGAATTGAACTCAGCTCTGCACCAAGCGGACCTAATAGACATCTACAGAACTCTCCACCCCAAATCAACAGAATATACATTTTTTTCAGCACCACACCACACCTATTCCAAAATTGACCACATACTTGGAAGTAAAGCTCTCCTCAGCAAATGTAAAAGAACAGAAATTATAACAAACTATCTCCCAGACCCCAGTGCAATCAAACTAGAACTCAAGATTCAGAATCTCACTCAAAACCGCTCAACTACATGGAAACTGAACAACCTGCTCCTGAATGACTACTGGGTACATAACGAAATGAAGGCAGAAATAAAGATGTTCTTCGAAACCAACGAGAACAAAGACACAACATACCAGAATCTCTGGGACGCATTCAAAGCAGTGTGTACAGGGAAATTTATAGCACTAAATGCCCACAAGAGAAAGCAGGAAAGATCCAAAATTGACACCCTAACATCACAATTAAAAGAACTAGAAAAGCAAGAGCAAACACATTCAAAAGCTAGCAGAAGGCAAGAAATAACTAAAATCAGAGCAGAACTGAAGGAAATAGAGACACAAAAAACCCTTCAAAAAATTAATGAATCCAGGAGCTGGTTTTTTGAAAGGATCAACAAAATAGATAGACCACTAGCAAGACTAATAAAGAAAAAAAGAGAGAAGAATCAAATAGACACAATAAAAAATGATAAAGGGGATATCACCACTGATCCCACACAAATACAAACTACCATCAGAGAATACTACAAACACCTCTACGCAAATAAACTAGAAAATCTAGAAGAAATGGATAAATTCCTGGACACATACACTCTCCCAAGACTAAACCAGGAAGAAGTTGAATCTCTGAATAGACCAATAACAGGATCTGAAATTGTGGCAATAATCAATAGCTTACCAACCAAAAAGAGTCCAGGACCAGATGGATTCACAGCCGAATTCTACCAGAGGTACAAGGAGGAACTGGTACCATTTCTTCTGAAACTATTCCAATCAATAGAAAAAGAGGGAATCCTCCCTAACTCATTTTATGAGGCCAGCATCATTCTGATACCAAAGCCTGGCAGAGACACAACCAAAAAAGAGAATTTTAGACCAATATCCTTGATGAACATTGATGCAAAAATCCTCAATAAAATACTGGCAAAACGAATCCAGCAGCACATCAAAAAGCTTATACACCATGATCAAGTGGGCTTCATCCCTGGGATGCAAGACTGGTTCAATATACGCAAATCAATAAATGTAATCCAGCATATAAACAGAGCCAAAGACAAAAACCACATGATTATCTCAATAGATGCAGAAAAGGCCTTTGACAAAATTCAACAACCCTTCATGCTAAAAACTCTCAATAAATGAGGTATTGATGGGATGTATTTCAAAATAATAAGAGCTATCTATGACAAACCCACAGCCAATATCATACTGAATGGGCAAAAACTGGAAGCATTCCCTTTGAAAACTGGCACAAGACAGGGATGCCCTCTCTCACCACTCCTATTCAACATAGTGTTGGAAGTTCTGGCCAGGGCAATTAGGCAGGAGAAGGAAATAAAGCGTATTCAATTAGGAAAAGAGGAAGTCAAATTGTCCCTGTTTGCAGACGACATGATTGTATATCTAGAAAACCCCATTGTCTCAGCCCAAAATCTCCTTAAGCTGATAAGCAACTTCAGCAAAGCCTCAGGATACAAAACCAATGTACAAAAATCACAAGCATTCTTATACACCAACAACAGACAAACAGAGAGCCAAATCATGAGTGAACTCCCATTCACAATTGCTTCAAAGAATAAAATACCTAGGAATCCAACTTACAAGGGATGTGAAGGACCTCTTCAAGGAGAACTACAAACCACTGCTCAATGAAATAGAAGAGGATACAAACAAATGGAAGAACATTCCATGCTCATGGGTAGGAAGAATCAATATCGTGAAAATGGCCATACTGCCCAAGGTAATTTACAGATTCAATGCCATCCCCATCGAGCTACCAATGCCTTTCTTCACAGATTTGGAAAAAACTACTTTAAAGTTCATATGGAACCAAAAAAGAGCCCGCATCGCCAAGTCAATCCTAAGCCAAAAGAACAAAGCTGGAGGCATCACACTACCTGACTTCAAACTATACTACAAGGCTACAGTAACCAAAACAGCATGGTACTGGTACCAAAACAGAGATATAGATCAATGGAACAGAACAGAGCCCTCAGAAATAACGCCGCATATCTACAACTATCTGATCTTTGACAAACCTGAGAAAAACAAGCAATGGGGAAAGGATTACCTATTTAATAAATGGTGCTGGGAAAACTGGCTAGCCATATGTAGAAAGCTGAAACTGGATCCCTTCCTTACACCTTATACAAAAATCAATTCAAGATGGATTAAAGACTTAAACGTTAGACCTAAAACCATAAAAACCCTAGAAGAAAACCTAGGCAATACCATTCAGGACATAGGCATGGGCAAGGACTTCATGTCTAAAACACCAAAAGCAATGGCAACATAAGACAAAATTGACAAATGGGATCTAATTAAACTAAAGAGCTTCTGTACAGCAAAAGAAACTACCATCAGAGTGAACAGGCAACCTACAAAATGGGAGAAAATTTTTGCCACCTACTCATCTGACAAAGGGCTAATATCCAGAATCTACAATGAACTCAAACAAATTTACAAGAAAAAAACAACCCCATCAAAAAGTGGGCGAAGGACATGAACAGACACTTCTCAAAAGAAGATATTTATGCAGCCAAAAAACACATGAAAAAATGCTCACCATCACTGGCCATCAGAGAAATGCAAATCAAAACCACAATGAGATACCATCTCACACCAGTTAGAATGGCAATCATTAAAAAGTCAGGAAACAACAGGTGCTGGAGAGGATGTGGAGAAATAGGAACACTTTTACACTGTTGGTGGGACTGTAAACTAGTTCAACCATTGTGGAAGTCAGTGTGGCGATTCCTCAGGGATCTAGAACTAGAAATACCATTTGACCCAGCCATCCCATTACTGGGTATATACCCAAAGGACTATAAATCATGCTGCTATAAAGACACATGCACACGTATGTTTATTGCGGCACTATTCACAATAGCAAAGACTTGGAACCAACCCAAATGTCCAACAATGATAGACTGGATTAAGAAAATGTGGCACATATACACCATGGAATACTATGCAGCCATAAAAAATGATGAGTTCATGTCCTTTGTAGGGACATGGATGAAATTGGAAATCATCATTCTCAGTAAACTATTGCAAGAACAAAAAACCAAACACCGCATATTCTCACTCATAGGTGGGAATTGAACAATGAGATCACATGGACACAGGAAGGGGAACATCACACTCTGGGGACTGTTGTGGGGTGGGGGGAGGGGGGAGGGATAGCATTGGGAGATATACCTAATGCTAGATGACGAGTTAGTGGGTGCAGCGCACCAGCGTGGCGTATGTATACATATGTAACTAACCTGCACAATGTGCACATGTACCCTAAAACTTAAAGTATAATAATAAAAGAAAAAAAAAAAAAGAAGGACATCAGTCATATTGGATGAAGGCCCACAGGAAAGAAAGGCCTCATTTAATCTTAATTACCTCTTTAAAAATCCTATCTCCAAAAGCGATTACGTTCTGAGGTACTAGGGGTTTAGGGTTGCAAGAACAGGAATTTGGGGGGATACAAGTCAGCCCATAACAGCATGACATTGTCCTGGGTTTGGAACTTGTGTTCAGTATTTACTAGCTATATGATCCTCAGAAAGAAATGTCCCTTCTCTTTACCCAAAATTTATTACCATTAAAACAGGGATAATTTATTATATTTCATGATATGTATGTGGGTATATGTATATAATATTTTATCTTAAGCATTTCGTCAAGTTATTAGGTATCTCACTATAATATAAATAAGAAGTTTGAGGGCTGCATTTTTCCACTTCTGCCACTATACCAACATGTATTTAACCAATCCACTCTTAGAGTATATCAAATTGTTTCTAACTTTCTACTAACTTTCTACTCTAACTTTCTACTCTTACTTGTAGTAAGTCACAAGTCAGTTGAGTCAGTGTCAGCAAAGTCATGCTTCCTCCAGAGGTTTAGTGTAGGATCCTGCCTAGGCTCTTCCAGCTTCTGGTGGCTCCTGACATTCCTTGGCTGGTAGCAGTGTCACTCCAATGCCTGCCTCTGTCTTCACATGGTCTTCTTCCTTGGGTCTCTTTGCATCTTCTCCTTTTCTGTCTCTTAGAAGGACACCTGTGATTGGATTTAGGGCCCACCCTAATCCAGGATGATCTCACCTCAACTGTATTAGTCTATTGTTACGCTGCTGATAAAGACATACCTGAGACTGAGACTGGGTGATTTATAAAGAAAAAGAGATTTAATGGGCTCACAGTTCCATGTGGCTGAGAAGGCCTCACAATCATGGCAGAAGACAAAAGGCATGTCTTACAAAATGGCAGGCAAGAGACAGAATGAGCTTGTGCAGGGGAATTTCTCTTCATAATACCATCAGATCTCATGAGGATTATTCACTACCATGAGAATAGCAAGGAAACGCATGTCCACATGATTCAATTGCCTCCCACACACGTGGGAATTGTAGGAGCTACAATTCAAAATGAGATTTGGGTGGGGACACAGCCAAACCATAACAGTGCTATAATGAATAAGCTTGAATGTATCTTTATATCATTCATATCTCTGATATTTCCTTAGCAATAAATTCTGAGAAGCAGAATTAACTGGTCAAGGGATATGTATCTTTTAAGATTCTTTTACATCTGTTGAGAAATTCAGGAGGTAGACTCCCAACATTAGGAATAAAATTTCATTTTTCCCCATACCATGGCAAGAACTAGGGATTATCTTTTTTTTAATATATTTGTCTATTTGATGGGTGAAAATGATATCTTTTTACTTAATTTTTATTTTTTTCACCATTTCAACAATTATTTAAATTATTTCAAAAAAAAAAAGTATTTTAAAACAAGGAGAGCCTTCTGCCCTGCTGACTGGATATTTGAAATGTTCACAGAGCCCTCGGGAGTTTTGGTTCTTCATTCAAACTTTCAATTCCATAGAGTTTCTCTATCACATCTCAACTGACTTTTGTCATGCTCTCCATATATGTAGTTTTTTAAGATTGCCAACTCTATATTAGTTGCCTACAGCTTCCACAACAACTTACCCCAAAGTTGGTGGCTTAAAACAACAGAATTTTATTCTCTCATAATTCTGGAGGCCAGCAGTCCAAAATCAAGGTGCCAGCAAAGTTATGCTTCCTCCAAAGGTTCTAGTGTAGGATCCTGCCTTGGCTCTTCCAACTTCTGATGGCTCCTAACATTCCTTGGCTGGTGGCAGCATCATCCCAATGTCTGCCTCTGTCTTTACATGACCTTCTTCCTTGGGTCTCTTTGCATCTTCTCCTTTTCTGTCCCTTAGAAGGACACTTGTCATTGGATTTAGGGCCCACCCTAATCCAGGATGATCTCACCTCAAGCTCCTTACCTTAATTATAGCTGCAAACATCTCATTTCCAAATAAGGTCACATTCACAGGTTCCAGGGGCTAGGACTGGACATATCCCTTAGGGAACAGTTTTCAGTCCATTATGCCTCCAGAGCCCGGCTCCTTTGAAGTTCCCCATGGAGTCAGTTCACTTCCATTCCATTAGCTGAATGGTGAGTGCTACTGCCCCCACTATTTGGTTTCTCTTGACACATGAGAAAGCAAATAGTAATGGCTACAACTAAATAAAGGAATTGTTTGTCTTGTTTCTATAATGTCATGTGAAGAGTTTCACTTTTTTTTCATATACAATGAACATTTGTTGCAATGCATAGGACAGTCTACTGACTTAGGGTGAGCAGGGGGGCAGAGAGGAGCAGGTGTCACATGTTGAACACACAATGCCCCCATCAAAAACCTCCGTTAAAAAACTCAGATTCTATGAGGGAAAGAATGACAAAAATAAAACGATTTCAATATAAACTGAACATTGATGAGAAATATAAGCCAAACATCCTAGGGCATCTAAGAAAGGAGTGTGCTATTCTGCCTGAGAAAAGCCAGGAGGGAGGAGACACTGGACGTGGACAAGGAGGGATGATCATTGATCCATCCAGTGGCTCAGGAGGGAAGGGCATTCCAGGCAGAGGGAACAGTGTGTTCTAGGCATAGACTCAGAAGTGTGCATGGGAAGTTTATTGAGGAGGTGGGATGTCCAACATACCCAGAGTGCAAAGCAGCAGTAGGGCCATACGCAGAGTATCCCAATTAGAAAGTCTTATTGAAAGAAAATAAGATAAATTTGTGAATAACACAAAATGAGGTACAGTTCCGAGTCCCCCACCAAAATGCCGATCTCTCCCTCAGTAAAGGCCAGACATAAAAGGGTACTGCATGATTCCATTTAAGTGACGTTTCTAGAACAATCCAAATCTATAGTGATTAAAAAAAAAAAAAAAAGCAAGTTAGTGCTTGTCTGGGGCAAAGTGTGCAGGGAGGTTGCGTGTAAAGAGACAGGAAGGAGTGGTCCGGGTGACAGAAATGTTCTATGCTTTGATTGCAGTGATGGTTACCCAAGTATATACATTTGTCAAAACTCACAAACAGTCCCCTTAGGTGTGTGGATTTCATTGTATATTTATACCTCAATAAAGATGATTTTTAAAAATGTAGGAGCAAAAGGGAATATTCACTTAGAATGAGAAAAGAAATTACAACTAATTATAAATTTTGTCAATAAAAAGCTGAATAGTACCAGAAACATCTCAGCCATTCAGAAAAATAGCCATTTTGTGCATTAATGAACTGCCGACCTACTTTGATAACATTGTTTTTCCTACTTGTTTTGGCTTCATTCTCTTTGTCTCTTCCCATGTCAGTAGTAGTATAACAAGTTTTATAATATTAATGGTTGATCAGTTTGACTTTTATTACTGATAATTTAGAAAATGTCTCTCCACTTCCTAACTCTTTGTTCATATCCTTTGTATTTTTTAAGGATTGTCACAAAGTTTGGCAAAACCTCCATGAATTTTTTTCGTATTTGAGCTCTGGAACTTGTAAGGATTGTCCACAGACTAGCTTCCAGCTCTGTACATTTCAAACTTGGTTTCTCCGCCATACTTTGGGCACCACAGAACACGTTCACGTCGTGAAACAGCCTCTGGCCCCAAACCTTCACTTGGCAACATTCACACATCACATGTGAGTCGGCACAGTAGGTGGTACCAGTGTCCTTGGAAGCAGATTTCGACACTGGGATGATTAGCAATTACTTACCCGTATATGGAAGCGACTGCAAATCACACAGCTATAAGCCCAAACTAAGTGTATCCCCAACTCAGTATCTTCTTAGCCAGATTCCCAAAGTCCTTGGGACCGCTCTAACAGTACAGAAGAGACAGAGGAATGGTACAAATATCAGAGAAGAAGAGAGAGTGGCCTTAACCTATATCAGTTTAAATATCTTATTTTCACAAATTTGGCAGAACCACATGGCCATGGGAATACATTGCTAGGACTGCTAGCAAGGACTCTAAAGCTGAAAAACCTCAGGGGCTGCTCAGTGAGGCTGCCTCAGGGCAGTGGCTGCCGTGGGTAGTTTTGGGAAAGTGGTCGGGACCAGATTTGGAGAGCTTTCAGTCAGGTGCTGAAATACAGCCTTTAACCTCCAGGCAGAGGGGCTTTTCCTTTAACGAAGAGAACAGAATCACTTTGTGTTGGTGGGGGAACTCTGGCAGCCATGGAAAGGGTTGCTTCAGGGTTTACTGTTTGTTTGTTTTAGTTTCTTCTTTTAACTCACAGCATTTCTTATGCAACCCCCCTCAAAATAAAAATACCTTTTCTATTTAAGTGTCTTTAAATTAAGAAAACTGTATTAAATACATTAAAGATAATTTTGAAAAAAGCCCAGAACTCCCCCCTACCGCGGCCAACCAATTTCACCAAGCTAAACTTGTTTAAGTCACTTAATTATCTAAGTGAACAAAGTGGTTCAGAACATACACTGCAAAGTAAAATTCCTCACTTCAAAATTTGGCACCACCGCTTCCTAACTCTGTGACTCTAGGCAAATTATCTAAGCTCTGCAACCTCAGTTTCCTCATCTGTAAAACAGAAAAAACAATAGAAGCTAAGTGTAGAGTCACTGTGCAGATGAAATGAGCTGATTCACTGGGAGCACAGGGCACCATTTCTGACTCAATCAATGTTAGCAGTGATGAATATTTCTGTCTACCCCTTCCCCAGGCAGATATGTTTTATTGAGTCTCCACCTCTGCAGGCTCTTTTTCATGATTCTTTATCATTATGCCAACCATTAAAATATTCAGGGCCAAGCGAAACATTTCAACTAAAAACAGCTAGTTGAATGCGTTGTGTGGCCCGTTTCCTGAGAGCACTTGAGGGGAGTCGTAGGGTGTCGGAGAAATTAGTCACTGAGAAGGGACACAGAAAGAGGGAAGCCAAGACAAACTGTGTTAGTCAGGACTCTTTGGGTTTCAATAGAAAAAAGCCCAACTCAAACATATTTAAGAATAAAAAGGCAAGATTGGCAGAGCATGGAGGCTCACGACTGCAATCCCGCACTTTGGGAGGCCAAGGCAGGCAGATCCCTTGAGGTCAGGAGATTGAGACCAGCCTGCCCAACATAGCTAAACCCTGTTTCTACTAAAAACACAAAAATTAGCTAGGCATGGTGGAGGGCGCCTGTAGTCCCAGCTACTCGGGAGGCTGAGGCAGGAGAATTGCTTGAATCCCAGAGGCAGAGGTTGCAGTGAGCTGAGATCGCACGACTGCACTCCAGCCTGGGCCACAGAATGAGACTCTGTTTCAAAAAAAATTTTTTTAAAGACAGTATTGTCCCCTACGACAGAAGGGAAATGGGGTAATGGTACTGCATGCTTATCTGGATCAAGGAGCTCAAATAATATTGTCAGGCATCTCCACTTTCTCTCAGCTTTGTGTCCCTCTGTACATTTCCTCATTTTCTCCTCTAGCTATCGTGATGCAGAGGGCAGTGGGCATGTCCCCAGACAACCCCAGGCTGACATCATTGCTGTTTAGCATCAACCAAGGGAAGAGCTCGTCAGCTTGCCTCATGTGGCCACAGATGGTAGGATATTGTCCTTGGCAACCTCACCAGAACCCTAAGAAGGGAAGGGTGAGGTGATATTCCCAAGAGAAAGGGTGAAGGGATGCAAAACAGACAGAGAGATGCCACTTGACAAGGGTTCTCATGGCCAAGGTCAGCCATTGCATCTTCAATCACAATTTCCATTTCAAGACTCATTTCCCACCCACAGGGTGTGGGCTTCTTGGAGGCCTCAAATGGTGGGAGTCTGTCACCCACATGGACTCTGCAGCAAGCCGCCACCTGCTTCTTCATAAGAGGCAAACTCGCTCAGAGGCCTGGGCTGCGGCTGTGGGCGCCCAGTCAGGCACTGGGCATTCTTGGGCCTGGGCAGTTGCTGAGTCAAAGGGCCGAGGGCCAAGGCACGGGCTGCCCTATCCTGCTCCCCTCAGATGGGTGGTACTGAATGTTCTCCAGGCGATGCAGGGCTGCTGTGCTACTTTAATTGGAGACGGTGATGGTGAAACCTTCAGGGGAAATTCAGGTGCCAAATGCCTCTCCTAGAGGCGCATTAAAAGTGTCTAGTAGTTGACCAACCCAAATAGCAGGCATCTCTGGGGAATTTCCCAGCAGGGGCCTCGCCCTATCACCTCCTCCCACCTCCCAGCACAGGAGAAAGAATCCTGCCATCCAGACACACCTGGCTCTGCCTCCGCCCCTTCCAACCTGCAGATTCTTAAGCAATTTTCTTCACCTCTCTAGGCCTCAATTTCCTTATTCATAAAATAGGAATTATACTATTTTGTCTGGAATAATAAGATAATGGCCATAGATCTATTTGAATTGTTTATTTTTACTTAAGTCAGTTTTGGCAAATTATATTTTTCCTAGAAGCATTCCCTTCATAAAGATGTCCAATGTTTTGGTGACCAGGCACAGTGGCTCACACCTGTAATCCCAACACTTTGGGAGGCCGAAGTGGGCAGATCACATGAGGTCAGGAGTTCAAGACCAGCCTGACCAACACTGTAAAACCCTGTCTCTACTAACAATACAAAAATTAGCTGGGCGTGGTGGCACATGCCTGTAATCCCAGCTACTCAGGAGGCTGAGGCAGGAGAATTGCTTGAACCCGGGAGGCAGAGGTTGCAGTGAGCCAAGATCACGCCACTGCACTCTAGCCTGGGCAACAGAGTGAGACTCCATCTCAGAAAAAAAAAAAAAAATGTATGTCCAATGTTTTGGTATAAAATTATTCACCTATCGTTTTGTTATTTGTAATGTCTGTCTGCTGTATATGTAGCGAGACTTTCCTTTTCATTTCTAGCTTTTTTTGTAGAGTCCATTTGGGTTTGTTGAACCTCCCTAACAGGCCTTATGTTTGTATTATTAACTTTTGCTCTTATTTTGTTATTTCCTTCCTATGTTCTAAACCTTTCTGGGGTTTAGTCTATTATTCTGTTCCTATCTGACAGTGGTAGCCGGTAATCAACCGGATTGGTCACACACGCAGTGCCCTACAAGTTTTGTCACCCTATGTCACGTTGTGTCCCACATGGTCTTCTTTAGTACTCCCAACGACCCTTAGCTCTGAACTCGTCAACAGCCTGTCTGGTCTTAGATCCATTTGGCACCCTTCCTCTGACCTCCTGTGGGATCTACGCTCCCCAGGGTCCCTTGTCCTCCGGCATCAGGGTAATTTTAACCAATGGGAAGCATGTGAGCAAGACTACAAGGGAGAAGCCAGGATATGTTTCTCCCTTCCCCTCTGCTCCTAGTGACATCTCTGGCAGTAATTACTGCTATGGTGCCACACCCACGGGGCAAAAACCAACATGGTCTTAGCTTCTGCCAATGGCCAGACTCCTAGAATCTGATAACAATACCTCCTCCCATTGTTCCTGCAGCCCTAAGGGGGCAGGTGCAGCTTCCGGCTCTTACTAAAATCTGAATTGCCTCTCAGTGTCTTCAGTCATTTGTGTGACTAACTCCCTGTATTAAATTTTCTTTGTTTGAAAAACCTTGAGCAATTCCCATTTCTTGGCTGGCAATTGATGAATACAAACCCTTTTTATAGGTGAACCCTAAAGTGAGGTTCAGAGAATTTAAGAGAGAAGATATAGAAATATGAGTACTCAACCAAAAAAAAGAAAGAAAAAAGAAATGCCAGTAATGAAAACACCAGCACAGAGCCTGAGCTCAGGTCTAACTCTGATATTTTCTAGCTGTGAGATCTTCTGAGCCTCTGTTTTCCCATATGCAGATGTGGATGGTGACTACACCTACTGCATAGGACTGTTGTGAAGATGAATGCAGCCACTATTTCTGACATTTAACTAAGCAAAAAGCCTGGCACATGGCCACACAGCTAAACATTGGCTGAACTGGGATCCAAATTTCCTATTTGGTGCTTATTACCCTGTGCCAAGCAGCCTGAATCAAGTTGCTGATGATTTTAGTTCTCATGAAGGGACTTCCTGTCTTAACCTTGTGGACTGGATCCTTTCCTCAGAGATTCTCCCCCTAAGAACTCCCTTCCCTCCTCCCCCCACCGTCTCCGCCACATGAAATGATCTCCTCTCTTCCCCCACTGAATAACTGCAAGTGGCTCTCAAGCTGATTTGTCCTCCCAACTTCCCATAAGGAACCAGATCACTAGGCATAGCTGCAGGGTATAACTCAGCCTCAGCCTCCCTGAAAGCCAGCACCAAGGAGGGCTATCAGAGACCCCAACACATGGCCCAAGGCCCCTGTGCCCAAGAGCCCCCTGAACCTGCTCGGAGGTGTAATTAAGTGAACTTTGAAAGCAGCCCTCCCACTGTGGGCTCACAAACCCCAAGGAACCCGGTCTCTAATATCCCTGTGAAAGTCAGCCTAGCCATTCACCAAGGAGGAAGAGACTGCAGCCTGTGAGCGTAGAGTCTGGAATCCTACCCTGGCTTTATTTGGGACACTTTGGGCCCAAAGACTCTGATTTTGGTGTCTATTGAGTCACATCTCTACTTCCCTCCTTTGGGAGAAATACGTCCTTGCTTATCAGTGCTGAAGCCTCTACCGCTTACTATCAGTTTCGAGGATGAACCTCTGGGATCCAACAGAGACTTAGACTCAAGAAGGGAGGGTTAAGCTGGTGCAATACTCACCCATCTAAAGCCAGGGCATCATGGAGTACATCCTGGAGTAGCTGCCTTCTCAATACACCCCCATTTGGGGGCTCCTAGATGGTTTGCTCTCGTAGGCATGCCTTGGCCCCCAAAAGTTAGATTCTCAGTGCATGCATGTGGTCACTGACATGGTCATTCATTCATTCAACAAAACTGCCATGATTCCAGCATCATGTGCCCTCTAGACAGAAGAAACACTGCCCCATCCCTGTCGGGGGCTACACATACAAAGAAACAAAGCAGCCTTGAATCCACCCTTTTATGAGCTGAGTGATTTTCATTATTTCTTGCATTTTAGAATTATTTTAAACATTACCTCCTCTTAGGATGCCCATGATGTCAGAACCATGGCAGTTTTGATGAATGAATCAATAATAAGGGAATATTATTAGAAAGCTAATAATGTCCCTTAACTTTCAGAGGTACCCTTATGTTAATAATCAGGTATAGTCTTATGTATTTTGTCCTATATTTATAAAACATAGATACGGCTTGAGGTTTGGAGAAGTAGGTTGTTTTATTTTGGTTTTGGTTTAGTTTTTTGTTTTGTTTTACGAAAATGAGATTATGCTATATAAATTTCTTGGCAAGTTGCTTATCTCAGTCATCAGACCACAGCTATCACTTCAGATCAATCCACTTATATTTGATTCATTTCATAGCTGTATCCTATGTCATATCACACCATATTCAGTCATTCCCCTGTAAGGAAGTGGGAAATACATGCTCACAGCGTTAAGCCATTGCCGTTTTGTTGCAGGATCTAGATTACCCTAATCCAGTGGTTCTCAAAGTGTGGTTCCCACAGAAGCAGCATCAGCATCATCTAGGAAATTGTTAGAAATGCAAATTTGGGGGTCTGTCCCAGAACTACCACATCTTAAACTCTGGGGTGGGTCACGGAAATCTGTGTTCTGGCGTTCTACAGGTGATTCTTGAACACATGTTAAAGTTTGAGAACCACTGCCCTAACCTGTACCATGTCATTCATCTTCCACGAGGACTATGTCCATTTGTTTGCCCTCCACAAACAATTGCAGCAATTACAGCTGGATGCCAGCTTCTTTGCAGAAAATATTTTCTCAAGCTGGAAAAATACAAGAAGTTTCTAGATAAGCAAACTTAGATGAGGACAAGCTAGCTACCCAGTTGCTAATTAACTCATTAATTCACTCTTTCAGGATGTATTGAATTTATAGTCACAGGCATAATGCAAACATATGCCCCTGTGTAACATATTTGGGGAAATGTGACAAGCAGATTTTTCTCAAATGATCTGGATGCCTGATGTGATTCTTCCTTAGGTGCAAAGAGGTTGCAATTGGTGAGTTCTGTTTGCAAAAGACCAACCACCTGGAAATGCAAGCGTGGAAGCCATGAGAGTGCCAAAAAATGTGGAAGATGGAGGCAGAGAGAACCAGACTTGAATCCTGGCCCCACCTCTCACCCACACTCCCTGAACCTCAAGTTTTGCATCTATAAAACTGTGGTGATAATAAAACCTACCTATAGGGCTGTTGATCCAAACTGTATTTTGTAGCTCCTCCAGGGAAGTTTTCCAGTCAACCTAATGCTTCTCTATGGCTGTTCAGGGAATGAAAAAATGAGGAAGGAATTAATGAATTATTTCATGAGAATGCCATTTTCCTCTGCTTCTTTCATGTTAAGAATTATATAGAGCATGTGCCACTGCTGTCTTCTTCATGAAACCCCCTGAGAGGCAAGGGTGGGGTGGAAGGTGAGGATGGCCATGGGAGTAAGCAGTAAAGCTCCTGAGCCGTCATGAGCCTGGCTGTCCATTCAGGAGCTATGAATGGAATGGTAACTAAGAGGAGCAGGGTGTTTCAAGCTTGAGCATGCATTAGATTCCCCTGGAAGTTTTTTAAAGCACAGATGACTGAGCCCCACCCCAGAGTTTTCAGATTAAGTAGATCTAGGGTGGTGCCTGAGATTTTTCATCTCTAACACATTCCCAGACAATGCTGATGCTGCTGGTCTGGGGATCACACTTTGAGAACCACTGGGTTAGGTCAATGACCCAGGCTGATGAAGTCTCCACCATAATCAACACTTGGTTTCTAAGATTACACTGAGTGTTGACATCCCACTGGCAGGAGAGCAAACAAATGAAGAAACTCCACCTTCTTCTTAAGCTCCCTGGCCAGAAAGTGATGCACATTCCTTCCACTCACATGTCATAGGCCCCACCTTTGCAAAAGGACCTGGGAAATTTAGTCCTTGGATGGGCTCCTTCTTAGTAAGCCACTTTCTTCCCAGGCATGCAAAGGGGTCACAGATCACTTAGTGTTGAGCCACTGCCACTGCCGTACATGACAAGTCATCACCTCATCTCCAAATCTTGGGCCTTGCCACCAAGATGTGGGTTAGCCCAGCCACAACCTCAATTCAGATTCCGAGAGCTAAAAATGTACTGTGAACAGAACATGCTCTGGAAGTCATGGGAGAAGGGGAAGCAGGACCTATGGAAAGATGGATACCTGGGCCTCATCTTCCTTAGACTGCTTCTCAATGACACAAGTCCATGAATGTCTCCACTCCCACTGAGGGCACAGTGTGTACAGTGGAACCATGGACTTGCAGTCGGATGGAAGAGCCATCACTCACCAGCTGTGTAACTTTAGGCCTCTCTGCCCCTGGTAGGTATTGCTGGTTGACATAGGGCAGCACCCAGATTGTAGCTCCTCCACTTCCTGCCAGGCCTCCTCCTCCAGCCTCCTCAACTCCTGGCCATGAATGTGTGCAGCAATGTGACAATAGCCATCACTTCTCCAGCAGGTTACTCACATCATCAAAGTTGGGGAGTTCGAGGAGATAAGAGACCTATGCAGATTCAATGCCTCCTTATATAATCCAGCTCACATTCTGCTTTGCCCTTGCCCTACAGTTCCTGTCAATCCTTCCTTCCCCACCTGCTTGTTCTGTTGACTGTAGGCCCAGACACCGAAGCAATGGCCCCCTGTAGATGGTTGAACCAGCTTCCACAACTGCACAGGATCAAACCCTCATAAGAAAGCCCTCAGTTTATGCCATTCTTAGTGGTTTTGCTTCTCTGGCTGAATCATGACTGATACGGGTGCTTTTCTTCCAACATTCTCATTTAATTTTCTGAACAACTCCACAAGAACATTCTTGTTAGTCTTATTTTAGAGATGAGCAAAGTGAGAATCAGAGAGGCTAAGTCACCTGTCTGAGATTCCACAGCTAGTGAGTGGTGTTGGGGCTGAGACTTGAACCCGGGCCTCTCAAACACCAGTACTTTGACCACTATGGTATTTTGTGAGCTCCTTCAGAAGAAAACTGGGCCCCATGAGATGGTCAACGCAATATCAGGTTTTCCCCTGTGTCCATGCCAGGATCCTGCTCCTCTGTGCCCCCAACAAAGGCTCATCCACTGTGACACGGGAAGAGGCTTCCTTGACAAGGGCCTGTTGTCTGCAGAGTGGCCACTATTTTCTCTCCCCTGTTTCCCCTCTAGCTCTGGCCAGAGGTTCCCAGTGGGTTGATTATCCCATTTTTATTACAAATCAATAGGAAAAGGAGAAAAGCTTTCTGAGAAGATTCTAAGCCTAATTAAAAACCCAGGAGAGGGCTGGACATGATGGCTCATGCCTATAATCCCAGCACTTTGGGAGGCCGAGGCAGGCAGATCACCTGATGTCAGGAGTTCAAGACCAACCTGGCCAAGATGGTGAAATCCCGCCTCTACTAAAAACACAAAAATTAGCCAGGCATGGTGGCAGGTGCCTATAATCCCAGCTTCTAGGGAGGCTGAGGCAGGAGAATTGCTTGAACCCAGGAAGCAGAGGTTGCAGTGAGCCAAGATCGCACCACTGCACTCCAGCCTGGGCGGTAGAGCAAGACTCCATCTCAAAAAAAAACACAAACCCAGGAGAGAACATCCCTCAAAACTATTCTGCTCTTGTGTAAAGACACATATGATAGGAGAGACGGTGCAGAAGAAAGAAACAGGCTTCCATTGCGAGGTGTGGAGACCTGCCCATGAGAGAGGCAAAGAAAGGCAGAAAAGAAAACAGATGAAAATGGAGAAAATGACAGAGGAAAGGGGGAGGGGGAACCACCAAAAACAGCAAGCGGGAAGTAACCTAGATATAAAGGAGGGAGAGAAAGGGAACAAGACATAAAATGAGAAAGAATCAGAGACAAAGAAAAATAGAAACAGAGAATAAATGGGAGAAATAGGTATAGAAGAAGAGAAAAAGATGGATGAAAGAGGTGAGAATAGAAGGGAGAGTCAGAATGAGAGAGACAGAGAAAGGGAAAGACAGACAGAGAGAGAGAGAGGTGACTGCCAGGTTCCTACATAATTAACTTTCTCCCTTGGTCCCAAGTTTTTGGGGGGAGACCAGAGTGGAACCCAAGACAGCTGGTGGGGAAGGGAGGCACCCTGGCCACTGCCCCCATTGTGCTGGACAGTGGCCACACTTGACACAGCAGCAGGAGATAGACATCTGCCTCTGAGTCAGCTCCTTTCTTCACAGCCCCACCTGCCCCACCTTTTGGGCTAATGTTGCAGAGTTAATTACAGAAAGCCTGCCAGACTGGGGATATATGAGCCTCAGGAGAGCCTGGTTCTGAAGGCGGAGGGAAGAGGGGAGGGAGAGGACGGTCAGGGTCACCTACTGAGCTGGGCACTGAAGGTTTCTACTACCTGGAATGGTCCCTAAGCACCCACAGGCAAAAGGTGTCTGAGGCCCAAGGAAATAAGGGGAGGTCTGTCGGGGCTAATGCCTAAGCCACAAAGCCAATTCTTCCATTATGGATTTAGACAGCTTTCCCACACTTCTACCTATCCCTATAACTTTCCCCAGAGGGTTTTGCCAGTCTGCCATTTTTTTCTGCCCCTTTACCACCTCCTCTCCCCATCTGCCAATCCTTTCTCCTATCTGACATCTCCTCCTGTATCTACCGTCTTCCATTTACCCACCTCCACCCATCCATCTAAACTTTCACCCACCGGAAGCTCCAAAATCCCACTCCTCATCCTTCTACCAACTGCCTACCCACCTGCCAAACACTCTTCCATCGATTCATGTTTCTTTATAGGCCAACTTTTCCACCCTTCCTCTAACTCCTTCAACCTCCACAGAACCTTCAGTCACCACCATTTCCACTATCCACATGCCAATCCTTCCATCCATGAATCAGCCCCTGTATTTCCCAGCTCCTCTCCATCTGACCTTCTCTCTATCCATGCACCATTCTCCACTTATCTTCCAAACTCCTTCATCCATCCACCAATCCCTCCACCCATCTGCCAACTTGTCCATACATTTGTCAACCCCTCCCCCTTCCTCCAACTCTTCACCTACCATCCCTTCTTTTTCCAAATCCTCCATCCAACCACCAAAATTTCCAACCCCTCTCTACATTTACTTCCACCCTCATCAATTCCTACATTCACATGCTAACCCATCCCTTCAGGGAGCCATGCTCCCTTCCATTTATACATACAATTCCATGTCTAATCCACCAATACCTAACCCCATCTACCATCTCATTCATCTGTCCATTCAGCAACCCTTCCATTCCATTCCAATATGTCAACCTCTTCCTACACTGTCAACTCCTCCCTCCTTCCATCCTTCAATCCCCCAACACTCCAACAATCTCTTAATGCACCCACTGACTTCACAAAGGCCCCAACCCAGCCCTCAGGGAAGTTCTGTAAAAAGAAAATGGTTTTGCAGAACTGCAGAGCTGGGATATAATCTTGGTTTGGAACACACTGGCAGCATGGCTCAATTCAGTGCTCCCTGGCCTAGTCACAGCTTTGGGAAGGTCCTCAAGGCCATTGAGGAAGCTGGACAGAGTAGAAAGGGAAGTAGGGGAAAGGTTCTCTCACCTCTGTTAAGGACGCTGGTAAAGTTAATTACAGCCAGCTCCTCACCCCTCTCCACCCACCCCAACTAACTGGACAGTACAGAGGGAGGCTCACCCCCCTGATTTCTGCCCTGACCTGTTCTGCCTGCCCTAATGGACACAACCAGGCCACAGTCCCCTCCTCTGCCTAAACCCCGGGGTTTTGAGCCAACTCCAAAGACCCTGACCAGCCAAAGCCATGTTGAACCAAGGCCTGAGCAGATTCACCAGGCTGAGGTTGCAGGTGGCCCCCAGCACCACAGTGGCCTACTCAGTCTATATGGTCCCATCTCTTAAATACCAGAAAACCTCTTGACTACTTATGAGTCAGTTTAGACCCAGGCCAGGTAGATTCCAGGTAACACAGAGAGGTAGAAACTGCATCAAACCTAGATGTAGGTTATGGAATCAGCAAGACCTGGGTTTGTATTCTTCTTGTACTTCCTGGCTGTGTCACTTAATATCTCTGAGCCACAGTGTCCTTGTTTGTAAAATGAAGGTCAGAAAGCTCCTACCTACTGCATGGGATTATAATTTTAAAATATACATACATTGGGATAGAGCTTGAAACACAGTAGTCCCCCATCGAGAGATGCCTTCACCTCACTTGGACTGGCTCTGGTGGCTAAGTCCTGGTCTTCTCTGTACATCAGGGAAAACAGGACAAATTGACATTCTTAGACCAGGTTGCCTGTGCTGCAAAACTAAGCCTTCTCCCCGAAAAACCCCCTTTATAAGAATTTCCACAAAAACAAAAACGAAAGCCTCTGTTTTTTAGGTACTTTTAAATGCCTGGAAAATTTTGCAATGGGGTAAAACTTGGCCAGAAAGAGAAACAAATTTTTTTTTTGCAAATCTCAGCCCTACCTTTTGGCCTAGGTTGGCCCCTTGCCAAAAATGTGAGATGACAGGTGAATGTGTGAGTTTCTGTGACTTGGGTTTCCAAAATGGCATTCAACAAGTGATCTGCCTAATTGCTTTTGATATCTAGAAAAGCTAATTAAGGTAATAATACTTGGCACTTGTATAATAATAAAAATAATGACCCTTTGTATGTAAGGAGCATCTTTCATCCAAGGATTACAAAGCCTTTACAAACATTAATTAATCCTCACAACTCACCTGTGAGGTGGGTGTAATTAGACCCAATTTATGGCTGGATGAATTGAGGCATGGATGGGGTGAGGGATGTGGGGAAGATCACACGCTGCATCTGCTGCCAAGACTGGGATGGCCCTGAAGATTCTAGAAGCTGTACTCGGAATTCTCACATCTGTCTGGTAGAATCCCTCTAAGCTGTCCCAAGGAACACCCCCATGAGTCAAAGTTCTCTCTTGACCAGCCACGGAGAAAAGCAGAACACTAGGACCTCATCTGGCTGGGTGACCTTCAGCTAGTTCCTTCCCCTCTCTGAGCCTTTACTTCCTTCCCCATTAGCCAAGATGACTGGGTTCCATGACACCTCACCTCCCCAGTGTTCAGCCCCACAAGCTTGTCATCCTGTTTCTTGCATCACTGGCAGGTTTTCAGGGCCTTGAAGCCACCAACAAAGACCCAGGTTCAGCCAGCATCCCTGGGCAGTTAGGTTGCCAGATTTAGCAAAGAATAATACAAGCCACTGAGTTAGAACTTTTGAATTTCTGAAATTTTTGAATTTCAGAAAAACAATGAAGAATTTTTCAGTATAAGCATGTCTCGTGCAATATTTGGAACATGGTTATACTAAAACATGGTTTGTTATTTATCTGAAATTCAACTTTAACTGGGTGTCCTGCGTTTTGTCCAACAACCCTGCTTGTTAGCCACTCTGTGCCAGGCACAGGCTGAATTTCTCACATCTCTGATCTCAGGTAATCCTTCCCCTACTCTGGGAGGCAGGCATTATCACTCCCATTTTGCCACGAAAACTAGTCTAGAGAAGAAAAGCGGCCTGCCCAGAGTCCTGAATTCCTCACCTACCTGGGTCTCCCTGGAGTCTCCACTGACACCCCCAGTGATTGATTCCCCAGTGCCCAGAGACCAAAGTCCACACTCCCTGAGGACAGCCCTTCCAGGCCCTGCAAATCTGCCCCTAAAGTCCTCTCTAGCTTCATGTCAGCCCAAGGGTCCCATCACAGGCATATGCAATAGATTCAGTGTAATTAGTGGTGCCCAGCACCCACACTTCCTTCCGTCAGGCCTCCAGGCCTTTGCCTCTGCCGGTCCAACCACCTGGAATGCTGTTCCTCCATCTTCTCCTGCAAAATGCCTGCAGGTCTGCAGGATACTGTCCAGTGTCACCTCCTCAGAGATGCCTTCCCTGGCCAAACACTCGTTCTGCTGTGTTAACCTCTGTGCTGCCACATTCCCCAGCATGCTTGCATGCATGTGTGTGTGTGTGTGCATTCACGCGTGCATTTGTGTGTGCGTGTGTGTGCATGTGTGTACTGTGTGTGAGTGTGTGTGTGTTTGTGTGTGCGTATTTTCTCTGTGCTCCACCCTCCCATCACCAGTACACCTAGGGTTGTTTCTTGGCCCCATGCCTCAGCATACACTATTTCCTCTTCCTGGAATCATCCTCCAAAATTAAGTCATTCATTCATTCAATTGATACTTATTAAGCACTTGCTATGTGTTGAGCTTATCCTTCCTGCCCTTATGAAATCAACAGTCTAGTGCAGGGGTCAGCAAATTTTTGTCTGTAAAGAGACAGATCGTAAATAGTTAGGCTTTGCAGGCCATAGGGTCTGTGTCACAACTACTCCACTCTGCTGTTGTAGTGTGGGTGCAGTCATAGACGGTATTAGCTGGGTATGGCTGTGTTCCCATAAAACTTTATTTACAAAAAAAGGCAGTAGGCCACATTTGGCCTATTGATTCTAGTTCACCAACTCCTGGTCTGTTCAAAACGGACATTGAGCAAATATCACACAAATGCCGGATTTAACAAATTTCTTCAATCCTGTGAAGGCGAAGATTCTACTCAAACTCTCCCCACTCTGTGAGATCTTTTAGCAGTGGCCTCTTCCTCTGTGCTTTCAGAGCTCCTGAGTTTAGGGGGCTCATGTGTGGTCATTCAAGGCAGGGACCACCTTTCCAACCAGATGCCTTAAGACCCACTGCTGATGCTGCACCTACTCCTGCCTGAGGTGTCCCTCTGGGGCCAGATGGGGCTGGGCTGGGGTGGACCTTGTTTAGGACCCCTCCCTAGCAGAAGGGAAGTTCTGCTCACCCCTCATCCTTAAAGATGATCCTCCTGCCACTCCTTCCAATAACTTGTCTCCAATTATAACCCAGGGTGAGCCAAACTGGGCATCTTATTTAATAGAGAGTGACTGTGCTCGTATATTTGAGTTAGAAGCGTCACATTTTCCTTCTTGGCAAGAAGGAAACATAAAACCCTCTCCAGAGACCCCAGGGCCAAAAGAAGGGACAGATGTTTCCAGCATCATGGCTTTGTGTCCCCTCCTTCGGTGGTTCCATCTTGCTAGGCTCCAAAACTGTTTTTCAGGATGTGCACCCCGCCCCAACACACACATACATATGTTAAAATCAGGCCCCCTATGCATTCATACACATGTGTTCAGCACACAGGCTTACATACACCTCAGGTAGATGTATGTTTACATATATAAGCACACATGGACACACACAAATTCCTGCTTCACACATATACCAAGAGTATTCACAACAAGGCAGACAAATTTGGGCACAAAAACAGATTCATCTAGAGACACACAAACCCCGAATTTTTGCCCCACAGCTACTATACATGTGTGCATGCACACACACACTATGCACATGTATGTGCACATGCCCACACTATGCACATGTGAGCACGCACACACATGCACACATGCTATGCATGTATATACAGTGAAATCCAATCCCGCTACGTCTTGCAGGGGGAACAGGCCGTGAAAATCACATCTTTGCATTTCTGGCCTACCAGTTCCGTCTGGGTTCCTGCTGCCAGTCTCAGCTCCGGGGAGGGACACAGGAAATTCCCATTTCCCTGACTGCCAAATCTCAGCCACCTCTGACCCTTAGAAAGACAGAAACTCCTCCAGCTTCCTGTGAGCCATTCCTGCTGTGTGCCCAACACTCCTAGCCAACGTGTGGCCTGAGGAGATAATGCGAGGCTTAGTGTCCAGCCCCATGTGTGGCTCCTGCAGTCAAGGCAGCTTCCTTGGCCTCCCCTTGGGGTCAGGGCCTGGCATGCTAGGGGCCTCCAGGGAAGGGCCTTGGACTGCACCCAAGGTCAAATGCCCTCTTTATCTGAAGGACGCTGACCACTTTCCTGCCCTGCTTCCCTCTGCTTCCAACATTTCTAGCAGCCTTGGGGAGCTCACTGTCCCCAGCAGCCAACGCCTACTACTGCTCTTTTAACTCTTACTGAGCCGTCTGCATCCAGGCTCTGCTGCCTTCCTAGTGGGGAGCCAGTGGCACAGATGGAAGTGACAGTGGCAGGAATTAAGAAGCTGGTGAACCCCAGCTCCCAGGCTCTTGGTTGAACTGGACCGCAGAATCGGGACCCCTTGTGGGTGTCCTCCTGTTGAACAATTCACTCATCCACTCATTCAAAACACTTGGGCTGAGGCTCTCACCTGGTGCTGGGGATTCAGTGGTGACTAGACAAGAGTCGCTGACCTTGCTGTGGGCATAAAAACCTGGGTGCCAAGGGAACTCGTCAGCATGGGCTTCTGTAGTCAGGAAAGCTTCTCAGAGAAAGCGGCATCTGACTTGGGTCTAGCAGGCCAAAGAGAAATGTGCATGGAAGAACAAGCTATATGTAACCAAAAGCAAATGGAAAGGGAGGCTGGGGCTGCTGCATAGTAGGAGCTCTGCAAATGTTTGTCGACTGAATGAATGAAGGGGAACTTCTGGAGGCTTTTCAGTAAGGAAGTAATATTGATTATTATTTCTAAGTGATGCCATCTACTTCTCACCAAAGGGCTTCTTTGCCCAGGATGGATGGATCTTCTCCCAGAGGTTTAATTGCTCCATGGATTCCCTGACCCCAGTCCCCACCACACCCTTACATATAGACACAAACACACCCACAAACAAGTGCTGGCTGCAGATGCCCACGTGCACACAGACACTCACACACATGTGAGACAACCACACATGTGCAACCACATGCAGCCCATGTCCACATGTCTAAGAATGATAATCATAGCAAACACTTTTATCCGACTTTCCCACAGGCCAGATGGCAGTTCTCTGCATTTATTAACTCAGTTAATTCAGCCCTCTAAGGTAGGAACTATTGGGATTCCCATTTCTACAGATAAGAAAACTAAGCCATGGAGATGAGTCAGTTATCCAAAGTCATATAGTTAGGAAGTGGTAGGGGTGGGATTTGATCTGGGCCACCTGATCCCAGAGACCATGCTGATAATCACTAAAGCAAAGCGGTCCCAGTATCCTTCTCAGCCTCCCTCTCACTCCCAGCCCTCCACACTTCACCACCCATCCGTGGTCCAGACACGTTGAAACCCGTGGGATCCCCCAAACACACAATTCGCTGCCATGCTCATCTCTCTGACATGTTCCCTTCCATCTCTTTCCGAGGTCCACATCTCCTTATGAGGTCCGTTTTATTATTTGTTTACCAAACATTTGTTAAGCACAGATTATGGACTGAGGCTTTGTGCTTAGCATTTTACGTGCATTCTCTCATTCAACCCTCACTACAACCTTATGAATGTCCTATTGTTATTAGCCTCATTTCACAGATGAGTAAACTGAGGCACAAAGTTGTTAAGTCACTCCCGCAAGGTCACAAAGAGGGAGAGCTTGGAATGGACTCAAACCATCTTGACTCATGAGCCTCAACTCTTCATCTCATCTTAGTCTGCGTCCTGCTCAGCTTTGGCTTCTGTGACTGAGAACAAAGTCTCAGAGGGAGGAAGAGGAGAAGATGGAAGGGAGGAGGAGGAGGAGGAGGAAGAGGAGCAGCATTAAAACAAAACTCAAGGCTAGCGGAGATTACGAATCCTGAGTGTGGGTGGGGTGGATAGGAGGATTGTAGAGCGACCTTGTAAACTTTTTACCCACATTTTATTGTGAATATTCTGAAAGCATGGAAGAGTTGAAAGCACTGTGCCATGAGCGCCCCTAAACCCACTACCTTGATTTAGCAATGAGCCTCTCACTATTCTTGCTTTATCTCCTGTCTATGCATCTTGCAAGCCATCGATCCACTTACAATGCAGATACTTTGCAGACTTCTTCAAATCTGAAGAAATGGTCAAGGCTAAGCTCCCTTGGGAAAATCACTGTGGGTGACGCAGGTTGAGATTTTTACTGGGGCCCAAGAGCCTGTGCACAGTTTACATGTACACACACAGTTAGACGCACGTGAGTGTGTGCGCGCACACACACAAGGGAGCAAGGACACAAAGGATGAAGACAGTCTCAGGATTTGGAAGAGAGCCAGGACTACCTCAGTTGATCAGTCCACCAGTTCCTTTCCACCTGCCAGGCCCCATTAGCCCCATCGAGGCCGCCAGGGGCCCCAGGGGCTCAGGGCCAGGCTAGGGGGTGGGGTATTTCCCTAATTGGCCTGCTCGTCCTTCACCCAGCAGAGGAAACAGCCGCTGGCTTCAGCCTCCAAATGACAGGAAACGCCACGGAGGGCTACTCGGCAGTAATTACTACTTTGAGAAAGGAGGGGAAAAAAACTGAGGGGGAACAGTTCCAACTCAAATAATCCACTCATCGGGGGGTGGGGGGAATGGGAGGGTGTTCCAAGGAAAAGACATTTTGAAAAGCCTTCAATCAATCTGACAAGCAATTATCTGCTTAGCGGCTGGTACAAATCCCCCGCTGAGGACTTGTGCCCCCTCCCAGGAAGACCGGAGCCCCAGACTGACATTCAGCCCCCCAAAGCCCCCATGCCATCCTCCTAGTAGCCGGAAGGTGAAACGTGTAGATTGTAATCCCGCCTGGGAAACTTCAGCTCTAGGGGCAGCTATGGTCAGAGGGAGTGGCTATCTGATTCTTTCCCTCCACACACCCATATCCACACACACACACATGCACACATGCACGCACACTCTACCCTGCACGACCACATGCCCTGTCCCACATGTTGTAGGGTGAGTTTGTTTCAAATATTCTCTCCTTCCCCCAGCAACCATAAGCATTCTCTCTCATTTCATTAATTCATTCAACAAACATTTTTCTTGAAGCTTCATTAGGACACTGGTGATAAGGATGAGAGACATCCCTGGTCTTCTGCATACAGCTGGGGAAGAAAAGTCATTGTCACCTGCTTTGTGATTCCTACCCCAGTTTGGGGAAGCAGCATAGAGAATTGGAGAGAGCATGGCTGGGAATACAAGAGCTGAATTCAGACCTAAGTGTGACCAGGCAAGCTCTGGTCCCCTCTAGGGCTCCAGAGGCCAGGTTGAGGGGGTCTCTTCTTTCCTCCATCCACCTGCCCTAGGCCAGGCCTCCTCTTCTTACCAACTCTCCCAGGCCCTAGGCCTGCCTCTCCCTCAGCAAATCCCAGAACTGTCTCTAGTCCAGCCTATGTGGGACAGAAAGAGAGCAGACAGGTTTGGCCCACCAGGGAGGGTTTGCCCCTGCCCTGGACTTCGTAAAGAGCTGAGAATGAGCCCCCAGCAGTGCAGAGTGGGGCCCTGACAGGCAGATGTCCTTGCCCACGGTCCTGCACACCTCTTCACACAGTGCTTGTGTGTATGTGCATATGTGTGTATCTCACACACAGCCCCTCACTGGCACATTCCGACATCACATGTCCGCAGGCTGCACACATGTGGGCTTAATGCCACAAGTGAGAGTCCTGCATCCCTCCCTGGTCTCACTCATGGGCACACAGGGTGTCACACCTGCACATTCACCACCATAGATATCCGTGCTCCTCCCCATGCCGGCACAGACTCACACATACACACGCACAAACAGCCAGATATCAGCCATGGATACAACCCTCACAGTCACAGGCACTCACACGAATTTCTCACCCCTTCACACACCCAGAGTCTCATGATGGAGACAGCACATGGGAATGGAGCAGGCAGGGAATGGAGCGGGCAGGGAATGAAGCAGGCAGCAGAGGAAAGCCCTCCCAGACAGAGTCCTCAACAGCACCAAAGAAGGAAGCCCTCATCCAAGATGCAAGTGAGGAGAGAAGGCGAAAAGGACTTCCAGGCCAGAGGCTACAGCAAGAGGGAGCTGACCGGGACAGGGCAAGGAAGGTCAGAACCCTGGCCAGGAAGCAGCCTGGGTTCACAGTTAGGAGAGCAGAGATCTCAGGGAACAGCAGAGTGGCAGGCCTCGTGGAATGATGATGCCTGCCCACCAACACCATACTGTCCTGAACAGAAACACACACATGCAGGCTCTCTGTCAACCTGCAAGGCACGAGGGCCGTCACTAGTCAAAACATGCTTCAGGGTGAGGAGGTCTGCTCCAGCTCTGTTGCAAATGGAGGGAGTTTCTGCTTTCATGCAGTGCAGTCAGGGGATGGGAGTTGGGTTTAGCTTGGGGCTAATCTTGTACCTGAGTTCTTCTGGTCATAAAACATGAGGGTGTGTCTTTTTGGGGACATGGTGAGCCATGTGCCTGCTTTCCAGTGCATCAGATATGTCTTGCCAATCTCTGAGGGCAAAATGAAATGTCTTGGGAGAGCAAACAGCCGCCTCCCTCCTGTGCCAGGAGAGCAGAATCATTTTGCTCTGTCTACACAAGCATTCCTGTCCTCTCCCTGCTGATGGCCTTGGGAGATAATGTGTTCCATGTGTGTCCCTGAGTACGGGGACAGCTGTCGTAAATGTAGTGGGAGCTGCAATGGCCTATGTGTCTGGATGAAGTGGGTTCCATGTCTTTCCAGGTTGCAGACTCTTGAGGGAAGCAGGATCCCATATCCCAGGGCTGTAATGTCAGAGAGGGCCTGCCAGGGTCAGTATTTGCCTCTTCACCCAGCTCTGGGCAGAGCCTGAAGGGCTGGCTAGCAGACTCCAGCCATGGAAGGTAGAGCTGGAATTAGTTCTTCTGCTCTAAGAATGGAGTGTGGGGCCTACCTGGCTGGACATGGAGCTTAGTTTTTGATCTGCACCCAAGGTCCCAGTGCAAAACACAGGGCACTGGTTTTCACGTGTGTCTTATCTGGTTTTCCCATCAGAGCACACAACTTTGTTTATGAGACCGTCTGTGGATTCCAAGATGGGCAATGATAGAAATGAGCAGAGCTAACATTTATTGTGCATTTGCTCCGTGTCAAGCACTTTACACGGAATTTCTCTTCTAAGCTGTTGATATCTCAAAGTGCTTAACAGCATGGATATCAGAGTTAGCAGGACTTGGGTTTAGATTCTGACTTTTCTGCTCAGAGCTGTGTGACCCTGGGCAAGTCACCTGTCTGAGTGTCTGTCGACACCAACTGTCCATTCATCCATCTATCCTTCCATTTCATCAGCATTTATGGATGCCTACCTATGCCCAGCCTCGTACCTGGCACTGGAAGTGAATGGACAAATAAGACACTGTTTCTAAGAACTCGAGTGCCAGAGGTGGAGACAGTGGAGGTGATATCATCAGGAGGGGCAGCGTAGCAGAGTGGAAACTTTGGCAACACACAAACTGGGGTCAGATTTCAGATCTGTCCCTTCCCAGAAACGCAACCCCAGCAAGTGACTTGTCTTCAGCAAGTCTCAGTCCCCATTAAGTGGACTGAGGATGATGATGGTGCCTACCTCCTTTGGTTGTTGGGGAGATGACATGGGACATTGCTTGTAAAGTGCTGAGCCCTGGGCCTGCTGCATTGAGACTCTCAGTGAGTGCCAGCTGGTGTCATTGATCACTTCTGTAAAATGGGTATAACAATACCCAGCCTCTCCACCTTTATAATGAAGTTGTATCAAATAAGATCATGTGTGGTAAGTGTGCTTTATAAATGGTGGAGTGCTTATTTTATCACTCATTCATTCAGCTAACCATTCCTTGACAGCCTGCAAAGGGCCAAGGCTACAGCTAGGAATGAGATTATCAAACAGGAGCAAGAGGTAAGGGAAACACAGATGTGGCTACAGAGTCCGGCATCTGGGAATGAAGATCAATTATGATCCTGATGCAATAAGAACAGCCACAAAAGCTTCTACAGAGGAGGGCAAAGGAGGTGGTCATTAGCTAACTGGTGACGTCAAGGAAAGCTTCCTGGAAGAAAAAGAGTTAGCATTGGTGCTGCAAGGATGAATGGGCATTGAAGCTTCACCTTTTAAGTCTGAGCAAGCTTACACTCTAATAAGAGAATCAGAATGTCTTCAGTGACACAAGAAGGGGTGGACACAGGCAGATTTTACTCATTACCCATCCAGTGTACAGAGAAGTGGTGGAGTTCTGAGGACAGAAATCTGAGAAGCTTGGAGCCAGCTGGACTCAGGCTCGGCCTTGGAACCAGGAGGAGCAAAAGGGCAGAATGTGTTGCCTGAGTTCTCAGTGGTCCCTCAATCCACAGCGACATCTTCCACAAGTGTCAATTGCAGAGCCAAGATTGGAACCTGTATCTGGCTGTTCATGACACTCTGTCAGACTCAACAGAGGTGCTCAGTTCTGGGCTGGGTTATGAGCCTCAGTTTGAGGTGGCTAACCTCACCACCACATGCCCCTACCTCAAATACTCTCATTTTCTGTCTTTTCATGAACACTCTGTAAACTTTCCCTGTGAAGTTCTTCCAAATCAGTCCTTTTCTGCTGGCTATAGAAACCAGACTGCGCACTCACCCCAAATAGCACCCCCTCCTCAGCCCCATAAGCACGTTTTTACCTCCTCAAACCACTTACCACTGTCACTAGGACCTAATGTAAGTCAGAGGGGAGGCCATTGGCTGACATCCACTCCAGGAAGTCACATTAGCAACTTCATTCATCAGGGTCAGGATTGAGCTTCCATTGTCTGCTGTAACCATTTGTTTATTTCAACTTTGGCGGCAGCCCCGGTTTATTACAGTTATCACTGTCTGGGATGGGAGAGAATATACTTGCCTTTCACACATAGGAATGGCATTCTTGCATTTTGTAGCAAAAGACTCACCTGACTCAATACCTCCCCAAATATCAAATAATGTTAAAAAGAGAATATAAATCTATTGATACATATTCTATATATGTATACATCTTTGAATCCACAAATCAATCATTTTATTTTATTTTAGAAGAATAAGGAATAACTGTTTATCCAGCAGCAAACAAAATAATAAACAATAATACCTAATGCTGGTAAGGTTTCCTTGAAGTGGCTAAACGGACAAACTTTGCTGGAGGCAATGTAAATGAGGACATCCTTTATGGAAAGTAAATTGGAAAATATGTATCACAAACCACAAAAATGTTCCTACCCTGAGACCCACTGATTCTGCTTCTGGGAATTTATCCTAAGGAAATGAGACAAAGAGAAACACTCTGTGGAAAAGGAGAAGAGTTCATTGAAGCAATATTTCAAATAGGGGGAAATTGAAAGTAAAATTCAACAATACTCAACATCAATTTGATGAAATAATAGGGAACCATTAACATGATAATCTGTAATATTGGTGGAGCAAGCAAAGGCACACGTATACTGTATTCACCTTTCAAGTTTAAGACCAGCATGTACAAACTACATATTAACATATAAGTCACTGTACTTGCAATGGGAGGCTGGTAGCCTTATGGAGAAGGTTTTTGCCCTTGTTTTCTAAACTTCCAGTTGGGTTCTATATGGTTTTATAGTTTCTTTTAACTGGAGCTGACAAATGATCATGCTTCACGAAAGAACTACAAACAGTGCCTAATTAGACACAGCAGCTTTCACAAGACCCTCAGCCTGTCTAGGCTTCATTTCCATGTTCCTTAAGATCCTTTGCCCCATAAATGTAGTGTGGGAAATAGACGGGCCTGGCAAGTCTTTTTAAGTCTCTAAGTCCAGTGCTGTGAGGAAGAATGGATTTGTCAAAACAATGGCTGATGGTAGTTGAGCACTTCATACCCATCCATTAAATTTGGTCCTCATGGGCCGGGCGTGGTGGCTCACGCCTGTAATCCCAGCACTTTGGGAACCGAGGCAGGCAGATCACCTGAGGTCAGGAGTTGGAGATCAGCCTGGCCAACATGGTGAAACCCCGTCTCTACTAAAAATACAAGAATTAGCCAGGCGTGGTGGCGCATGCCTGTAATCCCAGCTACTCGGGAGGCTGAAGCAGGAGAATCTCTTGAACCTGAGAGGTGGAGGTTGCGGTGAGCCAAGATTGTGCCATTGCACTCTAGCCTGGGCAACAAAAGCAAAACTCTGTCAGAAAAAAAATTGGTCCTCTACAACCCTGCATAGTGGATTGTATCATCCCCATTTTACAAATGGGAAAACTGAAGGTTGTCCAGGAACAACACAGGTGGTAAGGAGAGGAGCCAGGATTCAAATCCACAACTCTTCACTCCATAGCCTGTTTTGTTGTTGTGTTTCCCAATTCATGTTGATTATTTTTCTCAAATGGATATAGTTTAAAAGAAGTTGATTCACTAAAATAAGTTCGAAGTTGTGGCTTGAAGGGAACTCCCGGCAGCCCATTCAGGCTGCCTGGGAGGCCCTTCTGTCTTGAAAGGGAACATACAGTTGGCTGGCTTTGCCTGAAGGAGGAGGACTGGCCCAGCCAGCGGCTGCAAAACCTATTGGGTTCAAGCATTCCAAAAGAAAACACCCCCTTCACCAAGAATGTACCTCAATAACCACAGAAACAGGCCCCAAAGAAGAAAAAGGGGCTTGGGGGAGCCTCTGACTGGCTGCTGGTGATGTCATGCCCCAGCCCAGAATGCCTGTAAGAGGGCCTACTCTGGGCGACTTTATGGGGGCTTTGGTGTCTGCATGCTCCCTCCCTGGCAGCCAGGCCAGCATGACGGCTCCTGTCCGCCTCCCTGCCCCCTGCACATCCCCAGCGTCTCTGCCCTGGCCTCTCCCAGCCTGTAATTACTTTCAGTGCCCTGCTTTATGGGCTCCAGCGAGGGGGACTTTGCAGCAAGAGGAGGTTCCTTGAAAGGGACCCAGGAATCTTTCCAGAAGGGCCTCTTTCTCCCTGCTCTCTGAGAGGCTTTGAAAGCAGAGCCAGGAGGCATTGTGGGGCCTGGCCTCCTCAGACACCCTCCCAGCTCCCAGGTCTTCTTACCTGGCCCACTGGCTGGCACTCCCTTGCCGACAATCTTTCAGTTGTCCCTGGGGACTCTTAGAATAAAATAAAAATCATTCCCTGTGGCTTCCAAGTCTGGGGTCTGCCTCATCACTCACAATCCCCCACCCCCACCCCCACAGACCAGCTGTAATGGTCCACCCACCATTCACAGACACACCACCCTTCCTTGCTTCTGAGCTTCCTCAAATGCCGGTCCCCCTACTGGAACACTTGTCTCTCTTCTCTCTCTGCTCACCCCATTTTAGCCGACTAACTCCCACTCACCCTTGAGGTCTCCATTCTTTTCCTTCCATTCTTTTCCTTCAGGGATCTTCTGTGGACCTCTGTCCCAGCTGGGCTCAGTGCCTCCTCTTCTAGGCTCACAGAGCCCCCGAGCTTTGTCCTATGCCATGGTCATTTGGGTCCCTCTGGAAGTAAACTCTACAATGAAGATTGAAGGTAATTTATGTGGAAGGTGAACGCAACATCTGCTGGCAGGGAAATGAGAAATGAGGCAGGGACAGGAAGGCAGCCAATAAAGAATATTATCAGGCAAGTTCCCACCATGGGCAACTAGAGGTTCATTCTGCTAGGAGCTCCAGAGTTCAGTGTAGAACACACAGCTCTGAGTTATCTCAGCCTAGAGGGAAGGAGCCGTGGTATTAATCCACCAGGCCCATCAATCATTGGTTGGAGCTATTCCAGATGGACGTCAATTTTCTAGCTTGCCCCAAGTGTAGGCACAGTGGGCTTGGGCAGGGAGAGAAAGTCCCTGGGCTGGGACTGAGTAGTCAGGGGGAAGTCAGGACTACAACGGTGAGGTCCAAAGGGAGATAAGTAGGCCCTGACATCTGCTCTACTCACAGCCCCACCAGCCCACACTGCAGTTGCCTCTTCTCTGCTGTCTCTTCAACCAGAAAATAAGCTTCAGGCAGACAGGCATCTCTTCAATTTTGTTTATGACTGCATTCTCTACATAGGCACATTGGGTGAATCAAAATTATGTCCTGCTTGGGGTGGGTCCACAAGCCAACCACTGGTTGAGGGATTCTATCACATGTCCTCACTTTTCCAGCTAGTAAACCCAAAGATCCCAGAGGCAGAGCCTTGAGAAGAAACTTGGAGCACCTTCCATTATTATAAGTGTTGGCCAGAAACTTCGAGGGTCAAGCTTGCCCCTGGAAGATCCATGGGCAAGGACAACCGCAGGCAGAGCCAGAGGCCTGGATTCAAATCCCAGATCTGCCAATTACTGTGTGGCCTTGGGCAAGTTGCTCAATCTGTCTGTACTTCAGTTTCCTCAACTATAGTAACTCCATAAGGTAGGCACAATTAATAGCATTATTACAAAATTCTAATGAAATTGTGTATGTAATATGTTTGGTCATCATTAAAATGATTCTTACCTCCTAAGTATATAATGAGCTGCCTGGATTTTAAAAAAAATGATTTTTACAGAAAAGCCAGGTTTAATCCTAAACCTTAAGGGTTCCCTGATACACGCACCTACCCTATGCCAGGCATTGTGCTAGAGGCATTACACACGTCCAGCAGCCCATCCACTACGGGCCTGCCTTCAATGGCACTTCTAACCTATTGTGCTTTGAACACCTCTAGTGATAGGATACTCACTACATCACAAGGGAACCAGATAGATTTTCAAACAGCTCTAAATGTCTAATACAGAACCATGCTCACAGGAAACATGGAGCTCTCTTTGCCCACAACAGCCTCTTGGAAATATGAGGGAGTGGTCCTGATGTCAGCTTTCTCTCTCCCACATCAGGAGCGTGTTCCCTCACAGAACATGACTGTGAGGTCCTATGTCTCCAAGGTCTCACTCTTTCCCTCCACTGGAAGGTCTCCAGTACCTCTGAATTAAATGAGAGCCACCCGTGAGGGTGATCTAAGCAGTGCAGAACACAATGTATCTCATCCCCTGCTCGGGACACTTTCTTCTATTCATGCAGTCAGGGGTTGCATCAGCATTTTGGCAGCTGGAACACAGCATGTGGCCCTGGGCAAACCATTTGGTTTCTCTGAGTCTCAGTGTCTATCCATAAAGTAAAGACAATACAGGCACCTAACTCATAAAGCTGTTGGGATGATTAAATGGAATGATACACGAAAAGCTCTTAACACAATACTGAAAAAGTGTAGGTAATATTGGGAGCCGGCTAAAAGCCATAGCTATGCCTCTTTCACATGAGGTCTTTTGAAACTGGGTTTTTCCCATCTTTGGTCTTTTCCAACAAAGTCAGCAAGACTTTGTCAGACTTTAACTGAGTCCATGTTAAATATGTTGACTAAGAATGGACCAAAGAAGACCCCTTGGCATGGTCCAGAGACTCCCCATCAAGAGTGCCATGAGTGCACTGATGACCATTCCGTGGGAATGAATGCTCTGCCCCCTATCACCTCCCTCAGCCTCGCTATGCCTCCCCTGTCCCCTGGATGTGGAGATCCAAGGGCTGACCACGCTGTTGCGTTCATCTCTGTGTCTCCAGATTCTTGCCGAGTGACTGGCCCAAGAACATGAATTGAATTTCCCCTATTCACAGATGGCCTAGAGCCAGGAAGACAGTTTTTGTGAGGTCTCTATTTTTATTCTCATTTTACATGAAACAGCATTAATGATCACAAAGGTAGCTGTTATAGGCATTCAGCAGGCATCAGATCTTCCTGTACTGGCTCACCAAATCCTCACTACGGCATCATTGCTGCCTCCACTATTCAGGTAAGGAAACTGAGACTCAGATGAATTAAGTGATTTGCCCAAGACCCCATGGACACAAAGTGATAGAAGCAAGATTTGAACCCAGGCCTATAAAGCTACAAGCCACCTTCCTCCTCTACCTGGAAGAATTTTTTTATTTTTTATTTTTATTATTATTATTATTTTTTGAGACAGAGTTTTGGTCTTGTTGCCCAGGCCGTAGTGCAATGGCGCTATCTTCACTCACTGCAATCTCCGCCTCCCGGGTTCAAGCGATTCTCCTGCCTCGGCATCCAGAGTAGCTGGAACGACAGGCATGTGCCACCACGCCGGGCTAATTTTTTGTATTTTTAGAGAGACGGGGTTTTACCATGTTGGCCAGGGTGATCTCGAACTCCTGACCCCAGGTGATCCACACACCTTGGCCTCCCAAAGTCCTGGGATTACAGGCGTGAGCCACCACACGTGGTGACCTGGAAGATTTTAAAGTGCTTTTCTAATGCTAAAAGTTGAGGGGAAAATGTATTTGGTCATGCAGTTCAGCTCACAGGCCTGATCCCAGAGAGCTGCAACAGCATAAACCATCTATGGCAGTTTTAAAACATAGCCATAAATCCTGTGACACTACTCCCAGTAGGATGTGCACCTATGGTCCCTCCCCGTGAACCAGAGGGACTTATGACTGCTTTGACCAATAGAGTACAGAAGTGACACTATATGATTTCCTAGGCTATATCATAACATGCCATGAGGCATCTACCTTATTTAATGGAGCCATTGTACTGAGAGTCAGGAGACTGCTATTAAGAAACTCTAATGCTCTACTAACCTGAGACCACAATGCTGGAAGCTATATGTAGGTGTTCTAGCTGACAGTTGCATGTGAGCCCTGACTTCAACCAGACCAACCCAGGCACCAGAAATAAGAATGAAGAAGCCATCTTGAAAGTGGATTCCCCAGCCCCAGCCATTCAAGTCATCCCAGGTGAGGTCCCCAGATGTCATGAAGCAGAGATGAGCTGTCTCTTCTGTGACTTTCCTAATTCCTGACCCACTGAACTTGTGAGTGTACTGAAAGGGGTGTTGTTTTATACCAGCAAGTTGTGGGGTGGTTTGTTCTGCAGCAAAAAAGAGATAATCAGAACACCATCTGACCCAACAGCTCATTTCTCAATGCTCTGAACTTGTTGATGGAAATGCACTTTGATTTTCAAAGTCAGAAGTTCCATATGGACCATTCAGAAAGTCATATCTGACCCAGATACTTTGGCTGAGTAAGAGGCTAGGCTTGCTAGAGACCTGGACTTCAGCGTCCTGATAATTTTGGTGTCCCATCTGTTCATTTATTAGTAGTTATTGCATTGCCACCTTGTGCCAGGCACTGTGCTAGGCATGGAGATACCACGATAAACAAAATGGACATCGGCCTTGCCCACAGGAGCTCACACTCCAGTGGGGGAGACAGATACCACATAAGAAATTTTAAGTTAAAAATGGAGATGCACAGCCTTAGGGTCATCTAACCATGTGTGGCCAAGGGAGCAGGACTGGCCTAAGAAGGTGACCATCCGAGGGCTGAACAACAGAGGCAGTGCCCATCTGATGTGGAAGAGGCAGAGACAAGAACTGCAGGCAGAGAGAACAGCCGGAGGGGAGGCTGTGCTGAGAGAATGCATGAGGCATTCAAGGACACAACAGATATCTGGTGTGGCTGGAATGAAGACACTGAGGCAGAGTGGTGAGAGGAGATGCTGGACAGGGCTGCTGGGTGGAAATGGATGGGTTATCCCAGCCTAGGTCCCCATCCAGCCCCAGTCCCAAACTGCTGGCCAGCTGACCACGTCTGCTTCTTGGAGTCCCCTGGCTTTCCTCTCATCTCTGACTGTTCCTTCTCCGTTTCCTTGGCTGCCTTCTCGTTCTCCAATCATTGCCACATGTGAGCATTCCCTCCTCACAAAACACTCATAGTTCTCAGTTGCTCATGCGCTCTTCTGATAACCCCAAAATATTAAGTTGAAACACAGGGAATGGCAATATTTGACCATGTGTGACTTAAGAAAAAACATCACCCAGCAATTTCAATGGTTCAGCTTAATTTTAAGCTATTGCCCCTTTCAAGTTATCTTCTGCAGTGTCCCAATCAGCAGAGAAAGTCTTGACTTTATTATTTTCTGAGGTTTGTCATTTTCAAATCTTTCCAAATATGAAATTATATAATAATTTCAAATAAAATTATGTAATCTGAACCCTTTGAATTCCACCATGCCCCTCTAACCACACCTCCCAAGGCCTCAACCCCAACTCCTAGATATGAGACACTGCTCCATTTTGGTCCAGAGGGTTCTCACCACCCTCATCTTTTCAGACTCTTCCACATCCACTGGAAGGTTCCTAAGAACATTAAAAGTCTTAGAGGGAATTGAGGAAAACAGCAGGTTGGAGAGGTTGAAACTCAGAATGAAATAAGTTTGGAGATGATCCCAGCAATTGCTGAGAATGGCCTATGGCAGGTGTCCAAGGTGCCCAGAATCTAAATCTGAAAGGCCCATGCATTTATTTCTGCCCTGAACCCAAGAATACGATAGAAAAACACAGGGGCTAAAAAGGCTCTCAGGCTTACTTCTCCAACCAGCCAGCCAGACCCTGCCTGATACAGATAGGGAAACTGAGGAGACCTAGAGACAAAAAGGGATACACATCAGACCTTGCCTTGAGGTTGAGCTTAGGGCTAGAAACCAGGTGTCCCAGTGCTCCATCTACCCCTCCACTCCTGCAGAGTGGGGCAAGAGTCCTGAGTGGCCAGCTGGCCATGTCCAAGCCTGAGGCCAGACACTGCTCACATGCACTGCTGTTTGCTCAAGGGAACAGGCCTGTGGCCATCTGGTCACATGTCAGGCATTGGAGTGTGAATGGCCAGACAGAGGCATAGGTGTGGGGGTGGATCGCAGGATGGAGGGTAATTTTTTAAACTGCTCTGCATCACTGTCCCCAGAGATACTGAGAAATTGGGTGAAAGCGCACCATCTCTGGAGCCTCAGCCACCTGGGTCAGGGATGCGGCATACTATGCCCCCTGGTCAATCCTGCACCTTTCCAGGCCTGGGAATCCTGGGTTTTTGTCCCAATGTGCTAGAGACTCTTGTTTGTCCCTAGCACTGGCCCACTCAGAGGTGAAGGATTGTTCTGGGCCTTGCAAGAGCTAGTGTGGTAAGGACAGGCTGGATCTGACTCTTTCTCTCTCTCTCTCTTTCTCTGTATGCGTGTGTGGGTCTGTGTGTCTGTGTAGGTGTGTGTGTGCCAGAGAGAGCCACAGAGAGACAGGCACCAAGTGCAGCTCCACCGTCCTCATTACTAGCCAGCATCTACTGCTACCTCCTCTGTGCCCACGGAAAGAGGAAAGAAATGGGAATCCTTCCTTGACCCTGAGGAATAGCTCAGTCCCCAATGAGGGCAAAATCTACTGAGCACCTACCATGCACTGAGTGCCTTATTGCACCTCCCAATTTAATCTGCTCAACAATCCTCTCAGGAAGGGGCCATTACTTGTGTCACAGCTGAGGAAACAGAGACACAGCAAGGCTAATGGGCATGCCTATGGGAAGCTCCATGAGGAGCAGGTGCTAATCTGCCTTTGCTCACCATTTAATTCCCAATGGTTGGTACAACAGATGTAGATGCCCAGTAAATCTTTGTTGAATGAGTGAGTTGAATAAATGAATGAAGTGTCAGAAGCAGGACTGGAAGTGGGGTCTGTCTGCTCCAACGGCCAAGATGTCTCTTAATTTGCAGACACGTAAAATGTGCACTAAGAGGAGTCAACACAAAGCAGTGTGGAAACAGAAACTACAGTGTCAGGCATTGCCAGGGGGCCAAGGGTAGCACAAAAAGCAGACTCCATTTGATTGAGGTTTTGAAGCTTACATAGGAGTTTTCTGGGCTGGCCATTCATTCTCCAAATATTTAATAACCATCTATCACATGCCTGGTACTGTTCTAGGAGATTGGGATCCATCAGTGAGGATGTAAGATTTTTGTCCTCAGGGGACTTATATTTAAGAGGACCAGGGAGTGAGGTTGTTCCAGGCGGAGCATGTAGAGCAGGGAGGGAAAAGAGGTTTGTCTTGGGAAGGAAGAATATGGGGTTCATCAAGTGGAGCATGTATGAAGTGCAAGTTGAGAAGAAGCTGCTGATGAATTGGACCAGGGTCTAGAGGGCTCTGAGTGCCTAAGAGCAGATGAGAATGAGGGGAGGGTTTTAGATTTGGCTGTACATGTGTCAAGGGGAAAAGTCAACTTCCAACTCATTGACCTAGTGTCCTTGACTGCATTCATGGTTACTTTTGTATACCTACTTTTTGTGTTTTTCTTCTATTTTAAGTCATAGATACAGCCATGAAAAATCTTCAGCTCCAGAAACAAGTTCTTAGTGCCATTTAAAAGGGAAAAAAAGTTATTTTTGCTCATTATTCACCTTTTTCATATCTTATATGATTTTGGTATTGAAAAATATTTATTTCCACATTTAAAGCTGGAATCTGCCAGGTGCAGTGGCTCACTCCTGTAATCTCAGCACTTTGGGAGGCCGAGGCAGGTGGATCACCTGAGATCAGGAGTTTGAGACCAGCCCAACCAACAGGGGGAAACCCCATCTCTACTAAAAATACAAAATTTGCCGGGCATGGTAGCTAGCCCATGCTTGTAATCTTAGCTACTCTGGAGGCTGAGGCAGGAGAATCGCTTGAACCTAGGAGCTGGAGTTTGCAGTGAGCCAAGATAGCGCTATTATACTCCAGCCTGGGCAACAAGAGCAAAACTCCGTCTCAAAAAATAATAATACTAAATAAATAAATGAAATAAAAAATAAAAAAATAAAGCTTTTTTTTTTTACGTCAGGTGTCCAGACTCCAGTACGGGTGGTTAAGTTGCTTATAAAATTATGTGACATGTTTTAATTTCTTTAAATCAATCAATCAATCATTCATGATGCCTTTGGCAGGAAAAAGATAGAAAGCAGGCTTTTATTTTATTAAGAAGTGGAGTTGTCAACATTTCAAATGGGAGGTTACCTGACCCACGTTTCTGCAGATTGTTGGGGAAAAGTTAAAGAAGACAACTTTGGGGGTGAATTTGGATGTGGCTCTGCAGAAGAGAAGGAAGTGGTGGGTCTTGTGTCCAGCTGGGACTCACTGGGATGTGGGAGTGAGGGTGGAATACAGTTTGGGGCAGCTCCTCCTGCAGTGAGAAAAAGGTGAGAAGATGATAGCTGATCTCCATTGGGTCAGGTAGGGCTGCCTGCCCAGGTCAGGGAGAAGATTCCAAGGATCCAGTGGCAAGTAAGGAAGTGAAGATAAAGAAAAGAAAGGGAAATTAGACAAGGAATCTTAGGGTCTTTGTAAGACAGGAATGGTGAGTGGGGTGATGAAGATCCAGACATGGGCGGGCTGGGGACCAGGGTCTGCAGAGACAGGAACAGGCAGGGGCCAAATGATAAGAGTACCCAGGATACAGCTTGACCCATAGCAGATGCTCAGAATGGTCTTGGCCACCAGGCTGATGGCCTTTTTTGATAGGTTTGATAGCTTTTTGGCAGCTTTGGTACTTTGGATCCTTTTTATGTACTCAGGGGCACCCTTGCTAAAGGCCTTCCATTCATTCTTTATCTCATTTTACAGATGAAGAAACAGAGGCTCAGAGAGGTTAAGTGGCTTAGCCAGGGTCACAAAGCTTGTAAGTAATAGAATCATGGCTTGAACCCAGTTCCATGTGAATCCAACACCTGAGTTCTTTGTCTCTCTTGGGATCTTGTCCTGCAGGAGAAGGAAGTGCAAAGACCAGGCTGCATATGATTTTCATGGGCCCTTAGGAACTTTTGTTTTTATGGACCCCTTTCTTTATGAAAATATGCTAAAATTCTAATTTATGGCTATTAATATAAAGATGAATATAATCCAGGATGCATTATATTAACATTTTTTCTGCTGATTTTAAAGAAATAGAAACAATTCCTTGGACCCCTGAAAGTATTGCAGGCTGTAGGTACAGTGCCTACTGTGCCTGCTGGTGAAGTTGGCCCTGGTCAAAGATGCTTCATGGGTGTGATCTCTGTACTTAAGCAAGCAGTCAGTCCCCTTTCAAACTAACCAAAGCCACTCTGTGAGGATGTAGCCCTCGGGAGCTACCCAGTGGATCAGGGGTGCTCCTGTGGCACATGCCAGGGACCCCTGCAGGAGGCCAGCCTCCTGACCATGGCATTGCCTTGGTTTTTTTGGAGGGGGGACAGAATCTTGCTCTGTCGCCCAGGCTGGAGAACAGAGGAGTGATCTTGGCTTACTGCAACCTCTGCCTCCCAGGTTCAAGCGATTCTCCTGCCTCCGCCTCCTGAATAGCTGGGATTACAGGCATGCACCACTATGCCTGGCTAATTTTTCTGCATTTTTGTAGAGATGGGGTTTCACCACGTTGGCCAGGCTGGTCTCGAACTACTAGGCTCACGTGATCCACCCGCCTTGGCCTCCCAGAGTTCTGGGATTACGGGTGTGAGCCACCACACCCAGCTGCCATGGCACTTCTTGAAACATCTCCACCTCTTCAACTGAACAGGCAGAGACAGAAAAGGTCCAGCGGCCATGAAACTCAGACCAGGCCAAATTTGTGCACACAGAGCAAGGGCAGGAATATCCAGCCTACCTGAAGCACCAGCTCTGCCCCTCCCCCAGCACTGGAGGTGAACAGAGGCTCCGGCTGCTCTCTGCCCTCCTCCTGGAACTGTCAGCTCCAGCAACTGACATCTGCTCCCTGGGAAGAGCTGGGTCCCCATGGATGACCTTTGGCATCTCTGTCTTTCCCCCCATCACTCCTGGCAAGAAGACTGGGCACAGGGGTTGGGAGACAACTGTCCCCAGCCCAGCCTCTCAGAACCTGCAGGCCCACTCTCACCCTGAGCTGTAGAAGTCTCCCCATCTCAGCCTCCAGAGGCCTCGGTATCTCTCTTCTGGAAATCAAAACCACCCTTCCTAGGGCTTCCTGACAACTCCCCATACCAGCCCCTGTTGTTAGCTTTCTGAAAAAATAACTGTCAGCCCTTACTGTACGCCAGGCTCTGTGCTGAACACCACACTTCTTCAATGCTCAGGACAACTCCAGGAAGTAGGTGCTATTATCGCCTCATGGGGAGCAATATGAGATGAAGAGACTTGCTGATGGTCGAGCAGCAGTAAGTGTGTAAGACAGGCTGTGTCAGGATTCAAACCCTGCCTGTCTGCCTCCAAGCACCAGGCATCCTGCCTCTTAGGCCTCCAGTGCTTTCAGGTTAAACTCCCTGGTGCCTCTTGGACAAAGCCCAAACTCTGTAGTCTGGCTGTCAAGGTCTGTCTTACTCTGGCCTCTACCCTGTAATGGCCCTCACACACACTGCTCTCCCACAGGGGAGAAGGCACACTCCAACAGTCCAGAACCACTGGAGCTTCTCTAAACTCCCGCGTGGTTTCACCCTCCTGTGCCTTTGTGCATTCAGTTTCCCCAGCCTGGAACACCCTTCCCAGTGGAGGATCTCCAGTGGATTGGGCAATGGGGTTTTGAGTCAGCCCTATGGGGATCTGAATCCCACCGCTGTCCCTGGGTCCAACTGTGTCACCTTGGGCACGTCATCCCCTCTCTCTGAACACTGATTTCCTCAACTGTAAAACTGGAGCCACCAGGCCTACTTCATACTGTTTTCAAAGGAATTCCCTGAGAAGGGATATGAGGCGCGACAGGCATGGAGTGAGAACTCAGTGGATATTCCCTGTGCTGGCCCCATGTGGTCACCCTCTCTCCACATTCGTTCATCTTTCAGCTCAAACATCCCCACCCCTGAGATGCCTTCTGTGAGTCCCTCGACCAGGGAGGCTGAGCGCTGGCCCCTGGGCTGTGAGCCCCAGCACAGGGCCAGCTGTGTGGTGTGTGTTGGAAGAAGAGAGAAGGGAGGGAGAGGAAAAAATTAAGTGGGTCAGAAGAAGGCAGCTGGGGGTTGATAAATGAGATTGGACAATGGAGAATAATAGTGGAAAATGACTTGGGCCTTAATTATTTGGTAATTAGGTCCAAAGTGGCTCGAAACAGGAAGGCAGGTGACTGTGTTCAGCCAGATTGCCCAGGTAACTGGCTGTGTAGGCAGGCCCATCACTTGTCAGGATCCCCGTGGACTGGACTCCATGCCCCACTTACCTCCTACCCGCAAGGCATCTCAGACTCAATTAGGGTCCCCCACACCCCGGACTGGACTGAGTGGAAAGCCTCAGAAGCAGGGCGGGGCTCAACTCTCATCTTGTGGGCTGCTGGTGATTTAGGGGGAGCTTTTCAAAATGGCTTTCTGTCTTCTCCATTCCTACCCAATTCCTATCCCCCTTGCCCTCCTCACACCCTCCCCGTCTCCATCCTCCCCATCCCCATCACCCCTTCCTCCATCCCCTCCCTCCTCCTCCTCTGGGTCTCCATCTCTTCCCAGAGAGCCCTGGTAATAATCACCTCCAAACCGGCCCAACCGGTCCCAGAGGACCTGATGGCCTGGCCTGGCCTGGCCTGGCCTGTCCCTGCCCCAGAGGCAGGTAAGGAGGTGGGGCGGCGACTCCTGGAGTGTCTGAAAGCACCAATTACCTCTGCAGTCCGCTGGCCTGCCCAGCCAGCCCAGCAAGGGGCCCTGGGGTTGGGAGGGGGGGAGGCGGGCAGGGCAGGCTGTTCCGGACAAGGGGACTGCATTTCAGACCCTACCACAGTGCAGGGACACGACATCCCAAAATGTCCCTCCCTCTTCTGTGAGCTGACAGGTCTAAACAATTCTGCCAAATCTGACACATTGACTCACGTTTAAATTACACATGGAACCAATCATCTGGTTGAAATGAGTGAAGTTTCATAAAAGGAGATGTAAAATTCAGGAAAAAAAATAGCAACTTTTTTTCTTGACAGATACATTGTTTGAAGCTTTGACATGACCTGTCTTAGAAAACCCCTTTCAGAGCCAGGGATTCCAGACTGTTTTATCTACCTGGTGCTTCATGCCCCTTAGCCAGTGATAGAGGTTGTTGGGGGGAAGGCGGGGGAGGGGAGCAGAGTCTGGGAAGGGAGGCTGGTTGGAACAGCATGAAATGTGTGTGCGTGATTGTGAGTGTGAATGTATAGGGATGCGTGTCTGTAACTGTATGAGTAAGTAAATGTAACCCAGATGGCTTCGGTTCAAATCCCAGCTCCACTTCTTCTCAGCTGTGTGACCCTGGGCAAGTTACTTAACCTCTCTGTGTCTTGGTTTCCCCACCTGTAAAATGAGTAGATATAAAATGGATAAAGGAAGAGTAACCTGCCTCCTAGCATGGCAATAAGGATTGAATGATTTAATAAATGCGTAGCACTTAGCAGAAGGCAGGTGGTGGGCATGACTGAAGTGTTCAACATCATTACTATCATTAGTATCTGTATTAATAGAATTAGTATTAATAATATTATCATGACCATGATTACTACTTAGAAACATGCCTGACCCCATAAGCATTCATTCCAAGTTCACTGGTAGCACTAATTGTATTCATGCACATGTGTGCGGTATGATAGGAGAAGGGCCCCGTGGATGAGCAAATCTTTCTGGATAAATGGTAGCTCTATATTATAGCTTTCCTTACAATTCTATAGGTTGGATGTTTGGCACAGGTCTCACTGGGCTAAATTCATGGTGTCATCAGTGCAACCTTCAATTCTGGAGGCTGTAGGGGGAAATTCATTTCCTTGCTGTTTCAAGCTTATAGAGACCACCTGCGTTCCTTGGTTCGTGCCTCCCTTCCTCCATCTTCAAAGCCAGTACCATTGCATTCTCTAACCCAGCTTCCCTGGCCACATCTCCCTTTGACCACACCTGGGAAAGTTCTCCACTTTTGAGAACCATGTTGATGACATTTGTTCCACCCAAATAATCCAGGCAATCTTTCCAATCTCAAAGTCATTGACTTTAATCACATCTGCAAAGTCCTTGTTTGCCACAATAAGGCAACATATTCACAGGTTCTGGGGATTAGGATGTGGACATCTTTGGAAAACCATTATTCTGCCCCTAGCCTAGGGGGATAATGGAAACAGGCCCTCATGGCTCTCAATTTGTTGTGGTGGAATCGCATCAGTGAGTGTCTCTTCTGGGGCTTTGGGCGCTAAAAGAGGCTGAAGACAGCTGGACCCACGATGGACAAGCGACAGCTCCACTAAGGGCCCCAGATCCCATATCTGGCCAGGTTTGGCAACTTCTCCCAGATCCAAAAGGGCAGCAAGGTGTGGACCAGGCTCTGCCACTGACCCGCTGTGTGTCTGTGTGGAAGCAGCTCCCTGTCTAAGCCTCTAAGATTCCTTGTCTGTAAACCTTTTGAGGACCACACAATAACACACGAGGCTCCTAGGACAGCGGGGCATGCAGTAGGGGCTCGGTAAGTTTCAATCTGCCCTCTCCACAACCTGGAGGTCAGGTGCACAATTACCACAGCAGGCAGGTGTGTGGCAAGGAAACCCATACTGGTATCAGGGACTGTGACTAGGTTCTGGTGGGGGACTGTGTTGTGGGTAGGAAAGAGTGTGGATGTGGGAGCAAGAAAGTGGAAATCAGTGTGTAAGAGAGGGCGTCCCGGCATGCAGAACCCAGCCCCGTGCCCCTTCCCGAGGGCCCAGAGCCTCCCACCCAGGTTCACCTGAAAGTTAAAGCCAGCGCACACAGCCCCCCACAGTTCTGCGAGCCTGACCACGGTGCACAGTGCAAGGCATGGCTTTGAAGTCTCCTGTTTTACACTTCCTAATCCAGAGGATGCCCACTGCTGTTGTATAATAAAGGGCAATGTTTCACATTGCAAATTCTCAGAACACCGAGCGGCTGTGAAAAAGCATGAGGTCAGACTCTGTACAGACGAGATGTCCCAAACACATTGTTAAGCAAAAGAAAAAAGTGGGTGTCATAGCATCAAGTATGGATTGGACCCATTTTTTTTAAAGTAGCCATCTTGCCAAGTTTTAAAATGCAAATGTTTTCAAGGCACAAGGTAGAAAGTGGACAGATGTGAGGCTCCAGGGAGAAGTGAGGCCTGTGTCAAACTGCACAGCGTAAGCTCCGTGTAAAAACATTCAAATCCCAGTTTTCAAAGCAGGCAGTCAGCTTTTGACCTCTATAGTCTTTGAAAAGAGAGTGAAGGCCGGGCGCGGTGGCTCACGCCTGTAATCCCAGCACTTTGGGAGGCCGAGGCGGGCGGATCACGAGGTCAGGAGATCGAGACCATCCCGGCTAAAACGGTGAAACCCCGTCTCTACTAAAAATACAAAAAATTAGCCGGGCGTAGTGGTGGGCGCCTGTAGTCCCAGCTACTTGGGAGGCTGAGGCAGGAGAATGGCGTGAACCCGGGAAGCGGAGCTTGCAGTGAGCCGAGATCCCGCCACTGCACTCCAGCCTGGGCGACAGAGCGAGACTCCGTCTCAAAAAAAAAAAAAAAAAGAAAAAAAAAAGAAAAGAGAGTGAAAAAAATGTGGTATGTGTGGGTATGCAGGTGCTGCGTGTTTGTGTGTGTATGGGGTGTGTGTGCATGTGGGGTGTGTGTGTGCATGTCCAGTATGTATGCATCTGTGGTGTATATGTGTGCATATATGTGTGTATATGTGTGGTATGTATGTGGCTTATGTATGTGGTATGTGTGTATAATGTGTATGTGCAAGTGGCATGTGTGTGGTGTGTGTGCGTGTGTATGGTGTGTCATAGTGTGTGTGCGTGTGTGTAGTGTTTGTGGTACACTTGCATGTGCGTGGTGTGTGTAATAGTGTGTGTGTGCACATGGTGTGTGTGTACAAAAATGTGTGTTGGGGGATGGTGTATGTGAGACTGTGTGTGGTGTATGTGGATTGTATACATGGTGTCTGTTTCTGTGGTGTGTGTGTGCATGTGGAGGGGTGCATGTGTGCATGTGTGTGGTGTGTGTAATAGTGTGTGTGCACATGGTGTGTGTACACATATATGTGTGTGTGAAGGGATGATGTATGTGAGAGTGTGTGGTTTATGTGGATTGTATACATGGTGTCTGTTTCTGTGGTGTGTGTGCATGTGGGGGGTGTATATGTGCATGTGTGTGGTATATGTGTAATAGTGCGTGTGTGCATATACAAGTTCATGATGGCTTTGTAGTGGGAGAAAAGAGTTTCAGGACTCTGAGTCTTTTTTTTTCTGTTTACATTGTACATTTTCTTAGTTTTTTAAAACAAGCTTATACAAGTATCCCAAAAGTCTTAATGCAAGTTTAAGCTTAACAAACTATTACTCCTTTAATCAGAAAAAAACAAAGACAAAAAAGGAAATATATGACAAAAGTCTGTGTAAAAACGTTACACCAGGAAAATCAGCAATGTTTGTCTTACAGTTTCAGTACCACTGGGTATTCCTGATACTGACTCGAGTCAAGGCTGGTGGGAAATCTGTGCTCCCTCCAGCCCCAGGGACATAGCAGGTCTGCCTGGAGAGTCGCTGCTTGGGCCCCAGAGAAAGTCAGCAGCATCTAAAGCCAAAACACGGGATGTTTTCTGGAGTCCTGCACACAGGCACAAGCAACACACACAGAGCTCTATGCACAAATCCCCCTTTCAGTGCACATTATTTGTTCTCAGCAAGCCCTGGTCTAGGCCGTGGCAGATCCGGCTTCCACAGCTGACTGCCCCTGACCCTGGACATGGCATTGTTACTTTCTGACCCTTGACTTGCCCCTCTGCAAAATGAAGTCAGATAAAAGATAATGCATCCAAAGTGCCTATTGCAGGACCTGATACATGGTAGGTGCTCACTAAATAGGGTTTATGAAGAAGAGGAAGCCCACAGCCCATCCCCGCTCCCTGGGCTCCAGCCAGATAGGAGTATGTCATAGGAGGCCTGCTGGCCGCCTGGAGAGAGCAGAGTCCACTGATCTTATCAGGTCAGCCTCACTCTGCCCCACGCAGAGCTGACTTCTGTCCTCTAGCCACCCAGACATGTGGTCCCAGATGAATCAGTACATGTGTAACATGATCTGGTGGCCCCAAGGCTCAGAGTCATCACTGCTTACCTATGAGGGAAGAAAGATAATCCCCTTTTGCAGATGGGAAAGCTAAAACTAAGGTTATTTAACTTCTATTTTTACATCTTCTGTCATTGATTCATTTGATGTTTAAATGAGATGTGTGTGAGAAGTAGGCACTGCATGAGGCTTGGGCCAGGAGGAGACAGCAGTAAACCAGACCTACAATGTCCATGCTGCCACAGAGACAGGACCAGCTTCACCGGCATGCGACCTGCATAGTCACACAGGACTCTGCAGTTAGAAAGGGCAATGCCTGGTTTAATGTTCTGCTTTGGCCATCTTGAATGTCTTAATACTTTTTAAACAAAATTTTATTTTATTTCCATTTTGCACTGGGCCCTGCACATTATGTAAGTGGTGGTGTTAGGAGTTAAGAGGTCATAAATCCAAATTAACAGTGCCCAGCAGATGAATATATCTACAAGGGAATCAGAGCAAATCTTGGAAACATGGGGGTTTAACCATGGTGGAGGTGGGGAGTAGCTGACCCAATCTAAAGCTTTAGTCCTTGCCTTCCTAAGGGAATAACATTTTGGCAGTAGCCTGAAAGGCAAGTAGAAATGGGTAAAGAGGTGGAAATGAAGTTTCTTAACTATAAAATGGAAACAGCGATCTCCTGACCCCACAGGACCAGCCATGACAAAATTTTACTCAATTCATTCCATTCATTCATTCCAGCAACATACAGCACCCACTCTGCTGCAAGTGCTGACCAGGCACCCCATACATCCCTGTCCTGTGAAACGTGTGTTCTAGCAGATAATTATTTATCTATTCCTGGGATTTGTGCAGGAAAGAGGTGTACAGGGTGCTAACGGAGCACGTGATGGGGGCTGGACTGGGTTGGGGGCACAGTTCTCAGCCCCGCCCAGGGCTGGGCACAGAGGAGGCTCTAGGAGATTGCAGGCTGGCAGAGCCTGGCTCTGCAGAGCAGTCAGCTGTGGACACAGGCCCAGGAGGGAGCTATGGGCCCTGCTGATTTGAGGAGGCACCATGCCAGCAGCAGCCTGGCTGTGTCCTGGTCCCAGAGGCAGTGAGTAGACCTTAGGAGGAGCTGGCCCAGGGCAGGAGAGGGTAAAAGAGAAATAAAAAGTTTAATTAAAGAGAGGCAGCTTTTGGAGGGAGGGAATAAAGCAGGCTAGCCTTACTGACTAGCTGCTGTGTCCCTGCTACTTCATCGCATCTGTCAGATCACCTTCATGGCCCTCTACAGCATGTGCCTCTATGTTACAGTACAGGAAACTAAGTCTCAGACAGGCTAAGCAACCTCCCAAGTTCATGTATGATGTTGGAACCAGTATCTAGTCTTCTGATTCCCAGAGTAAATTCTGCTGCTTCTACCCATGTCCCCTCTGAACAAAAATCTGCCCAGGTATTTGACGAGCCGCCAGAGAAATTTCTTTCCAGCCCAGAACCAGCAATACTTACATCTCTCCTGAGCAGTGGGTTTGCTTTTCCTTGAGAAACACCATGGGTCTCACAGTTGATCTTTTTTCCCTCTTCCCATTGGCCACTAGGAGGCCCAGCATCAACTCTTGGCCCATCTCAACACAGCTTTTATGTCATCATGTCACTTCTAGTTCAATCTGGACTCATCTACCTTGCTTTTATTTTCTGCCTTTTGTTTTTGTTTTCTGTTTGGGGGGTCTTTTTAAACTAATTTTTAATGTGCTTTGGCTCACTCTATTATACAGTTTCATTAAGCCATCTCCAACCTCTTCTGCATTCTCTACATGCCTGCTTTGCCCCTCCTTCTCTGCAGAGAGCCTTTCTGTGGCTCCTTATGCACAAGGCCTGGGTGAGGCTTCCTGGCTTCCTGTTCTCACCCTTTCCCATTCAAGCTCCCACCACACTCTGACCAGTACCCAGAATTCAAACACCAATTTCCAAGGAAAGATGAGGCTTTTGGCCCAACTTGCTCCAAACAACTGTGGCCATGGGCTGGGTCACACAGCAGAAATATGGCAGCAGCATTCCATCCCTGCAGGGTGATAACCAGGCTCCTTACCCTGGCTCTCAAGGTCCCTTAGGACCTGTGTGCAGCCTCTGCTTCCCAGTTCCAGTTATCCAGCACCTCACTCCCCAGCCACATGGGGCCTACTTGCTGTTCTGGAAACTCCCTCCATTGCCACCTGTGAGCTTTCACCCAGGCTAATTCCTCCACTGAGAGCCCTGTCCCCCAGCTCCATCTGTCTAAGTTGATGACAAACCCAAAGGCTGCCTCCTCTCCTAAGCCTGCTCCATCCTCCCCACCAGCTCTTATCCTCCTCTTGGCTCCCACTCCATGTCCTTTATCCACCTTCCTGACCCTGCACCCTGAGTTTCCATAAGGCTCAAACATCCCTCACAAGATGCCAGACTCCAGGAAGACAGAGACTCTGGAGCCATCACCACATGCCTTGTGGTGAGACAGATCTCAGTTCAAATCCTAGCTCAGCCACTTAGCAGGAGGACTTGGCAAACCTCCCAGGCTCTGGAAGCCCCCACTCACAGTCACATGGAGTTATGGTTGGGTTGTACGAGAATCAGCAAAGTCAGGAGTGCAGAAGGGCTGAGCGTGGAGCAGGCGCCGAGTGTTTGATGAGTGAATGAGTGGATTTGTGCCAGAAGCTGAGCGTGTTCTTAGTAACTTACATATACACTTCACTCTCAAACTCTTGGGCAGTGGCCCATATACCTGTCCATGACCTTCTTGGATCCCAGGGACACCAGGAAGGGCATGGTGAGCACACACCCTGGAGAGAGGGATAGGCCTCAACAGACCTTGGGCTCAGGCCTGGCCCATCCTCAATCTCACCCTCAGAGGAACCCACACTTGTCCCTGCTTTTAGGGGAGCATGTCTTAGCCCCCTTGTCCCCTTCAAGCTTCTCACCATCTCCTGTCCCATGGAACTCCCCTAGGATGGGAAGGATGTTAGGAGGGGAAGGTAGAGAGCGGGCTGTATTTGCTGATGAGCACCCCCTCTGTGCCAGGCACTGTGTTTATGCTTTATGTGCATTTTCCCATTCACCCCTCATTTCTCATTTACCACTTTACCAGATTACCATGATTCTATCCATGTTACATATGCAGAAAGTGAGGCTTAGAGAGATTACCCGGCCTCCCCAGGCCATTCAGGGGTTGAAGCCAGAATTTCAGGCCAGGAGTGTCAATCTACAGAAGCCAGGGTCTTGCTAATATGCCAAAGTGAGGACCACCCCACCCCCAGTAAGAACCTCCTGCCTGGGTCCAAGGAAGGTTAGCCTCTGCTCTCCTAAGTGCTGGATGAAGATCCTTTACAAGGAGCCAAGAGTGGACAACAGTGAGCAGTGAGCGCTGAGGGCCCAGGCTGCTGGGCCAGCTGAGCTCTCCTGGCAGGGGATGGAGCCAAGTGTCATTACCAGAAGGCAGAGTGTGGGTCAGGAGCCGGCTCCTTGCTCACCATTCAGAGTGCCTTGAGAAGGACAGCTGTAGCTGACTGCACTTTGTGCAAAGAGGGCCTAAAGCAGCAGGGCAGGACTTGAACTCAAGGCTACATGCTATCCTAGATGACACTTGGGAACTTAACTGGGCCCTTCTCTAAGATCTGAGCATGGACCAAGCGCCTTAGAGATCTCCTCACCAGCAGATTGTCCTCTAGAGGAGTAAGTGGGCACCAATCATGGCTGGCAAGGTCATGATTATGGCAGTGAAGAAGAAGAAAAAGAAGAAGAAGGTGGGTGGTGGCAATGATGGCGACCGTGATGGCAATAATAGCAGAGGCCCATGTATCCACCAGACACTGTTCTAAGCACTTTATGACATAATAATCCTATGGAGTAGGCACAAGTATTATCCCCATTTTATGGAAGAGACTGAGACATGGATGGTTAAGTAATTTGTCCGAGATCACACAAATAGTGTATTAGAGGTAACACTCAAGTTTCAGAGCCTGCGCTTTTCTTCACAATGCCTATGTTATATTTACAACACAATGAAAATGGCAATCACTATTTATTGAGCATTTACTATGCATCAGAAACTGTGCTAAGCACTTTATTTGCGTTATCTCATTTAATTTTCACAAGAGCTTTAACACTTGGCAGTAGTATAGTTCCATTCACAGGATGTAAAATTTGAAACCATGAGAGGTGACATAATACGTGTGAGGTCACAGGGCCAGTAAGTGCAGAGGTGATGGTCAAACCCAGGCACGATGACTTCAGTCTCCCCATCTTAACCACTGAGGCACAGTGCTTTTCTGTGGCTGTATATGCATGTGCACACACACTCTTCCATGAGCCCATGTGCACACACACACATGCATACCAGGATGAACTTAACCCACACAGACTCACAGCAACATGGACACCAAAAGCTGGCTGTGTCATCAATAAGTTAGGGATCCAGGCCTTTGGTCTCAGGACTCCATAAAGCAGTTCCCAAGGTGGGAAGCAAGTCTGTGCTGCAACTATGCAAATCTTCGTTCCCCAGCCAGGGCTCTGAGCATCTGGACAAAAACTGTGGGGGTGTGGGGGTAAGAATATTTGCACTCAGGACTGAAACTCCAGATTCCTTTCAATGTACATTCACAGCTGTAAATCCCACTTCCCAGGAGCTCCTGCTGGGATTTGCACACCACCTTCCAAGGTCTTCCTTCCCTGCCAATTAATTTCAGTGTGAATTGAACCAGAGATCTTGGCCAGAGGATAAAACTGGTTGTACCTGTTTGACAATCTCCCCAGCTGCCATGCAGAGTCTGGGCTTTCTTCCTCCCAGGTTGCTTCTAGGAGTATTTCCTAAGCTCATGCCTCTTCCTGTAAGTCCTGGCCATAGACACTTTGATACACTCAGATCCAGCCCCCTTACACCTCCTGGGGAGACACCACTGATAAGCCCAGCCATGCCCATCACAATCACAGCAGCCACCACACACAAAACATCATGGACAAGTTCTGTCTCCAAAGGTCCCTCCTGAAATCAGAAATGAGCAAGATGTTCCCCACCTTACCAAGAGGCAACGAAGGAGGCTCAGAGAGATGAAGTGACCAGCTCCAGTCTCCACAGCCAGAAGAGGAGAAGTTGGGTTTAAAACTACATCTACCATACCTACCTCACCTGGTTCTGCAACCTGAATTTCTTCCAGACCCCCATTCTGGCTCCAGTGAGCATTTAAGAGGAAAGAAAATGTCGTCCTTTAGGAGCAATGCAGGAGAAGGTGCATCCTTCCCTAAAGAGGGAAGGATTACAAGTGACAGAGAGCTTCATGGGGAATCAACTCAGACAAACGTGTGGAGGCCATTGAATTCCAGGCAGCTTCTGGAGACTGGTTTGGCCAGAGCACAGGATGAAGAGTAAAGAATGGAGGGGCAAGGGCTGAAGCTGCAGAGCCCTGAAGGCCAAGCTAAAGGATTGGAAATGTGTCCTGGTTACCATAGGGAGCAATCAGTGGTTTCTGAGGAGGACCAGGTGCCAGTATTTCCAAAGAAAATTAATATTTTTTTGGAGACAGAGTCTCACTCTGTCACCCAGGCTGGAGTATAGTGGCGCGATCTTGGCTAGCTATAACCTTTGCCTCCTGCATTCAAGTGATTCTCCTGCCTCTCAGCCTCCTAAGTACCTGGGATTACATGCATGAGCCACCACACTGGGCTAATTTTTGTATTTTTAGTAAAGACAGGATTTTGTCATGTTGACCAGGCTGGTCTCAAACTCCTGGCCTCAGGTGATCCACCTGCCTCAGCCTCCCAAAGTGCTGGGATTACAGGTATGAGCCACCATGCCAGGCCAAGAAAATTAATTTAAAGGCAATATCCCTAACAAAGCACAGATGGCTTAAGAAGTGGAAGCACAGCTGGCTAAGGGGGACACTCCTCTCAAAGTTAAATCTCCACTGAATAAAATCCCAGAAGCATTTTCCAGCCTGTTACAAATTCACCAACTTCAGCTATCATCCAAACCCTGGCCTCAGAAAAGGAGAAAGATTAACAACATAGCCTCCAGATTCAGACTTCCCGGGTTTGAATTCTAGCACTGGCATTTACTAGCTGTGCATCCTTGGGCAAGTTGCTTAACCTTTCTGTGATTCCATTTCCTCATTCAGAAAACAGGGATAATTATATCCCCCTAACTCACTGGGTTATTACGAAGGTTATGTGAGTTAGTGGTAAAACGTTTAATAGTGCCAGGCATATGGCAAGTGTCTGTCAAATAAGGATCTTTGTGTTCACAGACCCTGATCTACCTATCAAAATGAAAATAGAATGAGTATGACATGGTGTGTTCTTAATGATCCATTTCTAGGTCCTTGTGATCACCAATTCCTCTGCTACCCAAAAACAATCCCTTGGATAATATGCCTCAAAACATTTGGGCTCACAGGTCTATCATATGCAGAATAAACCTATTACATATCAACAATTTCATAGGGTTCAGCCTAATGCTTCCACTTTTTTGAGAGCTGGAGTTTTTGACCCATTTTAGCATTCTCTCTTTTTTATACTCTCTTTCCCCATGTCAACAGAGAAAGGAAGGTGAGTTCCCAAAAGAACACAAGAGAGCCATCCTTTTCAGAGACCTTGAGAAAAAGAAAGATCTTTGAGACATATGGTATCTACAATCTAAATGATATGTAACTTTCCTATTATACAAAAAATATAAAACCCAAGGTCACTCTCTGTTGACCTTGAAGAAGACAGAGGCTGGACAAGCTAACAGCCAGACAAGTATGGATCCCCTTCAGAAGATTATGTGAGGGCCAGGGCAAACTCTTGCACTCAGCTTCTGCCCTTCAATCTTCCCCAAATCACCTGAGAGTCTGACGTCAGCATCTTGGACTGCCAAAGCTATAGTTCTGTTTTTGTTTCATTGACACAGGAAGAGGCTCTCTAAAAGCAGAACCCAGATGAAGGGTGGCTGTCAGGCTTCCAGGAGGACATTTTTCCTGGGCAATCAGGGCTGGGAAACCAAACATATCCGGGAGCAGCCACGTCCCCCTTATCCCCTTGTATTCCTCTAAAGACCTTTGGCTCTTTACCTCGCACTGGAAGGGATCAGATATAAATGTCACTAGGTCCATTTCACAGCTAGGTAAATAGAGTCGGGGAATCTGACTCTCAGACAATAAACAGAACTGAATTTTGAAGCATTGCTCTTTTCTGGGGCAAAGACCAATGACTTGTTGATTTTGCAAACAAGGCAGTGACATGATCCATGTTTGAAAGAGGACCCTGGTAGTCTTAGAGGAATAGGGTGGGGACTGGAGGTGAGTTCTAAGACTCTGGGAATTGACCAAGAAGGAAGTGGGGGGATACTCCAAACTAAGATGTGGTGGTGGAAACAGACAGGAAGGTGCTTCTGAGAGGGGATACAAAAACAGATTTGTCCCCAAGAAATCAGCTTGTTTCTCAAAAACTGAAACAAGGATTCAAGGAGGTTATTTGGGCTGGTGGTATTAGCAGGCACCTGGAGACACAATCTCTCCCGGCTCTGCTTGGAGACAGATTCCCCTGACTGTATTTACCTAGCTGTGAAATGGACCTAGTGACATTTATACCTGATCCCTTCCAGTGTGAGGTAAAGAGCCAAAGATCTTTAGAGGAATACAAGGGGAGTAGGGGGACATGGCTGCTCCCAGATACGTTTGGGCTCCCAGCCCTGATTACCCAGAGAAATATCATCCGAGAAGCCTGAGAGCCACCCTTCATCTGGGTTCTGCTTTTAGAGAGCCTCTTCCTGTGTCAATGAAACAGAAAGTAGGAGTTTGGGAAGGCTGATTTTGACTTAAGGACACTGAATACAATCTTTTCTGGGTGTTTACAAAGTGTGTTTACCAAGCAGCCACTCTCCAAACCCTAGCAACTGCTTAAAACAAGAGAGCTGCTGATTTGTGGAGTGTTTTCTTTTCAAAAAATATCGCCGTAAATGTTGGATTTAGAGACATTCTTTCCTTTTAAAAATAACTTGTCAAGGGGACAAAAGTATTTAAGAGGCTTTCTTCTCAGCTCAGAAAGCCATAGGGAGGAGGAATGGTTTGTTTTGGAGTTTTTTGGGTTTTTTTGGGGGGGGGGATTTTTTATTTTGCATGAGGTTAGAGCTAGGAGTAGGAGAAGTAGGAGGGGCAGTTGGAAAGCAGGTGGGATGTTGGTTAGCTCTTTGCCTTCGGAATCCCAAACCCCTTCTCTGATTGCTCCTTCCCTCACCTTTTTCTCTCAAAAACCCACCAGGATCTAGGAGAAAACAAGATTGAGCTCTACTTTGCCCCCTCCCTTTCCCTTTCCCCCTCCCCTGCAGTCCCACCCCAGCGCTCCCCACCTACCTCTCATATCAGGTGTCAACTTCTTCTTTCTCTCCACAGACGCCACAGTGTGTCCCCAAGTGCACCACTGATGGTATACAAGATTTTGGAGGTTGACATACAAATAAGCTTTAAAAAAATTTTTAGCAGTACGTATTTTTTAGAGTACCAAAAAACACAGAGATAGATAGACAGACTATAACAGATAGATAGATAGATAGATATGATTGACAGATAGATAATAGATATGAATGACAGATATAGGTAGATAATGATCGACAGATGATTGATAGATATGATTGACAGAGAGATGATTAATAGATGATAGATATGAATGACAGATAGATAATAGGTAGATAATGATTGACAGATAGATGATTGATAGATATGATTGACAGATAGATTAATGATTGACTGATAGGGCGAGCCAGGACCTCAAACCCATGCTTTCACAGATATTACCCCTTTCCTTTTTAAGCACATTTTACACAACACATGATCATTCAACCAATTATTGGGTTGTTATGGTCCTACTAAGTGCCAGGCACCATTTATCGTTCTTAGGAACATCAGTAAACAAAACAGTCACCAGACACTGATCTCACAGAGCTTATATGCTGGCAGGCAAAAGCAGGAAATAAGCAAGAAGTGAATAATAATCTGATAAATTCTAAAGTGATTAGTGCTATAAGAAAAGAAATAAAGAAAAAAACAAGAAAAGAAATATTAAAGAAAAATAAGGCATGTCAGCAGTGCCCAGGGAGGGGGAAGGGGGTAGGTTCCCAAATTTAATGGGGTAGTCAAAATAAGCCTCATGAAGGAGGTGAGATTTCAGCAAGAACTTGAAGGAGGTGAGTAAGTTCACTACAGGTTTATCTGGGGGAAGAGTGGTTCAGGCAGAGGGAAGAGCTTCAGCAAATTCCCTAAGCAAGGGCCATAACCAGCCTCTTCCAGAAACAGTAAGGTGGCCAGTGTGGCTGGAACAGAGTGAGCAAGGCAAGAAAGTAGAGGGAGAGAAAATCAGAGGAGACAGATTCTGATTCTGATCACTTATTTTAAATGTAATTAAAACTAAATGAAATTTAAAATTCAGATTCTCAGCTGCATGAGCCATGTTTCAAGGGTTTAATAGCCACTTGTGGCTAGTGGCTACCTTATTGGGTAGCACAGATAAGAAAATTTCTCTCATCACAGAAAGTTCTATCAGATGACACTGACCTTGAGTGTTTTGGCTCCTTTTTTGGCTTGGTTAACTTTTATTCAGACTTTAACAGCTCAAACATCACTTCCTCCAGGAAGGCTTTTCTGACCACTCTTCCTGTACATCAGCTCCACTGTCCTATGCATGCTCTCAGAGAGCCAGGTGGCTTTCCTTCGTATCAGTTATCTCTTTGTGAAATCGTACACTAATTGGCAGTGCTTGATGGCTTGTACCTGAAGTCCCAGCTACTCAGGAGACTGAAGTGGGAGGATCACTTGAGTTCAGGAGCTTGAGGCTACAGTGAACTATGGTCACTGCACTCCAGCCTGGATGACAGAGTGAGACTCCATTGAAGGAGGAGGAGGAGGAGAAGAAGAAGGAAGAAATTGTATGCTCATTAGTACAATATCTTACTGATGTCTCTCTCTCCTAATACATTTTAAACTCCGTTGTTTCTGTTTTGGTTCATTGTTATATTGCCAGCACCTAGCACAGGGCCTGACGTATGAAGGACAAATAATTTGTTCAACGATCCAATGAATGGTTTTAGGTGGTAGGACTAGAAGCAGGGTATTCACTAAAAAAAAGGTTATAGCACTGTGGAGAACTGTGATTCAGTAGGCTCCTGGGACCCAAAATTTTGCTGGGTGAGAGCAGCTCCAGAGGCTGGAGTCCCTACTGCACCAAACTTGGATTCAGCTCAGGACCCTTAATCATTTTTGCACCCCCTTCTCACCAAGGCCCCCACATGCTGTCCCTCCAGGATAACAACAGCATAGCATCTGTCTTTACCAGAGAAGCCAAGTCTCAGATATTCACATAATGTCTCTTCATTCCTTCAGTCCTGTGCTTGCAGCAGCAGCAGCGGCAGCATTGAAATGCTTCCTTCTGCTGCTCGCGAATCCGAGGAGTGGGGACCGACCTTGGCACATTTGCTGGGATGCCTGGCTAGGCAAGGAGAGTGCCGTGTGCTCCAGCACGTATGTGGCCGCCCTCATGGAGCAAATGCTGGACTGCACAGCCCTGGATCTGACAGGTAACACGCAGCAGCTGCATGATTTAAAAGGCCTTGTGGGAAGAGGTTTTGTCTCCCACTTTGAGAGCTTGAGTGCTTCATATAAATATTTATGGGAGTCTGGGGCCTCCATTAACCCTACCAGTACCACATTTCACTTGTTACATGGTGCTTGTCTGTGAATGAATGTGAACACCCGTGTTCAGTTATACATGCATGTATGCATGTGCGTGTGAGGATGTACATGGACTCCTATGCATTTTGGGAGAGCATGTGTAATCAATTGTATCTCAATGTGAGTATAAATACATACACTTATGTGCACATAATTGTGAACATTGTATCCACACTGTAAATGCATGTGCATGAATATTTAGACATGCATGCATATAGGCATGGATACATACATATGCATACATGTATAATGTATGTGTATATGTTTGTGTGCATGTATGTGGGCACATGAATATGAGAGTTTGTATCTAGCAAATGAGCACATGTGGATTCTGTGCTCCAATGTGTATGCAGGCCTGCCTCCATATGTGTAAGCCTGAGTGTATACACATGCATGTTTATTCATGCACCTGCTCTGAGAACATATGCATATCTATGTGCAGGTCTAGAGCTTCAACATTACCCCAGAAATAGCTTTCATTAAACTATGGGCGATTCCATAAAAATTGCCTCGCCTAGAGGCTGCTGCTTCTATAAACACTTGTTCTGGTAATTATGATATATTTACTGGTAAGTTCAATTGAGAACAGATGAAAGGTGAAAGAACTAACTGTTCATTAATTGCAAACAGTACCAATGTCCCAAGACAATGATGCCCAAAGTGTCCTCCTCCACCACACACAGACACACAGACACAGACACACACACACACATACACACACTTCCCACCACCATACTCCTCTGCCAGAGATTGAAATGAGCAACAAAGCTGCAGTTTCTCTCTGACACCCTTGTCATCATGTTTGTACTTGTGCATCTCCAAATTCCCATCACCCATCTCTTTGCCTGGGGATGCAAAGAGAGCATCTTATGGCTGGAGAACATGAAGCACACCCTTGTAAATGTAACTACCCTCTGCAGAGGGATTTAGAGAGGAAACTGTCATCAAAGATGACTATGTCCCACTCCTCCATACTTCCCCCCACCCGAGTGTTTCAGATAAGGCATAGTGGACTTACGAAGTTTGGTGACAAAAATACAAATTTCAGCACCAGATAGGTGGGGACTCAAGTTCTAGTTCCTCCACAGGGTGACACTGAGCAAATAGTAACCACTCTGGGCTTTACTCATCTCTGACCTGCAGATAATAGTAACCCATGCTTCATAGAGTTAAGTGAAATGTAATAATGAAACTAATCTCACAGTTTGGTTACACTTCTGCTTTGTGACCTTCCTGCCCATTGTCCACAGAAAGGGACATTTGTGCCATGCTCTGGCTCCCAGAACACAAAGGAGGATGGGTGTCAAGCCCTGCAATGGGAAGCACATCCCTTCTCTGTCCACTCAGGACAGGCAGAAGTGAGCCCCCAGGCCAGTCCAGGTCCATGATCTCTCTAGAGTAAAGCTCAGGTACCTGTAACACCAGCAGAAGCAGGGAAGTGAAGGTGCCAGATCCAGAGAAGAAACAAAGGGACACCAAGAGTGAGCTAAGGGCAGCTGTGGCTCCTGAATCCGATGGAGTCCTGGGCTATGATCAATGTCTGCCTCATGCTCCAAAGCTCTGAAATGGGCACCTTGTAGTCTCCCACCCTGCTGTCCATTTACTGCAAGGAGTCCAAGCCTAGGTAAGATATACAGATCTCCAAAAAAGAAAACACAACAATATAAATGTTGGACTTGTGGATTTCATCTCCCTTCTTATGCTGAAACTGGCTTCTTCCAGAAAGTACCAGGGCTCCTCCCATTGCCTCCAAAGCTGTCCCTCCAGCCCAAAGACAACATCCCTTTTTGATACAAATACGAAAGAATGTGTAATGAGTGGCTGGTATATTTCATGAAAGTAACTTCACATGAAAGAATGCAGAGAGGCAGCTAAAACTGAGTTTGGCTTCATAACAAATCATTAATATAGGTGATTTTCCACATTGAAGTAGTAACTTATTTCATGTATTCTATTTCTTCCAAGTGAGAACACTGAGCTCTGATTTTCTTATCTAAATGCATCTTTTAGGAGGCATTCTGGGATAATGTATATAATGCATCTTTTATTATCCTAAAAGATAGGATAATATAAGATGCATCTTTTAGTATGCATCTTTTAGGATAATATGTGTAAGACAACGGAGAAAGACATTAAGAAGACTAAGTGTGAGGCACAGGAAATTGACAGAACGTGGTAACGGTGTTCAGAAATGAAGGAGGCATACGGAGGATGCGGAGGAGATACGGAATATGTGCTCCCCAGTTGGAAGAGGTGCTCTCCATGGTCTGGACACATGCTCCAAGAGGCAGGAACTATAGAAAGAATAAAATTTCAGCAGTAGTAGCTGCCGCCTTCGCCAAAATAAGGCTAGGCTTCTAGGCCGGGAACGCCCAGCCTGGGAAGCCGAGTAAGGGCTACTTCCACGGACCAGGTACTCCCTGGACGCAGAACTGTCCCTTCACTGCAGCTGGATTGTCTTCTGAGTGTACTGGGCTAGGCAACAGCACAGAGCAGCTTTACCAACCAGATTGATTTCTTTTAGGAGGGCTGCTGGAAACCATGCTGCCTAATGGATGTGCCATTTGAGGACTTTTATTTTGTTGGGGGGGAGGAAGAGCAGAGCAAACCTCTAATCTTCTCTTCCTTACATAACAAATCCAAACACAACTATCTCTGGGATGGGAGGCCAGGCCAGCAGACTGCAGGCTGCAGAGGGAAGGGTTACGCAAGAAGCCAGTTCAGAGTTTTCCTTTCTGAAAACAGAAGGGCCTGGAGTGCAGATTTTGCACCTGAAAGCCTGCAAGGGAATGACCAGAAACTCTAAACCCACTGTCTCCAGAAGCCAGGACAGGAAGAGCTTGGGGAGTGGGGATGAGAGAGCAAGAGAGTAGGGGGTTTGCCTGGTGTGGCAGAAGCTGCAACTCCAGGTCACAGAGAAAGCCAAGTGACCAGCCTGGTGGATCTGGCGTGGTTCCTGGCAGCTCCCACTGCAGTATGGGTCCAAGAGGCCTCTGGGCGGGCACAGGCTGAAGCAGTGGGTAGGAGTCGAGTGCCCTCTGACAGGCAGGGGCGTTGTCCTGCCACAGAAATGCCCAGAGACCCGGGACTGAGGGAAGCCTGCCTGGTTCACTGAAAGAGGGATCTGGGTCCAGGGCCCAGGCTCAGCTTCCCCGGAGATCCCTTCCCGGAGAACCGACTGGTGCCGGTTCCCCCGCAGCGGGGCGCCGATCCCCAGCGAACCTCGCCACTGGGGGAACCTGGAAGGGAAAAGCGGGATAGTTGGAGCGGTCAAGACGAGAGCCCGGAGCAGCGGGCCCTGGTCCTAGTGCTGCGCGGTGGCTCGGGGGACTCCAGAGTCTCATTCCCCCGCGCCGCACACTCCAGCCACCTCGGGACCCCGCTCGGCAGCCCTTCCCCGCCAGGCAGCGCCGAGATAAAAAACAGAAGAGAAATCAAAACAGAAGGAGAAAGTTTTCTGAAATGAAAGAGGTTACGAAGGAAGGGCTAAAAGAATGGGAAATGTCAAAGAAAGAAAAAGGATGCCAGGAGGCAAGGGAATGGTGCCTAGGCTCCCACCCGTCCCCGCGCACAAGGACCCGAGGCTCCCGGCAAGCCCAGCTGAGCGCCTTCCCCGACCCGCCTCTCTGAAAGTGGCGGCGGCGGATCCAGTCCGCACAGCCTCCCGCACACCCCCCAGAGATCCGGGGTCGCAAGAGGCGGGATTCGCGCCGGACTAGACTGCAGCTGCTCCAGCCACGGGCGCGGTCCGAAGGGAAGCCCTCGTCCGGGGGCCTGCTGTGCCCCGTGCGTGCGTCCGGGTGTCTGAGCGTGCCTGTCTCTGAGTGCGTCTCCGGGTGCAGGCGCCAGCCTGTCTACGTGGGACGGGTGCTGACTTGGAAGACTCCCGGCCCTGGAGGATTTTCCCCCGGGGATGTGAAGGATTGCAAGGAGCCCGCGAGCCGCAGGGAGCGGTGGGAACGGAAAAGGAGGATGACGGTGGCGGGGTGCTGCTAGGGTGGGACGTGCCCGAGGGCCTTGGGACTCGGTTCTCTTTTCCTGGGCTTGTGGGCTCTGGGGCATCACGGCGGGTCGGGACGACAGGCTACAGGCGGAGACGCAGCCGGGGCTTGCCTGATGTGCGAGTCCGCCCTGGAGGCTCCGGAAGCCCGGGCCTCCTCCAAGGAGCTGCCGGTTCCGCCTGACTCTCGCCTGCTTGCGCCCCGGGCCGGTTAGTGCTCACTTGGAGGGTTGATGCGGGGACTGACAGTGCCTCAATGTCAGTCCCCGCACCATCAATGTGGGTATCAATGAGGGCATCAATGTGTGCAGGATGTGTCTGTGTATCTGTGTGTCAGTGTATCACTAAGACTGTGTTCTGGGATTGTCAGATTCTCCGAGAGGCAGCTGGTCACTCCAAACCGGCTTGAACCACTTTGTCTTCTGGATGCAATGTTGATGGTATTGGTCACTGGGTCGATGTCTGTGCTTCTGTGCTCTGGGGAAGAAAAGCCAACACTTTGGAGTTTGCAACCCTCCCCAGCTCAGAGGCTAAGGATGGAGAATGTCAGTCCGCTTGGGACGATTCCAAAGGGAGTCAGGCCGCCGGATTTAGGGTCTCCACCAGCCAGGAGTTCGTGATCTTTTTGGTCTCTGGAGCCATGCAGTGGGATTTCCTCTGGCACCCTACCTGAGCGAAGCCTCTTTCACCACAAAGAGGATACATGTGTACATGTGAAAACATTCTGTGCAGGAGCATGTGTGTATGCAGTTACCCAACTAATCAAAGCCCCTTGCTCCTTCATTCATGCACATGGGGACAAAGGTTCCACAGAGCCAGGCTCAGCTGCCCTCTCCTCCCAGATCACAGCCAAAGCCTTCCCCACCGGACACATCTTTCATCTTTCTGCCAGTGAAATCAACTGGGCCTAGGAATTAAATTCGAGCTAGAATTCCAAGCTTCTCTCCTATTGAACAACACCAACACACTATATAAATGTACATGAATGTTAATGTTATCTGTATCCCAAATTTTTAGGTCCCCTTCCTCTTCTCTAGACCTCAGCCATCACTACCTCCAGGCTTCCAGGGATCCAGGCCAAAATTCCCTGTTAGTTTCACTCTCCTTTTCCTTCTCCCAGCTCAGATTCCCAGCTGGGGCTCCACTTCATGGGTCTCCTACACCTCCCCATTTGGGTTCTGAAACTCCATGAGCCAGAGAACCCCAGGAACTAAACGCTAAGCCTCCTGGACTGCAGATAATGAGTCTAAGGAGACCGGAGCCCCTCGGAGCTAGCCATTGCCAAAGGATCACAAAAACTCTACAGGGGTTGGAGATCCTACTCCATGTCCCAGGGGTGTCTGAGGCCAACCCTGAGTTATAGACAGGACTCCAAGGAGGCTGAGAGGGGTTGGGGGTGACCTAGGTGGGCACCACTCTTCCAAGAATACGGAAAAGGAAAGGTTCTAGGGCCACCTCCCAGTCAGGGATCTCCAGGCTGCAGCCAAAGCTGCTGCACTGGAGTGATGACCCAAACCCCTCCAACACCCAATTCAAGGAGCCACTAAAATTCAGACTCGGCCACACAGTGCCCATCTGCAGAACTGAGGAATCCATGCCTCAGCGCCAGTGCACCCGAGGCATACTACCGTCAAAAACACAAGTCCACACAGAGAGGTGTCCTGCCTGGAGGGTTTTGCACCCCAAGATCCAGTGCTGGGTTGTACCTGCTTCTATCAGCTTTGGGGTGAGGGAGACAGGCCCCATTCAGAGAAGGTATCTGGCTCTGGGCAGCTCCAGTTGCTCCCAGAGAGATGTGCTGGGTAGGAGAAAGGAGACTTGCACCCCAGGCAGGAAGGCAAAGGCCCGGGTCAGCTGGGCCAGAGCGCCAAAAAGACCCAGCTTCCCCATCAAGGTGGCAGCTCTTGGCTTCCTAGTCTCCATCAATCACTATTTCAGAGCAGACAGACTAGCAAGTCAGTTCTGGTGGCCAAGCCTGAAAGCACTGAAAAAGTGGCGTGTGCCCCACACCCAGGGACTCCAAGGCTGTTTGGACCTGCGCCCTCTCAGCTCATAATCCAGCTCTCTTGACCAGGGTCTGTACCTAGGGTGGGAAGCAGAGAACACATTTGAGGCTCATGTACACACACACTCAGACACTCAAGGAAGGGATTTGCTAGGGCTTGGTTTGCTATTCCATTGGCCATGGGGTGAGAGTAACCCAAAGTTGATGCGACTCTTGAGGAAGCAAGAGAAGAAAGTCAAAATCATGCGAACGCAGAGTCCTCTAAATAAACACCATTTCCATGGTTTTAATAAGCAAAATAGGAAACCATTTTAATAACCAAAAAACAGAAACCAGTCTGAATAAAACTACAATAGACTAGGTTTTAATATTTTCATATCATAAGCAGGGTTTGAAATTGATCCCTTATTTTACATGAAATAAAAACAATTTCTGTTGCGGCAGGTTTGATTTCAACACAGTTGAATCTGTAAAAACCAAAGCTCGTTTCTGATGCAGGACAAATATCCACAATATTTAAAACTGCAAGCACCATGCGGTTCATACAATCTTGTTATTACTGTTAATTTATCAACTAATACAAACTCAAAAATGCATCCGGCCAGCAGCGCCAGCAATTTCAAATGGGAACTTAAAAATACACTTTTATTTTGGTATTTTTGTCAGTGCAACTTAAATCCTTTTACTGACCTGCAGAAAAAAAAAAGTAATAATAAAGAAAAACACCCATATCTTCCCTATAACTACTATACAACTGAAGAATTGAAGGGGGGGGACACCACCAAGAACTCTTCCTACTATCTCAAAAGCAGGGAAAGAAACGCAATGCATTGGTCTAAAGAACGCACTTGAAAGTTGCAAAATTACTTGCCAATGTTTGGGTTTCTGGTACATTCTGAGCATAGCAGTTGGTTCAGTGCAGTGTCTGCTTACCAGTGCACTGCCAGGGTCAGGGATGGCTAAGCCTCTCACCCTAGGAGCGCTGTGGCTCCTACAATTAGCGCAGGCCCAGAGGGTTCAGAAGGGACCTCAGGGTGATTCTGGTTACAATAAAAAGCAGAGGGGAGGATCTGTTTTCCTTTCCTTTCCTTTCTTATTAAGGGTATCAATTTGACCATAAGACAAGGCTGTAGTCCAGAACACTCCTCTGGGGTGCGGAGCTTGGCAGCTTCCCTGCCCTGCCCTGCCCTTGTACTGGGACCTCTCGGTTCTCTCTCTCAGCACCAACAAGGTTGAAAACTAAAGCGAGAGAGGAAAAAGAGGACCGAATGGGGATAAGGGAAGGAAAGAAAACATGCAACTTCCAAGTGTGCCCCAAGACAAAGTTGTTTTCTGATGCAAAATGCCCGGAACTTTTTCTTTTTTTTTTTCTTTTTAACTTACAAACAAAAATACCGTAATAATAAACCCAAACAAAGACCCTCAGCTTGCTGCCACGTTCTCTATGCGGTTTGGCGGGGCGGGTATTTACAAGCCTACAGCTGGGACTGAAACCCCGCACGCAGCCGCCGGAGTTTCCAAACTGCGATCCCTTCTCACCCAAAGAAACAAGGGGAGTATGATCCATGATCAACAACATGCTAAAGTTAAACAAGAAAATGGTACAAAATAGAAATTATTACCATACATGTCCAGCATGCAGGATTAATATTTTTAATGCAGATTTTTTGTATTTTTCTATATAATCGAGCAGGCAATAAAACTGATGAGATTTGGGCGCCGAGCGTCCTAACTGAGGCCTGTGTCTCAGGGCTGAGAGCCAGTGTTCTCCGAACTCTGACAGACAGGTCCGTCTGTCCTTCCTTCTTTCGCTCAGCCTCGCCTCTCGCCTGCCGGGACGCCAGAGTCCCTCTCCTTTCCTCGTTGCTCTCTTCCTGGCGCGGACTACTCTCCGGGCAGCAAAGCAGCTGTCCCGGCTTAACGCGCAAAGTTCAGAAAGCCAGGAGTCTCCAGATGGCCTTGGTGACTTCTCGGGACTATGCCTCGCCGCCCTTCAGCCTGGAGAGAAGTTACTCCGGGACCTCCCACCCTCTCGTCTCTCTCTCCGGCTCTGCTCGAGTCTAGGAGGCGGCGCTGGCGTGCGCTACTCTCGCCTTAGCCAAGGTCCCCTGCCCGCCCGCGCACCCGCCCGTCGCCCGCGGCCCGCGCGCCCTTCCTCCCTCTCGCTCAAGTCAAACAGGTCAAGGCTGGGGCCGCGGCAGGGACAGGGTCCGGGGTAGTCTGGGACTAGGGACGTGGGACAGGGAGTCCGGGCCGGGGCAAGGGCGGGGGCCAGGACCGGCCACGACTCACAGAAAGAACTCGGGAGAGGAGGGGCTGTCGCTGGTGGAGCCCGCCTCCCTGAAGCCGGAGTTGGCGAGTTTCTCGCACTTGACCTTGTAGGCGTCTCTCTCGCGGGCCAGCCGGGACACCTCCTGCTTAAGCTGCTCCACCTGCTGAATGAGCTGCGTCTTCTCATTCTCCAGGTGGTGCTTCTGCTGGACGCGTTTATACCTGCAAGACTGGGCGTAGCCCCGGTTCTTCAGGGTCCGCCGCTTCTGCTTCAGGCGGATCACCTCGTCCTTGGTGAAGCCCCGCAGGTGGCGGTTCAGCTCGCGCACGGACATGGACACGAGCTGGTCGTCGGAGAAGCGGTCCTCCACGCTGCCGTTGCCGCCCGCCGCCGTCGCCGAGGCCGTCGCGTGCGGCCCGGGCCCGGGGTGGCTAGTGGGCAGCTGTTGCGCCGGGCTAGCGGCGCTGGACGGCGGCGGCGACGCTTGGTGATGATGGTGATGGTGCGGGTGAGCGTGCGGGCCCAGCTCGTCGTGGGCCACGCCGGCGCCCGGGTACGCGTGGTGCGGGTGAGGGTGGTGGTGATGGTGGTGGTGGTGAGCGCCGCGAAAGCTGTCGAAGCTTTGCAGCGGCTGTGGCACTGGGTGCGAGCCGATGAGCGCTTCCACCGCGTCCTCGGGCGTCAGGTTGAGCGCCTCGGGGTTCATCTGCTGGTAGTTGCTCGCCATCCAGTACAGATCCTCGAGGTGTGTCTTCTGTTCGGTCGGGCTGAAGCTGGGCGACGAGGGCACGGAGCTACACGGAGTGCTGAGCGGTGTGGAGGACACCGAGCCGGCTGGCTGCAGGCGTGTGCAGGGCCTGCCCGGACGCTCCGCGCGCCCCAGTGGCTCCTTCTTCACGTCGAACTTGAGCAGGTCGAAGTCGTTGACATACTCCATGGCCAGCGGGCTGGTGGGCAGCTCTGGCCCCATGCTCAGCTCCGCGGCCATCGCTGAAGCGAGGCGCAGCCGCCGCTGCCGCCCGGGAAACTTTGCGGCCGGCCGGAGCGCGCCGAGCCAAGCGCGGGGGGGAAGAGCGGAGAAGAGCTGGGGAGGCGGGGAGCGAGGGCGCAGCGGGCCGGGGCCGCCGGCCAAGCCTTTGTCTGGGGACGCGGCGGCGCGCCGGAGAGTCCCGAGGCTGCCTGCACCGCCCCAGAGCTCTGGGCTGTGCCCGCGCAGGGACCGGGCCGGGTAGAGTCGGGCGGGGTGGAGAGGCAAGCGGAGCGCGCGGTGGGGCTGAGGGGAGGCGTGGGGCGAGTGCCCGTTGCTCGCTCTCTAGCTCTCTTGCTCTTACGCTCTCTCGCTCGCAGCCGCTCGCAGCTCGGCGGTGCAGCTGTGCTGGATCCGGCGGCGCCGCAGCCTTTTATCGCCTCCTGATGTCACTGGGGTGCGGGGGCCCGGGCGGCCCGGTGCGCGGGCCAATAGCTGCACGGCCTCCGCGGCCCAGCGGCGCAGGGCGGGGCGCGCCTGACAGCTCCCCCGCCCCCCGCGTCAGCTGACTGGCGGCCCGAGCGGCCCCGGAGCGGCGGAGGCCTGGCGGAGCGCTGGAGCGGAGTGGGACGGCCAGCCTGGGCCCACCCCCGTACCCTGCAGGTCCCGGCCCACGCACGCTCGCCTGGAGTGCGCGCCCCACCTCTAGGCCAAATCACCGCTTTCCCCTCCTCGCGCACTCTCCTCCCTCAGTTCCCTTTGCACCCCACCCCCATCCCGTGTCACCCCCAAGGAGGCTCAGAATGAGCGCCGGGACAACGCCTCCTGGGCCCTTTGTTCCCAAGCGGCCCCCGCCCAGTGGGCGACGCTCTGTGTGTCCTCGCGGCTTCTGGCCGTGTGTGTCGTGCGTTCCTGTTTCTGGAGATCTGCGCGTATTTGTATGTTGGGGAGGGCGGGCTCGAGGCTCCGAGAGTTGTGTTCAGACCCAACTCTTAACCTCAGGGGACCTTTCTCAGGCCAAGCGAGGGCCCCTCCTGGCGGGTGCAGTCGCAGAGCCCTGAGGTTCGACTCCACTGGCCCCGCCGCTCCCCGCGTTCACCCCACCGCACAATGTTCACAGTGAAGGCGACGGGAAAAGCAGCAGCCCAAAGGCTCTGAATTCCTCTTCCCCGCCACACGCACGGAATCCTGAGCCCCCGGAGCCTCGGGGCCGAGGCCGGCCCGGGACGGTGCTCCGAGTAGCTCTCCACTGCTGGGGAGCCGGCCCTGTTTTTGTTTGAACGTTTTGTAACGATTAAGCAGATCCCGGCGTCAGCCCGCCGCGGAGAGGCTCAAACAGGCATAAAGTGCGACCCCAAGTGGCCACTGTGCGCAAAGGCGCCGCGACCGCCCGGCCCACGGCCGGAAGGCTTGGACGGCGCCTCGTACCCAGCCAGGTCTCCCCTACCTGGCCCAACCCAAGCCAGCCCAGAACGCATACTATGTGTGCACCAGAGCCCAGGACAGGTTCCCCTCGAGCGATGTACAGGTCCTCGGGTCCCGTCTTCGTACTCAGCCGCGAGCCTCGAGCCGCGAGCTCCGCTCTGGTCGCCCCGTTGAAATTCCGTGCCCCAGCGTTCGGGGGTGCCCGTCGGCTGCTCCCTGGGCCGGAAGGTCCTGGGCGGAGGAAGGCCGGTAGCCAAAAGTGGAAGCGCCACAGTGAAGCGGCCCAGGGCCACCGGGTGAGAAACCTCCCCGGAGGGCAGACGGGGAGACCGAAGCACACCGCACTAGGCATCCAGACTGGGCTTGGGAGCCGCGCACCCTCCCTACCCAGATCCAGGATGGCTAGAATTAACGGGTTCTTTCTGAGACCTCGGCTCAGGCGCCGAAACCGGATAGATCGCGAATTCGCTGGACCCGGAGACCCGACCCGCCTCCCGCGTCACCTTCTTCTTTCTAGCTTTGGGCGCGCGCAGCGAAAGGCAGGAGAGGCGCGCACTGGGTGAGTGAGTCCCGGCCGCTGTCTGCGCTGGACCAGCCCGACTGACCTCGCGCGTAGGGGTCGCGTGAGCCACACCGGTGCAGACGCGCCTAGATTATTTTTAAATGTTAGAAGGTAAAATATTTGCCTCCAATTAATCTGAAAACTCTCTATTCTCTTGCGCCCTCGGAGAGGCTGGGGTACGGCGTGGTATTGGGCCGCCTATTTTTAATAAAATGAGTGTATTTTAACTAAAACTTAACTCAATCTTGTGGGGTGGCAAATTAAATGCTGGAAGAGCGCGTCTACAACCCTCTTCGAGAAGCGTGCTCTCCGCAGAAATGAGTCGGCCGCCTGGAGAGAGAGCCTGGGCGGTGCCGCTGCGCAGCCCCTGCCAGTAGCTGGGGGTTGGGGACTCGCACCTTGTAAATGTCCTCGTCTTGTTTGAACGCAGTGAGAGCACACTCGTTTCCAGATCACTCGGGACCGGGTGTCTCGGATCTGTGCAGACTATGTATGGCTCCGGCCTCAGGCGGCCAGGGCGGGACAAGCACGCCTGACTCTCTTGGTCCCGACTGGACTAGAGCTGGTAGCACCCTCCCTCAGGGTCCTAAGAGACCTGTGGCTCCCAGAGTGTTTCTGCCACTGTGGACTTCTGCGCGGGCACCAAGATGGACAGGCCAAGCTGTGACCCACTCCACCCCCGCCCATACGTCCCCTCGGCTCTGCCTGACACTGGCCGTCGAAGACTTCCGTGGCCCATTAAGGCCCTGGGGATTCCTGAGGCCCCAGGTCTGCGGTTCCGAACCTCCTCTTCTCCTGCGGGCGGCCTGCCTCCGACTCAGGGTCTCTTGGACTCGGGCTTTGGGCAACCGCGCTCTTCTTTGTCCCTGTGCCTCTGTCTCTGTTGTGGTCACTCCCTTCGCCTGGGCTTTGACTGTGGTATCTCTGTCCATCCCCAGGCTCACTTCCCCACCCAAATCCGTTTCTCTGCCCCTCTCCCAGCTTAGCCACTCCCTCCTCTGCACACCCCACAACCTACCCCACCAAAAAAAAATGTTGGAAACAGCCCTACCCCTGCCAGGCTGTGGGTGAATGACGGAGACATGCAGGTGGCCGAGGAGTTAAGGCCGCTGCTGCGCAGCCGGCCCCACTTCGTGGCCTGGCCTCCCCCACCCCGGTTACTGCTGCGCTGACTTGGAGCCCCAGGCCCTATAGCCTCCAACTTCCGACTGCTGTCGCGGGATGCCGCTTCTCATCTCTGGGGTCTCTGGATCAGCATGCCAGGCTCGGCTCCCCGTCATGGATACACAGCAGTGCCCGCAGTCTTCACCCTATCCCTAAAACGTAGGCAGGGTTGAGGTGAGGAGGGTGAGGGATTGCTGCTGTATACCTATTGACTGGGAGTCCGACACGCTCAAAGAAAAAAAGTAAAAGAAGGAACGGTGGAAGAAGTGAAGGGTCGAGGAGAAGTAAAGGGAGGCCAGGAGACACGCGAGCAGTGCACGGAGTCCCAAGGCACACTGAAGGAAATGCACGGAGTCCCAAGGCACACTGAAGGAAAGTCGGGGATTTTGCGGCAGCCACAGCCCCTCTAGTGAACAGCTTGTTGCCAAAACTCCCATTTAAGGTGTTTACCCAAGAGTGACCTCCTCTCTACCCACGCCAGGTTGGGCCAGAGGCTATGCCTCTGGGACGCACCGCCTCGGGATTCTTTAGCTACAAATGGTGATGGAGGAAGCTCTGCAGGGTCCGAGCCGCTGCAGAGCCTTGGAGCATTCGGGGTAGGAGTAAGAGAAGAGGTTATTCCCTAAGGGAGCGTGGAGCCCACAGCCAGCCGCCAGGTGTGAGGTTTGCCGCGCTGCCCTCGTTGGCCCCCACTCAGCCGAGGGAATAACTCCAGAGAGGCCCGGCGGCGTGTCCTCCCGTACGCCTGGAAACCAGAGCGGCATTCCTGGCATCCTCATTCAGCCCGAAGGTGCGCCGTTCACCTTCGGCGTTATTTCCCTGAGGGTTGCAGGTGGTTGGTGAGCGAGGAGGCGTCTCTGTGCACGCATGGGTGCTGTTGGAGGCGTGCGGGAGGGGTGTGTTCGTGCGTGTGCTGTTTGCGCGCGCGTGTGTGTTGGTGGAGAGGCGCAGCAGCACGCGGGATGCGGGAGCGGGAAACTTCCAGCTTCAAAGCTCGGTGGGCTCCGGATCGTACTATGCGGAGTCGCTAAGCAGAGGCCAGTGGTCTCAAGGGCCTCAGAGGCAAGTTCTGCCAGGGAGGGTCCTGAATCAGGGGACCCCCACCTCCCGCCTGCCGCAGGAGCTTGACTTCTGCCTTTGCATCACCCAGATGTAGTGTCACCTGTCTTTTCCAAGGAGCCCTCAGGTCTCTGCCACCTTTTGTGAGGCTCAGTGGAAAAGTATTATGTTGCTCCCATTCCGTGGGATCCTCCCAAGGTCTATGGAACCCAAAAAGAGACAGGAGGGTTTTCTGGGGGATTTTTGTTTCTGTTTTTTGCCCTTACTCTTCCTTTTCCTCTTCCCAAAGGCAGCTATCACTTCCACTTTCCCTTGCCCCATACAACCGCTGTCAGATTCCAACCCAGTGCTTCTAAAAAGGTATTCTTGGGTTTCTGGGTCCTGGTGGTCTTTAGGCAACCAAAAGATTCAGAGGGTCCCAGTAGGGAGCCAGAGTTACACTGACTGTGAAGATCCTGGCTGTCTCTCCTGGGGACCAGGGACAACACCCCAATACATGCAGAAATGTGCACGCGAGCACACACACACACTTAGGGGTAGGAAATTATTATTAAAACTATTTCACTGTTTTTTTTTACTGTGTTCTAATGTGACCAATAAATAATTTTAAATTACACATGTGCCTCACATTCTATTTCTGATGGACAAGCCTGCATTAGATAACCACTGGGCAGTATTGCTTCCAACACAGATGGGATATTTGATAATAGTCACTCTCATTTGTACAGGGAGTTGCAAAGCCTTTTGTCATTCACCTTTTTGTTTTGTTGTTTTTGTTGTTGTTGTTGGTTTGTTTTATTTTATTTTTTGAGATGGAGTCTCACTCTGTTGCCCAGGCTGGAGCCTGGAGTGCAGTGGCGTAATCTCGGCTCACTGCAACCTCCACCTCCTGGGTTCAATCGATTCTCCTGCCTCAGCCTCCCAAGTAGCTGAGATTAAAGGCACACACCACCACATTCAGCTAATTTTTGTATTTTTAGTAGAGACGGGGTTTCACCATGTTGGCCAGGCTGGTCTCCAACTCCTGACCTCAGATGGTCCGCCCACCTCAGCCTCCATCATTCACCTTTTCACTCAACTCTTACAACTCTGTGAAGTAGTAACTATTATTATCCCTATTTTACAGAGATAGGTAAGCAGGGAGATAAGTGGGTGGATGCAGATATATCACAGTGTCTTAAGAGCATTTTGCATTTAAACTCATTCAGTCCTCACAACTGCCCTATGAGATGAGTAGGATTATCTCCATCTCACACAAAGAATGAGGCTCGAGAGGCTAAATGATTTCTTTACAGTTATACAGCAGTGATGAGCTGGAACTTCTGGTCCCAAGTCCAGTGCTCTGAATACTATGAAGCGTGTGGTCTCTGTGTCAACTGAATAGCATCCTGGGGATTCTGGTGTCAGTACGGTGCTTCTCCACCTGTTCTCTGGGTCAGGATTTTCAGCTGCCACAGGATTAGTGACTGTTCAGTTCACAGCTGAACCTTTACCAAGTGTCAAGTCCCTGCCAATAATTTGATTATGAGGACAGTGTTTAATGTGCCTTCTTATCAGTGGCAGTCAAACTTCTCTTTTCCCTTTTCTCTTCCCTGACTGTGTGGGGCTGGAGAGAAACCAAGGCAGGGGTACCGGCCAAAGGAGAACAATTTTGCAGAGTCCTCTCATCCTGTCCTTTACCCTTGGCATCAGCCTGGCCTCTGATCCTGGGTCCTGCCTCTGGTCTGAGTTTGACCTTCAGTCCATATTCATACATCCCTAAATATCAAAGGAAAGAGACAGAGAAAAAGAGAGGGGAGAGATGATTCAGTGCTGATGAGAAGCTCACTGCTACTCAAAGCCACTGTGCAGTGAATGATAACCAGGACAGTTCCCTTCCCACTACACCTCCCCCACCCATGACCCCAGAGCCAGTGTCAGGAATTCTGAAACCTCATTATTGCTCCCCAGGGCTGAGGCCCTCACCTCCCATAGTCTAACTATCGCCTCTCTATCCTTCCACCAGAGAGATCCACCAGATCTCTCTGGTTCTTCATCTGGTACCTTAACCTTCATCCGGTACCTTAACCTTCATCCAAGCCACCCTTATCTTTTCCTTAGAGGATTGCAGAGGCTTTGGCTGTAGACTTTCTGCTTCTCCACAGGGCAGTAGAGATAGTTTTTATATGAATCTGATAATTCCCCCTCTCCCACCCCCTGGCTTAAATACAAATCACTTTAACACTTGGAAAAAGAACCAAATTCCTTGGCATAGCCTTCAGGCCATGGATGGTCTACCCTTGTTACCCTCTCCCACCTCATCTTGCTGCATCCCCCATCACAATGCTCCAGGCACACTGATTTATTTAAGTTCTTCCACAGCCCAAGCTGTGTTCTGCCACAGGACCTTTGCATATGCCATTCCCCTGCTTACAATGAGTCAATCTCTTGTTTCTGAGGAACTTAGAAGACATGTTTTATGGATCTTCCCAGGCCTTGGAGGGACTTGGGTGTACCTAGGCATGGGAGTGGGGTGAAAAGCCTATTAGCAAGGACAAGGTCCTGGTCATTCTAGGGAAATCCTACACACTGGAGTCATAGGGCAAAGCTTGTACCTCCATCCCATCTTTCTTCAACCTGGATCAGGGTAGACCTCAGGTTTGGGAGAAGCCTTAGGAAATAACACAGGGACATTCAAGGAAATGATATAGTCAGCTAGTCCAAATGTTTTACACTTGAGAAAATGGGTTACAAACACAAATTCGTGAGCCACAGTCTGATTTTATAGGTCTGAGTAGAGCCCAAGAATTTGCATTTTAATAAGTTCTCTGGGTAATTCTGATGCCTGGAGTTCAAGAAACACACTCTGAGAAACTAGATGGAATTTGATCATGAGCTCCAGAGGAAGTCTCCAGGAGGTGGAGTTGTCTCTGTGTCCTCAGTAGTCAGTGCAATGCCCATACCAGGAGGAACTCAATTACAAGTGTGGAATAAATGAATGAATAAATGAAATTAATAACTAGGCAAAGGCTGATCTTCCTTACAGTGTGAGGTCTGTGAATTGTCAGGCCTTTTCTGCACACCCTCCAGCCCCCTCCTCTCCCTGAGTTAGCAGTCATTCCTGAACCAATCCTTCCTTCTTCCTCCTGATGCCAAGGACTAACTCAAGAAATCTGCATGATTTGAGTTATCCCACCCCATGGGCCTCCCTGCTTTCGCTTTCTTCCTCCTTTGTCTGGATGCTCTTCAAGGGCCCAGAATTCCAGCTTCTCACTACATGCTCATCACCACATGGAGAGCAAACTTCTCAGGTACAGGGGAAGTAGATGGCACCCTCCCACTGCCCTGGGACCTGCTGCGTGGGAGTGGTGGAGGAAATAATGCTGATTGGCTGTGTCAAAGCCCAGTCTCCATTCAGCCAGGAGCTGCTGTGGTCATTCAATCTCTTTTTAAAACAAATTACAGAAGATCACATTCTCATTGTGAAAAAATGCAGCAATGTAATTTTAACATCTATGTCTAGAGCTACAGCTTGCTTTTGATTTTTACTCAGCAAATGCTTGGTCAATACATGGAAATCTACTTCTTTTTAACTAATGCATAGCATTCTATCCAATGGATGCCCTATAGTTTTTTATCCAGGCCATATTGACCGACATTTAAGCAATTTCAAATCTTTTACTATTGCAAACAATGCTGCAACTCAGCTTTTTACATGCGCCTTTCTGCACATGGGCAAACATTCCTCTAGAAAGCAAGAAATAAAATTGCTGGGTTGAAAGATGTGTGCATTTTCAGTGTTAATAATGTCAAATTAGCCTCTAACAAGATGGTGCCTATTTCATTTACTATCAGAAATGGAAAATCTGTTTCCCCATAGCCACACCAACAATGAATTTCATCAAGGTTTTCCATTTTTGTTTCAGTTTTACAACCAGTGCTGGGAGATGAGGGTTCAGGGATGAATATGGCTTCCTTCCTCTCCTCCAAGACAGTGCAAACCTTGCCATTGTGACATGAAAGGTGTTGTGATGGCAATATGTCCACAGTGCTTCTGGATCCCAAGTAAAAGATCCCTGGTTCTATTGGAAGAAATGGGGAGGGTGGCAGAAAATGCTGCAGAGAAAAGGTGACACTTGGTTAAGGCTTTGGAGGCTGAGCAGAAACTTGCCAAACACAGAAATGCAGGAATTGCTGGTGGTAGGACTAGTCCAAGCAAAGGCATGGAGCAAAGGTACTGCCTCGTGCCCTTGGGGAGCTATTTCAGGGAGGCTGGAAACAGAGATGAAAGCTTCTGCAGGAGCCAACACTCGAAGGACCTTGAATGCCATGTCAAAGGGTCAGAGTTCTGTCCTGAGGGCTAGAAGGTCATCTCCACATGGGAAGGCATCTTTTTTATTGGACTGTCAGGCACATAGTGGGTGCTCGGTAAACATGTATGGAAATAAAAAGGAGAATTTCAAAGGTATTTAAGCAACATGCTTAATTATCTAATTATCTTTCATCCCTCATGGAGAGAGACAAGGTGCATTCCATGCCAGGGACTGAGATCCAGGCTTCATTCTGGACACTGGAGAGGTGGCACAGACACACTCAGCTCAGGAATTCTTTCCTGGGTTGCAGCCCCCCTCCTGGCCCTGTGCCAGGTCCCTTTCACCTCTGCCCGTTAGAGATTGCTTTTGGTTGCTGTGTTGACAACCCCTGTTTCTGTGTTCGGAGCGGCTGTTCAGTGCCATTTCCTGATTTAATATCAGCGCCAGCATACAGCAAGGATGCACAGTTAGCAGTTTTTGCTCCAAGTATTTTTCAAGTTCCCTTTTGATGTAAGGGTTGGGTTTGCAGCTTCCCTGATCACACAGAGCAGGGAGGGAGAGACTGGGGGAAGGAACTGGGAGCCAGAGGTGGGAGAAGACGACCCTGAGAAGATTCATCTAGTCCAGCTGAGCTGAGAGACTCCAAGCTCCTTCTGCAAGGGGATGGCAGAGGGATCAGCTAAGACACGGCAGGCTGAAGGGTTTCCTGGAAGGTGTGGCCTCTGAAGCAAGGCTGCTGTTACCCTTCTGTGTGGGCATAAAGATGTACACGTGTCTGTGAATATATGTCTCTGTCACAAAAACAAAGGGTTAAAAAGGTTAAATGATCTAACATTATGCAATTCAAAGCACGAGGAAATGAAAACAAAATTGGTCCAAAGCAAAACTTAAGGTTGGTACAGGTCCCAGTAGTGCTCAGTTTTTCAGGGTTTGGGGTTGTTTGTTTGTTTGTTTGTTTGTTTTTGACTGAGCATCTACTATGCCCAAGGACTTCCTCAGGGCTGAGTGCTCATCCTCTTCTGATGGAAACAGATCTTTTTCACTACATTATGGCCAATGCAACAAGAGAGCATGCTCGGGGACTGTGCACACTCAGGAACACACACCCACATTTGAGGGCAGGACACAAAAAGAGACTGGGCACTTCTTCACCAGAGTCCTTGAAGGCCTGCACCCCCCCACCTATAGACACCTCTGTGACCTGCTGCTGGGGCTCCATTCTACCTCTTCTACCACCCACCTGTTGGACTCTTCTCCAAGACCTTCTATGTCATTTGGGGTCTTCTGAGAAGCAGAAGCCAAAACAGGATTCTATGTGTAAGAGATTGATTGGGGGACACACCTGTGAAGTATAAAGGAAAAAAGGGCAAGAGGAGGCAGGGAGAGCCTTCAGACCGTGATGTTGGTCTTGCCCCTGTGAAAGGAGAGGGGGAAGGAAGGAGGATGTGGAAGGAAGAGTCTTAGACTGCAGCACTGCTCTAGGAAAGTTGCAACCAGGATCATGCCACCCAGTCATGGCAGACTTCCCCAGGTAATGAAATTAGCCAAGCAAACATCTTCTTGTGTGTTTTCTACATGTGAGGGACTGGATTATATTTAGATTGCATCATCTCACTTAGTCCTTCACAATAACCTTAACAGACAGGTACTATCTTCATTATTACCCCATTTTGTAGGCTGAGGCTTAAATAAATTAAGTCCCTTGCCAGAGGGCACAAGTTACAAGTGACAGAGGAAAGATTCAAAGGCTGTTTGACTCTAACTATTGCTCTGGACTGCTGTGGCCAGGAGGAGGCTTGGAAAGGGTAAGTGGGAGGCTCATTTCTCTCTTTGCACCCATCTCTCCTGCTTATGGGCCCTGGGATGTGTTTCAGCACAACCCCCAACAAGGCTTTTCTGGTCTCATCAGGGCTGATGCCAGCTCATTCCAGGCTGGTCTGCCAGTCAGCCCCAAGCAGATGGCCCAGAATGCTCACCTGAAATAGGCACTTTCCAGCAGCCACACATGTGCTTTTCTCTTGGGCATTACCTCCTCCAGGAAGCCTTCCTGCTGGCTGGCGCATGTTTTCATAGCACCTTATATAGACACTTTGCCCAGAGCATCTGTTATATCTGTGTCCACCACCAAACTCAGCCTCTCTAGGACCAAAACCAGGTCTGAGTCATGTCAGCACCCAGCACTGGAGGGCATAGCACTGGAGAGACAGCAATACATGCACCTGGTGCTTGGACAAAGGAACGTGTCCCAGGGGCATCAAGAAGACACCCTTAGAGAGCATGGGTTGTTGTCAGGAAAGCCATTGCTTTAGCCTTCAGATGTGTAGCCTGCACTCCCTGGCTTGGTTGCCAGGGGACTCACTAACCCCCAGGCAGTGTTAACAATTGAGCTTCTCGCTTCTCTGCAGCAGATAACACCTCCCACCCTTGCCTCAACTTCTCTTGGGGGCCAGGCCCAGGCTTATACCCTTGCTTCCCAAAGCCTCAGCATCTGCTTGGCTGCCAGTGGCACAGTGGGTAGCCCCAGCCAAGGAGGAGAGTTATTTTTATTTATTTCTTCTTAATCATGAACTTAATTTAGCTGCTAATCAGGTTACCATGGTGACTTGCACTGGATTTATAGCAGTTTCCTAAAGTGCCTTTTTCACACTCTTTTGGTAAATGAATAAAATTTGGGTGATGCACAAAGCGCATAAATATTGGGTGTCCTAGAAAAAGGTCAGATGCATCCGTTTTGTATTTGCCTTTTGCCCTGACTAATCAGGCACAAGAGAGCCATGACTATGAAAAGATTCCAGGTTCCTCTCCTCTGCCCTCCCTTTAAAACCTTCAATGGATCCCTACTGCCACCAGGTAAAGTCTGAGATTTTTTCAGTGCTTTCAAGGCCTGCCCCTCTATCCTCCCTTCACTAACACTCTACCTTCCAGTTCTCCTGTGCTGTTTCTTGCAAGCTTTTGCCTCTCTGCTTTTGTTTGTGCTGTGCCCTGATCTGGAAAGCCCTTCCCGGACAGCAGGAAAGCCCTCAGTCTTCTGAGCTCTCCAGAAGGGTTAATTCCTCTCTCCTCTGTTCTGGGAATGATGGTAGCCTGGCTTGTCTGAGAAAGGTTTTCCCCCTTGTCTTGAGACCACTCCCATCCCTATGTGCTATTTTAGAAAACCTTTGAGCACTCTTACTGTCTCCACTATTGCTTGGACAGGGGTGGGGGGCTATAGTGCTGGCCAGCCCAGGAGAGTGGGGCAGGGAAGCAGCAAGGAGATGAAATGAGCAGTTGGCATTTTGACAGCTTTCCGTATTTCACTCTGTGGGAACCTCACCTCGTATTCTACCCCAGTGTTTGGGAAGAGAGGGATCATCCCGTGGGCTCAGAAGAACTTCTGCCTTAGGCCTTCTGCAAGCTCCCCCCACACCCCTTGTGGCTCCCAGAAGGGAGAGTGTCTCCAAGCTGGAGACCATAGTTTCCAGGTTTCCCTTGAGGACCTTGGGGCCGGCTGCCAATCAGTCTTGGGATCAGCCACAATCCATTAGCGAATGCTCAGGGCTCAAGGCGCCAACAGAGCCACCAGGCGTCGGCGCCAGATCCTACTCAGGGAACCCAAAGCCACCTTCAATTATTGTCTTGGACTTTGTAATCAGACAAGCTGGGCCCACAGACCATAGGCTGTTTTCCTAGGCTCAGAAACCCCTCCAGCCCCAGTTCTGGCACCCTGAGCTCACCAGGTACTCTCCAGGCCAGGATGTACATGCAACCCAACGAGAGACCACTCTCTGAACCTCCTGGGTCACAAAAGGAACCACCTGACTCCTTTGCAGCAGCCCACGCTGTAGGTAAAGCTATGTGAGTACATTAAATTACCTACCCCTCTCTTAGCCTCACTTTCCCATCTGGAAGGTACAGCTGTAGTTATGGCAGATGCACTGGCATCAGTGATCATGGACTTACTTTACTTCTGGCCTTCTAAACTTGGAGTCAGAAGAACTGAGTTCGAATTCTTGCTCTGCACCTTTATTTGATTTTGCTTCAAGATTGAAGCCAGGGGAGAGGAAAGGGCTGTTTCCAGAATGCCTTTGGAAGCATGAGATCAGTAGGCCCAGACATCTACAATAGTGACCAAGAAGGGAACGTCTTGTGATATGCCAGGCAAGCCCTGAATGGCTGCACAATCTCAGCAGGCAGGTTTGTCCCTTTGTACCACCAGAGGAGTTCTGGCCAAAATGACTCAGAGGATCTGGGAATGGGGAGTAGACATACAACTCCCTCTAACCAAGCATGGAAGGACCCAGGTATCCAGACCCAATCACCCAAGGCTTGAGAGAGTCTGGGGTTCTAACCCTAGCTCAGTGGCAAACTTACTGTGTGATCTTGGGCAAGTCACTTAACTTCACTGGGCTTCAGAGAGTTTTTCTGGAGACATGAATCCTTCCCAAATGAGGGTGAGACCTTATGTTCCCCAAACCCTTCTCCAGCATGTGAGCTTATGAAGCTGGCTCTGGCCCATCCAACAGCAGTTGGGGGTGGGGGACAATATGACTTTGTAAGAAAACTCAGAATAAAGCACAGTAACCCCTCCAGCCACTGGGGACTGCCTTACTCCACCCCTGCACATATCTTAAGGTGAGAATTAACAGGTACTCATTCCTGGGAAGGACTTGACAAGCATCTTGCATGGAGAAAAACCGGGAGCTCCTCATTGACTTGGTAGATGTTACACAGCACTGTGTTTAAGAGCACAGGCTCTGGAGCCTGACTCCCTGGGTTCAAATCCCAGCTCTGTCATTTACTACCTATATGGCCTTGTGCAAGTTGCCTAACCCTTCTGTCTGCTCTTCTTCACGTGTACAATGGGACTAATAGTAGCATTTACCTCATTGGATTGTTGGGAGGATTAAGTGAGTAGATACACATTAAGCACTTAGTGTTGAGGGTTGATGATTATGTATCAAACATTTCTCCCATGTATTAGTTCTCAAAGCTACTATTATTAGCCCCATCTTACACTCAAGAAAACTGAAATGCAAAGAAATTAACCCTCTTACCTGGTCCCTATGCTCTCTGCTAGTGCATTTGCCATCAGACCTTGCTGCTCCCACTTCTGCTCAATATGATCAATGTTCTCCACTGACTTGTTTTGCAAAACAATTTCATATAGCAATGGAAATAGAGAAGGGAGTTGGGAGTTAATTAGGGCAGGGTGAGCCACAGATCAATTTTAACACTGTTAAAGGAGAGACAACTTGACATTAGCAGGTGATACAACAAGAACCATCACAACACCATCTACAAAGGCTTCTAGCCAAAAATCGAATACGACTCTGATCAGGCCTCTGGATCAAACTACTGATTTCCAGGAAACACAGGGGATGGAGGAACACGTTAAACAACACCACAAGGAGGCGCTCAGCTGAATCTGGAATGTGAAACAATCTACAGGAGAATGACCAAAATTCATCAAGAAACAAATGGCATTTAGAAAAGAGAAATAAATCACATTTTTAAATGTGAGAAAAAGGGAGGACTGTTATAAAGAATATTAAGAGACATATCAGTCTAATGCAATGTTTACAGCCTGACTCTAAATGTAAAAAGGAGGTTTTGAGACAATTGGGAATATTTGAATCTCTACCAAATATTAAATGAATTGGTTTTTTCATTGGGTTAGATGTGATAATGATATTGTGGTTATGTTAAAAGAAATTGTAAGTCCTTATCTACTAACAATACCTCCTAAAATGTTTATACATGAAATGAGATGATGTCTGTGATTTATTTTAAATACTCCAGCAAGGGGGTGGGGGTCAAGGGTGCATGCAGGTTTATAGTGATTTTCTCTTCTTCTGTATGTTTGGAAAATGTCATAATAAAAAGTTTAAACTAAAAAGGAGGGCAGAGGATGAAGGCAGATCACTAAGTATGAAGAGTTGTAGGTACGGGTTTCAGAAACATTTAGGTAGGTAGTGAGTGAGGTTTGGCCCCACAGAGATGGGACTGGGAAGGCACTCAGCCCCTCATGCATTCTCAGGTCATCTGAGGGAAAATAAGCCTTTGCACACCACTCTGGAATTCATTTGTTTATTCACTCACTCACTCTCCAATTCATTGATCCATCATCCATCCATCGGTTCATTGTGCAGTCAACACACCTGTTTGTTGAGAGCCTACCAGAAACTGAGATGTACCAGAAACTGAGAATACAAAGGTGATCATCCTGTCCTTCTGGCACTTACGGTGAAGGCAGGAGAGTCAAACGCTTGTTAAATCTGCCATTACGCAGATACAGCTTCACAAACCCTGAAAAGTCTGAGGTAGGAAGTGGATTGCATGCCATCAAGAAGTTTAACATGGGCAAACAAGACTTGTTCTAGAGTCAGAGAAGGTCGGGGAAGCTTTCTCTATAACATTTAAGCTGAGATTTGAATGATGAAAAGGAGACAGCCATGTAAAGAGCCCAGGGAAGGGCGTTCAGGCAAAAAGAAAGGCGAGAGAAAATGTCCTGGGGCAGAAAGGAGCCAGGGATTTTCAGGAGTGTTCAGTATACAATAGGTACAGCAGAGTAGGAAGCGAGACTCACAGGCTGGGGGACATCTGGGGCTGTTAACTGCTGCTCTTGAACCAAGAGAAATGTCTCTCCCATACACAGAACATGTCATATAGACAAGAGGCCTCAGGCCAGATGACAAATGCTCCACCAGTTATCAAGACAGGTATGGGGGAAGTGCGTGTGCATGTCAGAGCACTAGAGAAAATGTTCTACTTCCTGAAAGAATTTTAATTTGGGACTAGGGTGGAGGGGAAGGGAAGAAGGCGGCCCTGGGGCAGAGAAGAGGCTACTACAAAGGGAACCATCAGAATCGCTGAGTAAGTAATACTCCCAATTAGAGATTTAAAAACCAATGGTGAAAAGCAGGCTTGTGCTCAGCTCAGCCCTCCCTCCCTCAGCCAGCCTCAGTCAGGGAAAGGAAGTCGTAGCCAACTGTGGGGACAGGTGCCTAGTGATTTATGGCCCTAAGACAAAGGCTCCCAAGGAAAGGCCCTGCGAAACTCAGACGTGTTGTTGGAACAATTAGAGCCCATCCATCTATTTGAGTCAGCACAGCATCTGGAAAATGGGCCTGGTCCGGGCTGAACACCAGCTCTTCACGTGGGACTTTCCACATGGTGAACACACACAAGAGGCCAGTAGCTGGTGGGGGAAAAGCCCCATTTTTCCGATAAGGAAAATGAAGCTCTCAGAAAGAAAACTTGTTCAAGGTCATCAGCTAGGAGATTCAAACTCAGATCTGTTGGAGTCGCAAGGCCACACTCTTTTTGGCATTTCTTACTATCTCCCTGGAAGTTTCTGCAACTGCCCTGGGTGGCTAGTCCCTTGGGGGCTACTGGGCTCTTTCTTCAGTTTTCCAAGATGGGGCTGCTGTTGCCCCTGCAGAAAGATTTAGCCCTCAGATCTCAATTCACTCTAAAAAGCTAAGCTGGTGTATCCAAAGCCAATAGCAGGTCCCTCTCCTGCAGAACAAAATGCGTAATTCCTCCTCTGGAACTGTGATTCTACAGGGACCTGGAAGGGGTCAGTGGTATCAGGCCCCTGCCTCCAAACTATGTGCAGTGTCCTGGGCCCTTCTAAGAAATGCATGTCAGAAGCACCCCTCAGGGCACATGCATAGCCCCGTGAGCTGATTCCAGCAGCTGCACTTCAGGAGTGCTGTGTCTGACTCAGCTCTGTGATCCCAGCACAGCGTCTGATCCAGAGAAGCACACAGCAAATGTTTGCTGAATAAAGGAACAGACCTTTAGCATTGGAGATATCGCAGCAAACCCAACTTTAGAAGAAAAAACAAAAGGATGGCTTATTAAAATAAGCTTATGGTACAATGTTCATTGTAAAAAGTGGATGATACAATCATATAGCAAAAAAAGTCCCACAAAAATCCAGTATACATTTAATAGTGTAAAGTAACATGCATATATTTGTGCACTGTGAAAATTCTAGATTAAAATGTAAGCCAAATATTAACAGTCCTATCACTGTGCAGTTGGCTTATGTGTAGTTTTATTTGCTTCTTGAATTTTTTTTCCAAAATGTGTTATAAGAGCATATGCTATTTTCATAATAAAAAGGAAAAGCTGTAACTATTTTTTTCCATAACATAATTTTTACATGATAAAGTTTAGGGTGCTGTCTGCCTCTCTGAATTCAGAGGCAGCTGCTGGGTGCCAGGCAAGGCAAAGATGTTGTGTGAGCTCAAAGTCAGCTTCCTCAGTCCACAGACCCCAGGGCCACAGGACCCACACTGGCCTCAGGAGCCACCCATTCCCTGTATGGGTCCTTGGGGTAAGGAACAACATGGATGCCAGACCTCACAGCCATCTTCCAAAATCTTACCACAGCCAGGTACATTTCCACGACTCCTTTCTCCGTAAGCAAGTCAGTAAATCAAAGTGCATCTCGTACACAAGGTGGGCCCTTTCTGGTAAAACACAAAAAAACTTAATCTTTGGTCCAGAAGCAGTAGATTGCGGCAGCAAGTCAGCAGCCAAAACCATTAATCTTTGCTGCATTCCCCAACTGGCCCGAGTAGTAAAGAAGATAATACCCCAGCAGAATCAGTGACCCACTACAAATTGGTCCTGAAAGGTCCACCAGCATAAATAGACTTTTGCTGATCCAACACTTGTTAGGAACCCCAACAAAGAGACTATTGGCTCATCTGATGAGCCGCTTGCAAGGGGCCCTTGCAATGGCTGGTGATGGATGACCACCCTCCCTTGGAGGGGAAGATGCAGCTCCTGGTATGGGGCCCTTTCTCATCTTAAATTTGTCCTCAATAAATCACAGGTGCAGAGAAGCCAGCATCAGTTTCATTACACCTACATGCTCCAGTATCAATCACGCCACCATGGCGGCCTGTCTGGGTGCAGTTCATTTCAAGTGGCTGTTTCTGTCCTGATTCCATTTCCACTGCAATGCACGCCTCCAAGGGGCTGGGGCCTGGAGAACGGGAGGAAGAAGCTTTTCTGTAAAGGCCTATGCTTCCCTGGCCTCAGTACCTATTCCCTTCTCCTTGTCTATTAACTATTCCCCAAATGTGTGTCACTTGGAGCTCCAGATCCAGCGCCTGTGCAAAGGGCTGAAGCCCCAGGATCAGAAAGACTTGTTTTTAGATAATAGGTCTGACATTTGCCAACTTGGAGCAAGTCATTTTACTTTGCAGAGGCTCAGCTTCTTCATATGGAAAATGGGGCTAAAGACACCTGCATCTGGAGATGAAACACAGAAGTAATTGTAAAGAACCTGGCACAGGCTGGGTACAAAGTGGGATCTTCAGTTCATGTCAGTCCCAGTCTCTGCTCATCCCTGGCTGAGATGCTGGTTGAAGAGAAAGTATTGCAGGGATGGCTGATCTTGCTTTCCCTCTGGTACTCAGGCCAGTGAGAAAGTGGAAATTCTGTTGTTCCTCTTCTCTGTGTCTACCTGCCTGGACCATTCCTGGTGCCAGCAAAAGTATGTCAATTATGGCTCAGAATTTATGAGGATGCTGCCACAGCTCGTTTTTTGTCTTGTTCCTTTCATTGTAGGCAGTTAAAATACACTTAAAACTAAGGACACCAGAGAGCTCTCAGACCTCTTCTTAATGCACATAATCAAATACTTTAATGTCATTAAATGCATAAAGGCTCATCATAAAAGCTGTGAACTTCTTTTTTAAAGAATCATAAATGGGAATAAATGGTTTCTTTTTAGGCAGGTCCTAAGCCAGTTCACCTACAACCACTAGAGGCAGGACGGAAGCACCCCTCCAAGCCTGCCAATAGGCCTCCTCCAGAGGGCACAGCCCAGCTGCCTCTGCTGTGGGGTGGAGCTCTCAAGGCCTAGTGGCAGCCCTGTAAATTGTTAACTAAATAAGTAGATCTTTGAGCAGAAGAGAGGGGAGTGCAAAGGACCCTGCTCCTGAGCTGGTAAGGAATGTCAGACGAAACAAGCTTTTCAAAAAGACACTTCCATTCACTCTAAACCTACAAGAAAGCCAGAGTGACAGGGCCATTTATTTGCAGAAGAGCTGGGGAGGGGGTGGAAAGGGAAGCAGAGATAAGGAGAAGGAGCAGAGAAATAAGTAAAGGAGGGAAAGGCAGGGAGAGAGAGAGAAGGTTCGCAAAGCATGCAGAGAGAGGGAGACAGAGAAGGAGAGGGGGCAGGCTCTACCCCAGGGTCCAGTGTCTCATCCATCACCAGCCATTGCAAGGACCCCAGTGGTTCAGGGTCCAATGTCTTGGTACTGCATGTTGGCTCAGAATTCTGAGACAGAGCCTACAGAGCTGCATATATATCCAATACATCTCAGAGAACAGAATATAATAGCAATATAATAAAGATGATGATGATGATGATGATATTGAACATTTACTCTGTGTCCAGTCTAATGTCTAAGTTCTTTACCAGCATGACCTCATTTAATTCTCCTAACAACGCTATATGGTAGCTACTGTATTTCATCAATTCTAAGACATACATTTTCTTTTTCCCATTTTAACACCTCTGAAATTGAGATGCTTTTTAAAATCACTATCAGCCTGCCAGCAGTCTTGATGTCACTGTCATATCTGGGAACACACATCAAAACTTGCGGAACAAGTATTTGCAGCTTAAAATCCTGAGGACAATAGAGGAGTGATTTTTAAAGAAATGCTATCACAAATGCCTGCAATGTGACAGCAGATGATAGTCTGTTGAAAAACATGGACATTGACAATGCTGAGTTCGTCTCTGAATATGAGGAAGTTTTAGGAATAACTTAAACAATTATTTCACTTATATTTTCCTTTTCATGTATGTATACAAAGGTCTTGTGACAAACACCTATGTTTAAATAAACCTGAAAGTTCTTTTCATAAGTATAAAAATAAAATTCTAAGTGATAAGAAAGTATTATGTCATGGTTTCACTGGCAGTGATTTGACTGTTTTTTAGTGTTTCATAAAATAATGGTGCAACATACAAGCTCTCTAAGTCCCATCTTATAGATGAGCAAACTGAGGCACTTTTATTACTTGCTCAAAGCCACACAGATAGTCCAAACTCCAGGTCTTTCTGATTCTAGAACCTGTGTTCTCAGCCATTATTGATCTTCATCTCTGACATCTCTGAATTCAGATCAACATAGGTTCTGATTCCAGCTTTGCCACTTTCTGGCTTTGTGACCCATGATACTGATGTCTAGTAGTCTCTGAGCCATAAAGCAGAAATGCTAACGAAACCTGCTTCTCAAAGTTATGTGTGGGAAAATCCGTATATGAGAAGGTTCAGCACAGTTCCTGGCCCCAAGAAAGTGCCCAGGATGTGGCAGGCTGAAGAAGGGTCTACCTATAAGTCTGCGCACATCCGAATCCAAAGAACACCCACGCAGCAGCGGACAAAAGACTGGGTGGCACCAAGAGCTCAGATCTAGGACTGGAACTGTGTCAGTAAAAGATGCTTTTAGCACTCTCAGGACAAGCCAGTCTGTATACACTTCCTGGTGCCTGCAAGATGCTCAACTCTTCCTTCCTACTAACAAAACAACAGCTGCAGTGACCGCAATTAGTGTATTACTTTATTATTACCATTTATATCTTTTGAATGCCTACACTTTGGGACTGTTCTAAGGCCTTTACCCACATTGTAATCTCACAATAACCCCAGGAGTAGGCACATTACAGATGAGGGGAAGGCTCAGAGAGTTGAAGAACACATAGGGCTGTCTTTGGGCATCCTGGGCTGATTCAGAGAACAAATACGTCCAGTGTCTTAGGTTAATTTGATACTTTGAGGTCCCGTGGTTCCTTCCCATTAGGTCTGAGATTCAAGTTAAGACGTCGACTTCTAAAAGTCATAAAGGATTTCTTCTCCGCTGCCCCACACCAATGATAAATAAAACATGTTTACCGTGGAAAATTCGGAAAATATTTATAACAAAAAGACGTGGTCACACATAATCCCATTGCACAGAGAACACCTCCTGGTTTACATTTTTTTGCTCCTTTTCTCCCATTCTTATTTCTAACCATATTTTACACAGTTTATGTTATTCATGGAATTTTATATCTTGCTTTTAACTCCTGGCATAAGCATTTCCCACGTTATTAGAAACTCTTAAACATCATTTTTATTGTTACCAATATTGTTGAATGGGTGGACCATAAGGTCCTTAACCACTCCCTTCATGTGGGAGCATTTAATGTCCGCAGGCACAAACTTGTGTGCCTAAATCTTTGCTTACATTTCTATTCCTTTGGGATAAATTATTTACAATAGCATTACTGTGTCAAATGACTTGTACATTTTTAAGACTCTTGATAGATATTGTCAAATTGTAATTCATATTTAAGAATATCTGTTTCAACCTTTTTTTTTTTTTTTTTGAGACAGAGTCTCATTTCATCAGCCAAGCTGCAATGCAGTGGTACGATCTCAGCTCACTGCAACCTCTGCTTCCCAGGTTGAAGTGATTCTCATGCCTCAGCCACCCTAGTAGCTGGGATTACATGCTCATGCCACCACACCTGGCTAACTTTTGTATTTTCAGTAGAGATGGGGTTTCACCATGTTGGCCAGGCTGGTCTTGAACTCCTGGCCTCAAGTGATCTGCCTGCCTCAGCCTCCTAAAGCGCTGAGGTTACAGACATGAGCCACCACACCCAGCTGAATATTAACATTTTTTATTGTTATTCTGATAATGAAATTTTTCTGATTGTTTTCAATTAACATATTTTAGTTTACTAGTAAGCATGAACTTTAAAAAAAAAAAAAAAACCTTATTTTACAATTGTATCTGTGGATTTGTGAGGTTACAGCAAAGCAGTTAGGAGCCCCTGCCTGCTAGATTAAGCTGAGTGATTTTGAATCCTGGCCCCTCACTTACAATATGCGTGATCTTGGGGTGATTATTTAACTTCTCAAAGCTTTATTTTGTTTTCTCATCTTTTAATAGGGATGAGAATAATAACACCTAACTCATAGGGTCTTTGTAAAGAATGAATGAGAAATCCCTTGTAAATTATACCTGGCATATAGTAAGTGTTCACTAAATATTAGCTACTTGAATTTCTTTTGCAAATTCTTTTTCATACCCTTTTCTCATTTATCTGTTGAGATCTTAATATCTTTCTTATCCATTTGAAAGTTATTTTTATAGGAAGAACATTAGCCCTTTGCTACATATGTTGTGAATATTTTCTAATTGGCTTTTAAAGCAACATTCTTTCTCTCTTGATGGTCTCCATGAGAGTATTTTAGGGCCATCCACATCCAGTGAAGCTGAAGGGAAGGGTTAGGTCTATTCAGTAAAGATATAGAAAAATGAAGTAGTTTTCATTTCCAATGATGCGCCCCAGAAAACATTGCTTCCATTCACAATGCTGCATTTCTAATAGATGAGGTAAGAATTGATGGGGTTTGTCGTACTCACAAAATGACGCCCAAGCGGGGATGCACGGAGAACGTTGCCACGGCTCCGACATGTTGATGCCAAACACTGCACGAAGCACTTCGTGTCAGGGAAAGAAGCATTAGAGCTTTCTCGAGCCCACTCTTTCTCAGTTTGGAAGCTGTCCTCATGTTCACAAGGATATTTTGGTAGAAAACCTCCTTTTCCAGGATCTCCATTTGCCCGTCGCCACTTCTGTGTACTCAGTACTTTTCTGTCAACGAGAGTTCCAAGGAGTGAGAAAGCCTGTTTTTGTTTTCATTTTTTATGTCTATTAAAAATAAACATGCTGAGAAGCTGCCTCTTAGTCTCTTTATCAAGCCCCAAATGACGTGTAGCCCTTGTCAACTCCGCGTTGACGAATGCAATCAGCATTTACAAAATCAGATTTGTAAGGCATCGGGAATAAACTTAACTAAGGGCAGGTTTCCCCTCCATTGATCAAAACGGGTTTTTGCCGAATGATGGGCAGTCGGTCGGTCCCTCAAAGTAAGTAAGCGTACAGGCAGGCAGGATGCTGTCCCCAGCCCACCCACCTGGGCCCAGCTCACAGGACACCTGGCAGGTTCTTCTGCTAAGAAAGCCGAGAAGCCCACCTCTTTATGGGTCGGCACAAATGGGGTACATTTCATGCTGAGTCAATTTAATCAATACTTTTCTTGCTTTGGAAACCCCGAGCATTTAGAGAGAGCAAAGCCACACTACGCAGTAAAGCAGCTTTAAATTCTAATGAGCTTCTCTGTGCTAATTAATGACTTTGCTAACTGGAAGCTTTCTTTGTTAGAAAACACACTCTTGCCTTTCAAGATGACAGCTTTTCCTTTCCCGAATGTCTTTTATTATCAAACCAGAAAGGGAAGTACTTTATTCCTCTCATTCTGTTAGAACTAATAGATTTTTATTACTTAAAAAATAATTTTCTTTTAGTAACCAGCTTTGCATTTTGCCCTATAAAAGCTAGAAAGTGCAAGAGATCAATTTCTCCTAAATCCTACCTGTCACCCGCCCGGCAGGAAACGGAGTTCTAGAGGGTAAACACAGCCTCTTCTGGAATAGACACAACAGTATGCCCCCTCCCGCCCCCTCCCATTGCACAGTGAGATTTGGTAATTTGCAAATTGAGCAGCCATCATTATTTTTTAAGGAGCAAACAGGGTCTCCACTCCTCACTAGGAGAATGTGGCCCAATCATTTGTCTCGGCAACGCACGAATTCTAGAGCACTTGAGAATTCTTAGCCATAAAGCTGATTACTAAGAGAGGGATGGTTATAAAGAAAAAAATCTTTTTAATCTGGGGAGGAGGGGAAGGGAAGATGAAGGGCAAGGAGGAAAAGATACATAGAGCTCATTGCTGGAGTTATCAGCCCGAATCAGAGCTTGAACTCTAATTTTTTGTGAATCAGAATTCACACGTGAATGTATGAGTGGAATTTCTCTCTCTTTCTCTTTTCTGCCTTGTTGTTGTTGCTGTCTGACAAGAGAGTCCGTCTGGGTCTCTCTGTCACTATCGCCATCTCTGTTCCTCTGTCCTTTCTGAGTACTTGATGAAGATACCCTGCCTGGAAATAATTGCATTCAGACCCCTGAGTCCCACTTAAAAGTCTTTGGGACTGATCGAGATAAATCCCATCAGGCTTTTGTTTCCACTCAAAGTGCCTCCATCATTTACTAGACGAATTAAAGTATCAATTTCTGTTTAAACATTAACAGGGTGATGCCAAATATTAGTTAGTTCCTAATAATTCTGAGGGATTAAAAAGATAATAAAAGTAATAGTCCATTACATTACCTACTTCAGCAAGATTGTAATGAACGTAATAAATTCTGGATCAGGGTTATAACAACTTCCATCTATTTAAAATGAATTTGTAGGGTTACTTTCATTAACTATGTATATGGGGAAAATGATCTGACATATTACCTTAAAAGAGCTGTAAAACCGATTAGGAGAAAATATGCTTTCCAGACAGGGATGCTGGCCACTGGGGACAACTGCATCCTTGGGAAGTCGGAACGAGCTGCCGAGATAGCCCGATTCCGTCCTTCCAGCACTACCTGCTTGCTACTCTGAAAAAAATCATGACAGCATCAGCGCTGGTGAACGAGGGTGAGGGAACCTTCTTTTTCCCCTTCTCCTTTTATTTATTTATTTTTTTCCTTCCCAGGTATATTCCTGCTAATGAACCAGGGCTCACTCTGGGAACTTCTGCAAGGAAATAAACCCTAGGCCTGCAGCCCAGCCTGGCCTTTGGACCCCCAGGGGAAAGCTGCCATATTAAAGGGGCCCATGCCCTCATTGCTAGAGGAGACAAGGGAGCGAGCACTTGACTGCACCACAGAAATTACTGCTGTACCTCGAATGCCCGCTTCATTTATCAATTTCATAGCAGAAAAACCCATATGACTGCCTTGTTCAGTCGCACGCTAAATCTAGTCACAGAAAACTCCCCACCGCCAGTCAAGTGTGTTACGCACAGGCCTGGATAAAGTAACTTGAAATACCACTAATGATTTATACTTAATTGAACTTCTAAGTGATTAAAGTGGCAGTAATGAATGAATAACACCCTCCTCATTCCCTTGACCACCTGGCCCAGCCCCTCCAGGCAGAGTGGGCCTCGCCTGGGGAAGTCAGCGGGGATGGCCGCCTGAAGCCATTCTCTGGGCTCCCCAACGCTGCTCATCCTGGCTCAATTGCTCTCACTTGCAGTAAATGACTCCATAAGCACCGAATCAGACCATTGATCCTTTTTATTAGATTACCCAATTGTAAGGTTAATGCATTTGCATTTGGCAAACGGAGTCGGTCAACTCAAATCCCTAGCAGGGATCAGCGTTTAAAAGGACACATGTGGGAGCAACTCTGTCAACACACAGATTTGCTGGCAGCAGTAGCCAGATGCTGACGCCCTTCCTTCCCGTGGCCCCCCCACCAAAGAAGGTGCCATAAGAATCCACTTCCAGGCCTGTGTCTTCCTTAGCAGCAGTCCTCATGGGACAGCCAGGGGGCCACACCTGCTGCCCATGTCCTCCCCACCCCCAGTGCTTCTGTTTCTGAAAGAAGGAAGAATCCTGCAAAAGTTTTCAGTCACCACAGACAGGGATAAAGGTGGATAGTTCACCTCGGGCCAGGAACCTTGCTGCCTTCTCTAAATGGAGGAGAGCCAGGACTTAAATCAGTGACAAGGACACAGGCTTCAGAAACCAAAAGTTCTTCTTTTCTGATGGTCATAGAGTCAGACAGGGGGCAGCCATTTATACCTAGGCCTCTATACCCGATGTGAATTTATTCTTGGATTTTCTAAATGCATTAACCAAATGCTATTTACGTGGTCTGCCTTCATTAGGATTTTCTAGTAAAGAAATTCATAAGTTGGAAAAACATACTTTGTTGATCTCATATGAGTTCTGCGTTGGAGAATATAGCCATGGTTTAGGGGAAATTAGAAGTTACCCAGAGAAATCACCCCAGAAAACCATGTCCTTTTATAGAAGAGGAAACTGGGGTGCAGACAGAATGAAACTTACCCAAGGACCACCCCCACCACAGTGAGTTCACAGAAAAACTCCCGTCTTCTGCCTTCCAGATCACCCTGATGGGCCATCCTCGGGTAAGAAAGCAGTACTCTCAGAAGAGGTGGTTTTGAGGCTGTGACAGTAAAGAAATAGTCTTTTTATACAAATGTCTTAAGACACAAGCCATATTTCATATTCAGCTGCATAAACTAGGTCTTTGTCTAAATTGTTTTGTGGAGTAAGATTCGCTCTAAGTATTGCTTACAGGATGGATTTGTTCAGCATCTTGCCTCTGAGGACAAGGAAGCTGGTTTCATCATTTCCATTCTGTTCACTTTTTCTGCTGTTCACTTTCTAAAGGTGGCCAGGACGCTGGGGAACAACCCATCATGTGAAGTCAGATACTGAGGGTTCAAGCCCCAGCCATGTCACTTACAGGCCATGTTATTGTTCTGAGCCTCAGCTTCCTTCATTGTAATAATTCCTCCTTGCTGAATTGTTTTGAGATTAAATGGGATAATATACGTGAAAATGATCAGTGCAGATGAAGCTCTTATCTAGATAGGGCTCCTTATCCATGAGTTTTCTCCCTCCTGGTTTCATAGAAAAAGAGTGATCCCTTGGGCTTTACAGGCAGTAACTGACTGGTGACAGGTTTCCTAGAAACAGCCCATGTCAGTAAAGGGAGCTGTTTCCCGTCCCAGCTCTTTCTTGCTTTGCAAGAGAGGCCCAGGCCCTTGCCAGCCTTTCATTTGCCTCCTCTGCTGAAGGCTGGAGGCTGTACCTTCTTTGAATCACTGCTCAGAACTTGTCTGAGTCTCACAGGGCCTAAGAGGCCATGAAGATAGGGGTAGGGCAATTCCTGTAACAACAATTCAATTACACTTCAGTTGCCATAATCGTCATTCACTTACATTTTTTGAGTACTCGTCATATAAGTATTTTTTACATGTGTTTAACCTCATCTAAGCCTCTCAGCAATCCTGTAAGATTCAAATGGCCATGCCCACTTTACAGAAGCAGAAATCAAGGCTTGCATAGGTCAAGTGGCAGTCCAAAGTGACACAGCTGAGAGGGGACAGAGCTGGGGTTTAAGCTCAAGCCGGTCAGACTCTAGGATCCGTGCTCCATCACTGTGCCCCGCTCTTAGGACTCACAGCACCTTTGTGGCAGGGCACAAGCCAGATGTCAGCAGGGACCCTGACCTATCCTTCCTCTTTTAGCCAGTTGACCCATTGAGCCCCAGGGACAGGTATTTGTTCTCAGGGAAAGCAGAGCATCAGAGGAGAAGGGGAAAAAAATCCCCAAGTGAGCAACAGCTGACCTCTGTGAGTTATTGAGAAAGTGCCGAGGTGGCAAGGCTGGTGGTGACAGGGCCCCAGGGGCCTAAAAGAAGGATGCTTATCTGATTGGGAGTGCATGCGGGCAGATTCTACCTAGAGATAGTTGCGGCTGGGCTGTCTGGGAAGAGAGGGCAAAGAGAGGCCCCAGCTGGAATAGGCTACCAGTCCAGAAAGAAGTTCCCAGCATTAGAGCTTGCCACCCAAGAAGCTTCAGACCTGAGCAAGCCAAATCCCAAATCCCCATAGGCCATGCCATCAGCCGTGGCCTCTGTTCTAAGGAGGACACACAGAATACCGGGTGTAGGAACAGATGTCTGTCTATGCATAGACATGGACAGACTTTGTCTCTAAGTGGGTCTGTGCTTGTCTGCAGGGGTGTGTGTGAGTGTGTGTGTGTGCATGTGCACGTATGTGCCCACACAGCATCTGAGAGTGATGTGTGGGACAGTGTCTCTCTGCAGTTGTGTCTCTCTGTGAGGATGAGGGTGGGTGGGCATGTGTATGAGTGACCATGGCTGGTCCCAGGACTAGCATCTATGGACCCATGGAGGTCTTTGTGCCTATGACTCAGCTGAGGTGAAGGATGATGGGGGAACAGTTGGTCCCATCAGTGGGAATGTCATGATTCACAGAAGTAGGTTCCGGGGGACCGGGAAGGAAGGATCTGCTCTGTCTTGAAGAGTCAGGAAGGGCTGCCTGGACGAAGGGGCATTTGCTACATGGAACCTTCCTCCTGAGTCTCTCATGGGCTGGACCTGAACCATAATGTGTGGAAACCCCTGTTACCACCCAGTCATATTTATTCTGTCGTCCCCAGAGCAGTTTGAGACAGGCCAAGCAGCATGATGGGCTGAGGAGTTAACCAGCCTCTTCCCCCGAAATACAAACACAAACCCCCCACCAAGCCCTGTGTTCATAGGAGGAGATGGGAGTAACCAGGACAGCCCCTGGCCACCTCTGACTCCTGGACTTGGGGCTCTTGAATACTGCCTGGTGGGTGTTTCCCTGCTGGACTGACCTGATTTTTTATGCACAATGCAGAACAGAACCCTGTCCAGAGTTGGGTACTGCCCCTGTGACCAGGGCTGGTGTGGGCAACCGAGCTTGACTCTGTACCTCTGGCCTGGAGGCTGCAGTGCCTGAAACCCACTTCTATCACCACCTCTTACTGCTGTATGATTTGGGACAAGCCCTTTGAGCAACGTGAGCCTCAGTTTCCTCATCTGTCAGGTAGAAATGATTATTTCCCCCATACCTCAGTCATTGATCCTTGGTGGCTGTGCCTCAACCACATCACTAAGCCCTCTGAGGTTCAGCTTGCTCATCTGTAAAACAGGGACAATAACAGCAAATGAGATCACGTGGAGAAAAGCACTTCAAAATTTAAAAATTATCTGGTGCTTGAGAGAAATCACCTGTGAGATGGAAAGACTCGGCCAGATTTTCAATTCTTGGCTCCATCTGCAACCCTGGCTGGCATTTCTTAGAGGATGCAGGCCTCTGGGTGTTGCTTCAGTGGCCAAGGAGGCTCAGACAGAGAGCTCCAGGACCCCAAGGACAGGAAGGCCCATGGACGGAGTCTGCCGGTCAGAAGGCACCGGCCCGTGGCTCCCTGGAGCTGCACAGCAATGATTCAGGAAAAGGCTGACAAGGATATCAGCAGCGTGGGTTTTTTTAATCCTGAGTCCAGAGAAAATGCACAATCAGGAATAAAGGCGCCCAAGAGAGCAAGGAGAAGGAGAAATAATCAGAATTAGCCAGCTGGCGGGCAGCACAAACAGGGGATATGCAACCCCAACAGGGTTGGAGCCTGTGCAGGACCAGCTGAGGAGGTGGCCACGGATTGGGCAGGCCCAGACAGGCGCATGAGGGAACTTGGGCTGGCTGGAGCCCAGCAAGCAGGCAGAAGGGAAGACAATAAAAGAAGCCGTCATCAGGTGAGTCCAGCACCCTCGGAGGCTGCCGTGGGCCCCCCTGGCCACAAGGCAGTGGAAAGGGTGCTGCCAGAGGGCTTCAGTGCTCTGCCCCGCATTGTTCACGAAGCTCTGGATGTGGACGTCGGGTTTCAGAGCGGCCAAGAGATTGCCCAGATCCTGTAGAAAGGCTGCAGAAGCCTCTGCAGGCAGCAGGCCTTCACACCCCCCTCCCTCGAGGCTGAAACCAGACTAGGATGACAGAGTCCATGGCCCTAAAATTTCACTGGGGCTCTCTCCCTGGCAGTTGGACAGGGTGTATCAAGGCATTTAGGGAGGTGATCCCAGGGCCTGCTTTAAGAACAGAAAGGAATGGATTTTGATGAGCTGGGGCAGAGAAATCCATTTCCATGGGCAATGGAACTGATGTTGTTCCTAACTGAAACCTGCTTTTCACAAATCATTTAGACTATCAGATGGCTTAAGAAAAAGCCCTGGTCCTGAGAGTGATGTGTGTGTGTGTGTGTGTGTGTGTGTGTGTGTGTGTGTGTGTATTGGGAGAGGGCAGAATTAATGCATCCACCCTTGATTCCACTGCAGATTCCAAATTAATGGAGTATAAATTAATGACAAACGTGTGTGGCGTCCTGGAAGCCCAGTGCTACTGTGACACCCCCTGATTCTGGGTCCTCAGGCAAAGTGCTTCCCTGAGCTGCTTTCCTACTAATCTGATATAGAGGAATGGGAATGCATGTCCCCAAATCCCCCTTGCCATGGCCGGGACCACAACATCCATTCAGTCCAGCTTTTTTTTTTTTTTAACCAGGAAAGGCCTCAAATTGAAGATTTGACAGTGTCGGCAATAATTATACAGAATTAAATTGTGTGCGTGTGTTAAAAGCATTCATTGGCTAAATGTAATATTTATTACACCACAATTTTGATAATACCATTTGCGCCTCTTTTTCTGTGATATTTAATATTCCAGAAGCATAGATAAATAAAGGAATCAGGACCTCTCTGACCCTCTAACCTCTGATCCTCATTCCCAGTTCTTATCATGTAGGTTCCTTTCACTGTCACTTTGAGGTAAATTGGGATCTTAGGATTCAGGAGAAGCCTAGAAGGAGAAGAGGGTTACTTCCCTTGAGCACTGCTGATTGTCCATATCTCTCTGTTAAAAGCTGTAAATTACACTGACTGACACGGAGAGCCCGGCAGACGTTCCCGAGAACTACCGCAAGCTCTCGGCATTACTCTCTCCCATCAGAGCTGCACTGTCTCTGGGTCCGTAACTGAGCAAACACCCTCTTGCATTTGTACGCCTCTCCTGGGTGCCAGGTCAAGGCAGGAATCACCTGGACCTCTCACCTCCCCAGCCCACTCTCCATGGGTCATCTATATGAACATCAAACCCAAATCACAAGCCCCCAAATTTAATTTATTTCTACCTAAACAAGTTCTTTTATCATAAAGCAATAAATTTGTCTTGGTGCTAGCAATTTGTTGCGGGTGACATAACATTGCAAATTGATTAATCGCTACTGTACGCAGCAAAATGAGAAAAGCAAGGAATTATTATGAATAGCGTCCGTCTTTTACGGGAGGGATTCATTATTCAAAAGTGCTTGCTGGTGCTTACATGTGCCCTGGGTGCAGATTACATCCATTTGCAGACTTCCCACATCATGCTTACACAAATCAACAAACGTGCATTTATTAAGACGTAGAATGAAAGCTATTTAAAAGTGAAAAATGGCCTTTTGCATTACTTTTCTTCAAGGAAGGCAAATCTGGGTGGGATGTTCCTGGGACAAGTCCCCACAGTTGTCACATGAGTGTCTCTGGGTTCTATGCAATCTGGCTCATGCAGGTGCCAACAAATCTGCCTGCTATGCCTTTGACAGTCCCAGGATCAGAAATACCCCACCAGTGATTTTGCAACCCTTGCTATGGCTCAGGAGACTTAAGCAATTGGCTGTCACTGCCTGCTGGGGAAATGCAGCAGAGAGTTCTCAGTTCTCCAAAAATGAGCCTCCTTAACTTCCCCTGGGAGGGGGAAAGGAAATGAATATTAATTGAGTATCTATTCTGTACCAGACACTATCCTGAATGCTTTCCTTGCATTAATAAGGCAAGTCCCTCTACCTCCCTAAACCTCATAGGATTGTTGTAAAGACCAACTGAAATAATGTGTGCACATAAAGCACATAGTAAATGCTCAATATATATTAGCTATGATTGCTATTATAATTTCATTTAAGCATTCCTAAGGTCAGTATTAGTACCATCATTTTACAGATGGGAAAACTGAGGCTTAGAAAGATTTCAAGATTTGCCAAATCACACAGTCAGTGAGCAGGGCTGAGCTTCAATTTAGGATCTGCCTCCAACAATTCATTTTTTTGCAAAACCACCCCCACAGCTATCCTTGACAGTCAAAATAAGATGTATTTGCTTCCTCTAATCCAACAGAGGAGTCCACACACCAACCACACATTAGCTACCCACTCTTTGCCTTCAGGTGTGTCAGAGGGGACATTTGAGAGGGTCTGGAGATTTCACGGCCTTCCCCATCTCTGCCCCTAGCTGTTCCCGCATAGGTAGAGCCCTCATCTGTCTCTGATTCTTGTCCCTTACTTCTCTATCTACTTGTCCCGTTACCAAGGACACTTCCAGAAGGAAGCTTGTTGCCTGCCCCAGTGAAAGGCTGACGGGCGGCTCACAGCTTCAGCATTGATTATTCCTGCTGAACTCATGCTCTGCTTAAAAATAGACTAAGATCTCAACTTTCATATTCTAATTAGATTTCAAAGCGACTTTTATAAAACGAGAATGCCTTCATTGTTTTTCTGCTGCATAAAGGGCTATTAACCGCTCCCCAGCCAAGCTAAAGTCCTTTCTAATCCCTGATATCACCCATAAGATGAGAATAGTTACTCATCAGCTTCCGAGAAAACCGTACTGAACCACAAACGTGTCTCCAGGTGTCCAGAATCCAGGGGTGGTCGGGTTAGAAGCCTGGGCATGTAGCTCAAGCTGAGAGTTGGCCCCTGTGAGCATATCTCACAAGACTACATTTCACCAAGGGTCTTCCTCCAACCACCTGCCCTGAGATCAACCCGGGGCTTATATGATTCTGGGCATCCCCGAGATCTGCCAGACTCATCTGGTTGTGTGGCCTGGCAGTCTGTTTGACAAACTCCCTGTAAGATTTGTTTGCACACTAAAATTTGTGAACTATCATCCCAAGTATTTCTCAAACCCCATGCCCAGTTTTTTATGCCACCAAACTGAAACATTGATTATTGCAAATTCTGGTTGACTTACAAATATCCTTCCTCAATGAAGGGGAGATATGACCTAAGAAGGAACTTGCTATTTTGAGGCCCAGTTGACTCTCTTCCTGTCAGCTGTCCCCACCATAGTCCCACAAGGCATCCTTGGGCTCCTAGCAAGACCAGGGTACCCAGGCTAAATTAGGCTGTGAGTCACTTTTTGCATAGTCTGGGGGGCAAGAAAAGACCAGATGCCCAGACATGATGGAAGTGACAAGGACATCTCTATGCAATTCTGGGCTCTGTTTACAACAGTCAGAGCCCCAAGCTGTCAAGTACCTCTGTCCCAATTGTTATCACAACCTGTCGTCTTATGTGCCCTTGAGTGTAGTTGTTCTCAAACCTTAACATCAGAATCACGTGGAGGCTTGCTAAGACATAGATTGCCGGGCCTCACCTCCCAGAGCTTCTGACTCAATAGGTCTGCTGTGGGGCCTGAGAATTTGCATTTCTAAAAGTTCTCACATGCCGCTGCTGGTCCAGGGACCAGACTTTGAGACTCTAGACTCTAAGCTCCATGTTATATCTCCAGTGTTAAGTACATAATAAGAACTCAATTTGTGTTTGCAGAATGAATGAATGAATGAGTAAATGATTGAGTAAATAACATGAACTACCTTCTTGAGCTCTCTAACTGGGACTCCTCACTCCACTCCACTTCACTTGTGGTTATCCAGCATCTGCTGGACATCTGTAAAAGCATCCAGGAGGTGTATGTGTCCTGGGGCCAGGACAGGGTTTGTGGTTTCTCATACCAACAAATAAAAATATGGCTTGCTCAGGAGGTCAGAAAGCTATGCAGGGAGTGAGGTATCCCATCCTGGCCTTGATAAGGGTAATGGTGACTCTTACCACCTCAAAACACTGGCCCATAATGTCCTAGGTGGGTGACCTCAAGCTGGGCCCTCAGACTCCAAAGAGTCTCCATTTCCTTATTCATGAGGTTGGGCATGGATAATTGTCTTCAGGATAACTGTGCCGATTCAATGAGGCTATACATGAAAACAGTTCAACAGTGTCTGTCTGGCACATGTGGGGGGCTTGGTCGATGTCTGTTCCCTCATTCATTCCCCACAACCCCTGACTCCTGTGAAATGAGTCCCAGAGATGTTTCGGGAGTAATGAATTCCCTCATTTCAGCTAAGCCACCCGTGATCCTGGTTTTGTAGAGATGTACGATGCAACATGATAAATTATTGTTTTAAGCAGAGGCTTCATTCAAATATCCATTTCCCTGTCAAGTTAATTTTGTTTGGATGTATTTTCTAGCGGGTTCTGACTGGGAGCACGGTTGGTACATAAACAGAAGAACATTATGTCTTTGGCCCGTTCTCTGAGTGACAGGGAGCTGATGGCACCGGGGAGGGAAGTTTTGTGGATTATCACGGCCAAGAATCCCCATTCCCCAGACATACTAAGTTGGTGGCATAGCTCTGAGGGCTAATTGTAGTCAGTTCACCTCTGTCTGCAGAGCATAGCAGCACCTCATCTCTCCTCAAATGGCTGAGTTCCTCTAGGAGGGGCATATTTCCTAGGAACACCCAAGAAGGTAGCTTTGTTTGTATCAGTCTCTAGTTAAGCCAGGAGCCAAGGCCTTGGCTTATCTCATTTCCCCCTCAGCCCCAGAAGACTTCAGGGTGAATTTCCCAAGAACAAGGACATTTTCTTACATACCACAGTACCATGATGGAGATAGGGCAATTAACATAGATGCAGTACTGTTATCTAGTTCACAGTTTATATTCCAATTTTGCCAGTTCTCCAAAGAATGCTCCTCATAGCCATTTATTTTCTCAGTTTAGGGTCCAATTCAGGATCACTCTTTTGAGTCCTCCATTCTGGAACTGTTCCCTAGCCTCTCTCTGCCCTCCATGACCTTGACATTTTTGCAGAGTTCAAGCCAGTTATTTCATAGAAGATAACTCAGTTTATGTTTGTCTGATGATACTTCATGATTAGATTCCAGTCACGCATTTTTGGCTTACATAACACAAAAGTGATATTGTATCCTTCTCAATGTGTTCTACTTGTCCCACTGGTGATGTTGACTTCAATCACTTGGTTAAGGTGGTCATCCCTGGTTTCTCCACCATAAAAAGATTATTTTCCCTTTGTGATTTATCAGTGATTTGTGGGAAGATACTGTGAGATGATATAAGTATCCTTGCACTTGTTTTAGTCTCTATTGATAATTCTTGCCTAAATCAATTATACTAGGATGGTTGCAAAATGGTGATTTTTCCAAATCCATCACATCTTCTACATTTCTGAGTGACATTATACTGTAAAGGAGAGTGTTCCCTTCTCCCCATCTATTTATGTATTTATTTATTTATCGCTAACACTATGGGCTCAGAGATTCTTCTTTTATTCAATGTGCTATAATCCCTATCATTGCTACCATTGTTTGATGCTTCAGTTGCATGATCTCATTGAATCCTCATGACAATTGGGTGGTATGGCACTATTATCAGAGATGTCTGCATTTCCACCTTAGGTCCTGAAGCTATGTCAGCAAGGCTCTGATTCCCAACTCCCAGACCCAGGCTCTGTCCTGGAAACACTGCCTTCCCTGCAGGGCTCACATAGGAAGACAAGAGCCCACACATAATGTCACCAAGCCCAGACTTCCCACTAAGCACCATGGGAATGACCCTACAGGATAGAAGAAGCTTGACTTCCCTAGCGTTCTCTTGCTCTGTCTGAGGCAGCTCAGCCTGGAGGCACAGAGGCAGTTATACTGGGCTGTCTAGTGACATGATGTCCCCAGTGACTCTTGACACAAGCTACTTTTTGTAACTGACTGGATGATGAGTTTGGCCACTCCTAAATTCATCATTTGACAAATATTTGCTGACCACCTACTATGTGCCAGGCCCTGGGCTAGCCTGGATTTACAGCAATGAGCAAGTCAGATGAGGTTCTTGTTCATGGAGCTTGTATTCAAGTGAAATAAACTGTAATCAAATGATCCCCCAAACAAATATATGACAACAATAGGGATGAGGCCTATAGAGGAAAGAATAATTATGATGAACATCCCCAACAGGGGGATTTGACCTTGTTTCGGACATGAGACAGCAGATTAAAGTAAGTGGTTTAAAACACACTGTTTGAGACCATTACTCAAAGTGGAGAAAAGGAAGCTGAGACTCAGAGAGGTTAAGTAACTTATCCAGGATTGCACAGTATTGGAGTCCAGACTCAAATCCAGGTCTGCTGACTCCTCAGCCCAACACTGGTGCAGCTCTTCCACCAAAGGGGTTCCTTAAGGGTCTCCGGTGATTCCGGGCATAGGGCCCATGTCCATCTGTTTGTTCAATTTAGCATACTTTGTTTCCACTGTGATGCTGTGAGGTCTTGCTAAGGACAGCCAGGGGATAATGACTTTCTGATAAGCCCAAACATTCTCTAAATCAGTTTTGATTTATTTTTAAGGACTAAAGCCAAGAAAACTGAATAAGCCTCAATATTAAAACAAGGCAAGTGAATGTATGCCCATCACTGGACATCAGAGATCTGTAACTGTGCATCAGGCTGTGAGCTAAGCATAGAGGGAGGCTGAGAGTCACCCAGGTAGGTCCAAGGCCAGAGCCCATGCTCTTAACCATAGCACTGGGCTACCTCCCTGGAGATGTCTGGCTGGCTGGCTGTCCATCTGTCTGTCTGTCTGTCTGTCTAGGAGGCTGCAGGCAAGTCCTTAGCCCTGGGAGCGGCAAGGCAAATTCCAAGAAGAAGAAAGGATGCCCATGCCTGCCCCTGCTGCTCAAGGAATCAGGAAGAGTCGAGGTGGGGGCAGCTCAAGCTCATGCCTGCACCCTGCTACACACCCACACCAACACCCCCAGCCTCCAGGTCTCCTCTGGCTGGCCTTGGCAGGTCCTGGCTTGATACCTGATCCCTGTGGAAGCTGACACCTCAGCATGAGAGGGATCAGGGCAGACACCGCTGCCGCCACGGGAGCCTCAACCGACTTCAGGGAGAGACGCTGAGGACACTGGCCTGAAAACTGTTCCCTCTCACTCCACACTCAGAGAGATGCATGTAAAAATTCTTATATATAATAATAATAATGGCAGGAAAAGAAAAAGTTTCCAGTTAAGTGACTTGACTGAGTTTACACAGCTGGGAAACTGGACTCAAAATCCAAGTCATATGTTTTCAGAGTTTATACATTTAACCTTTTCTTCAACAAGCCATCTCCTTGTATAATCAGGTAAATATACTTGTTCAGTGCCTGGTACATCATAGGTTCTCCATAGGAATTTGTTTAATGACCACATGTAAATATATGTATACCTGTGTTTGTGTGCGAGTGAAGGTATCTGTGCATGTGAGTGCACATCTCTGTGTATGAGTGAAGGTGTTTGTGCACGAGTATACATGCCGGATTGCATGTAATGTGGATGTCTTGAGTCCTGAAGTTATTACAGAAGATTCATTAAGATCAGGAACAAAGATGCATGATAGTCCTTTTATCTCAGCTCTTGTTTATCTCACGCTTTCCCCTCTGGAAACAGAGAAGAGCATAAACACCATTCCATTCAGCTTTAGGATAGGGAACTAATAGCCAAAAACCCACTTGAGGCATGACATGATTGGCAACTTGATGGAACTAAAAGACCACAGCTTTGGAGCCAGACAAACCTGCTTCATCTCCTGGCTCCACCACTTAATGGGGCTTAAGTGACCCCGGGCAAGTCACTTCACCCCTCTGAGCTGCTGATTCCTCACCTGAAAATGGACATGATAATACCTACAGTGTGGTTATGAGGATTCAGTGTAGGGAAATTTCCCAGCACAGAGAGTCTGATAAATAGCCGGCTCTTGGCATACCTTAGGTCCCTTCTTTCTCCTTAAAGACAGTGTCATAGTGGTCATCTTAGTACATTTGTGCTGCTATAACAGAATGTCTGAACACAAATTATATAGACCAGAATTATATATGAACAGAAATTACATAGAACAGAATTAAATAGAACAGAAATTTTTTCCTCACATTTCTGGGGGCTGGGAAGTCCAAGATCAAGGCACCAGCAGGCTTGTTGCCTCATGAGGGCTGTTCTCTGTATCTAAGAGGATGCTTTGATGCTGTGTCCTTCTGAGGGGAGTGTTCCTGAGGGGAGGAACACTGTGTCCTAACATGGCTGAAGGCAGAAGGCTGGACACTGAGGGAAGTCTTTTTTTACAAGGGCCTTATAAGCAAAAGGAAAACTATAGTGTCTTGGCACCAGTAGAATGATGATTCTCAACCTCAGCTGCATATTGGAGTTCCTGGGGAGCTTGAAAAACTCCTTTGTCTTCTCTCCCCCACCTCCCCAAGAGGTTCTGATTCAATTTGCCTGAAAGGTTGCCTGGGAATCAAGGCTTTTAAAAGCTGCCCAGGTAATCCTAATGAGCAATCAAGGTTGAGAACCTCTTGTCCATAGGGCCTCTCTACCATTTATTGAGCCGCTCATGGGGTCAGACCTTGGACAGCCTGCTTTGCAGCCATTCTGCTTGGAGTTTGCTTTGTCAGCTTAAGCCATGGCAGAGGGAGGAAGAGGGAGAAACTTACACCATCTAAGGCTAAAATCCTCTTATTTAAATTGGAGTCTGAATTTCCAAATCAAAACTGGAGATTCACAAGATAAATAAGTGCTAGAGATCTGCTGTACAACCTTGTCCCTTCAGTTAACGATACTGTATTATACACTTAAAATTTTGTTAAGAAGTTAGATCTCATATTATGTGATCTTATCACAGTAAAATAAAAATTTTTTAAACCCTCAAGACTCTTAGTCTAACCATTTTTTCTAATTTGTAAATGCATTAATATGCAAAGTGTTTTAAGATATAAACATGTCTTAGATATACATTTAGCTAAATGACCTTGCTAAAATAAATAAAAACCATTCGACCCACTAATATTTAGTATGTGCTATGTGCCAGACATTTTACCTGCGATATTCTCTCAATAATTGCTACTCACTACACCCTCTGAGTGTGCTGGGGCTGGTAAGGATGGTTATGTAAAAAATGCAGCATTTCCCACCTTTCAGACTTAAACTCCTAGTCTTTTATACATAGGCCTCTCCACAGATTTCTGAGTCATTTTGGAATTTGCATGCAAAATAAAAGCTTCCTACATAATTGAAATTATGGTCAATTGACCATGAAATGGAAGTGTCCGTGACCAATGAGGTGAGGGGAGGTTGTTGTGCTCATAAATGGGGCCTCCAGAGCCCCAGGGCCAGTTCCCTGGCTCTGGGAGAGAAGCCCACCTGAATCCAGCTTGTTGTCCTGGCCAGCCCACTGCCTTTCCTTGGTCCCTCTCTCTGGTGTAGCTCCAATAGGAGACATTCTGCTGTACTCTTTTCTGTCTTGGTTGAGAAATCCTCTAGAAGAGGGCAATTGGAGCAGAAATGTCCATATGGAAATATTTTCCTTTCTCAGGTGATGGTTTTGCAAGAGAAGGAACTGATGAGCCAGACTAGGGTATAGGATACCCAGAGAGAGAGAGTGGGAGAGGATGCCAGAAAAGTAGATGCAGCCCAACTGCAGATAACTTTTGGGATGCATTGAAGAGCCATCAAATGCATTGAAAGGGAAGTTATTTTATATAACCTGCATTTTACAAAGATCACTCTGCAAATAGGATTTGAGGGGAGCAGATGGAGGCAAGGAGCCCAGCCAGTCAGCTTCAATGACAATCCAGCCAGGATGTCATATTGTCATGAACAATAGCCATGGGATGAAGGAAAAAAGAAGGTAGAAGACTCGGAATGTGACTAATAGGGACACAAAAAAGCGAAAAGAACATGTGCTAGGTAATAGCTAATATCACAGCCCTGTTAGAAGGTACTGTTATCATCATCCTATTGAAGGGGAAACTGAGGATCAAAGAGGTTACATGTCTTGCTAATAATTGGTACAGCCAGGAATGAAATATAGGTCCATATGTATTTCTATGTTAATAAATAGGTAAAATATTAAGGAGGGGACAAAATTTTGCTCTGGTCAAACTATACTCAGTGTACTGCATTCAGATCCAGATCCCTACTTTAAGGAGAAACTTTGATTGGTTAATGGAATATATAGAGAGAAGAGTGATGGGGCAGTCATGGAGCTGAAAACTGTGTTGTGTAAGATGAAAGTTCTGGGGCATACACCTGAAAAACAGCAGAATTGGATGGCATGTGATGCTGTGTTCAAATATTTTGGGTCCTTCTGAAGCCCAGGGAGTGAGCAGAAGGAAAGCTCTGCATGAGTCAGCAGGAGCCAGAAGAGACATGTTTTAAACTTAGGTCTTTGTCTTGAAGACAATGGGAAGCCATTGACAGTGTTAAGCAATCAGTAACATGTTTTCATTTTGAAAAGATCATTCTTGGAGGTGGATCCAAGAACACCTTTTTTGATAAATTGTATGTTTCCTTCATATGTATTCCAGAACATAGCCTGGTAAGTTTATTACCTAGGATTTTCTATTTTTTGTTATTGAAATAAAATCTTTGTCCATTATATTTTCTAACTGGTTGTTGTTTGAATTTTGGATAAATTTTTTTTGTATATTTATTCCATATTCAGCCTCCTTAATGAACTCTTTTTATTACTTCCAATTCTGGTTAATTCTGTTAAGTTTCTGAAGATGATAAACACACCTTCTGAAAGTAATTATAATCCTCTCTTTCAGTAGTTACAAGTTGTAATTTTTTTCTTGTCTCATTGCACTTACTAGAATTTCTAAAACAGTGATTCTCAACATAGATTTGTTATTCTCAAGCAGGGATGATTTTGCCCCCTAGGGGGCATTCAGTAATGTCTAGAGGTATTTTTGATTATCACAACTGGGGAAATGAGGCCTCTCGTGGATAAGGGGCATTCTTAATGTCAATGAAAATGCCTTTTGTATTTAACTAGTATCTATGGCTTTGGCTGTTAGTGTAAGGCAGGAATTTTGATGAGTAGAGACTTTAAGCCCATATTAATTAAGATTTTTAAAATCAGAAGTACATATGGAGTCTTATCAAATTATTTTATAATTTTCATCAAGATGATAATATTGCTTTTTACATTTGTCCTATTCTTACATTATAATAGTTGACTTCTTGGCTCCACTGACATTACTTTAGAAAATCATTGACCATTGTTAAATAAGCATATCTCTGCTGTTTCTCTCCCTGTCACACACTGTAAGGAATTGCCCATGTGAAAAGCAGCTTGATTACAAATTAATGCCAGTAATTTGGAGTGTCTGCCCTTGTGGATTTCAATGGGGACTCATATATGAAGCTACCATTTGTTTCCTCTGAGTTGTAACGGCTAAATATGGATACCATGAGCCTCTCGTTGCCCTCAGCTGCTCTGAAGAATGACTGATAACCTCTTTGAGGTCTGTCTAGATTCTCACTCCCACAAAGTGATTTTTTTTATACACCACAGAAACAGACAATATTAGGGCAAACAATTTCAAACACACCCTCACAATTTGGGGGAAATTCACTCAGGCATGTTTGCATGACACAGTAAAAAACAGAAACTTAATTTTTAGTATAGATTTCCTAATATTAAGCTATCTTTCAGTCCTGAAATAATTGTGTGCTCATGGTGAATTATTATCTTAAGATTGGACTTAGTATCCTAAATTTTTTTTAAATATACAACATTCTTACTACATTCAAAAGTAAGAATGGTCTCAAGTTTTCTGTCTTTATATAATTTTGGTATGAAATTATAAGAATTTTGCTATCCCTTTTATGTTCTAAAGCAGTTTATCATGAAATTTAAATATTTATATTATAACTTAGAAAAGATGTACCTATAAAACTACCTGGTTATTGGTTTATCATTCTTAGAAACTCACTCTGTAAAGTTAAATACCCCCTTTCACTTCCAATGTTTTGTAGTAATATTTTGACCATCTTGCTAGTTGTGCAAGAGATTTTATTGACATCTGTGGAACTTCTCTTGCGTTTAGTTGTAAATTGTATTGTTTCTCATTTCTTCTTCTTCTTACTATTATTATTATTTTCTTTTTGAGATGGAGTCTCACCCTGTCGCCCAGGCTGGAATGCAGTGACACCATCTCGGCTCACTGCAACCTCTGCCTCCCGGGTTCAAGTGATTCTCCTCCCTCAGCCTCCCAAGTAGCTGGAACTACAGGCATGCACCACCACACCCTGCTAATTTTTGTTTTGTTTTGTTTTTTGATAGAGATGGGGTTTCACCATGTTGGCCAGGCTGGTCTGGAACTCCTGACCTCAGGAGATCCACCCACCTCGGCCTCCCAAGTGCTGGGATTACAGGCGTAAGCCACCACACTCAGCCTTTTTCTCTCATTTCTAAATTATCACTTCCTGCATTTGTCCTTGAATATTGCTTTTTACCTATTGTCTACCTTTTTACCTATTGCTTTTTACCTATTGAAAATATACATTTTCTCTTAATTTCTTATGTAAATTGTTCTTTTTTTTTTATTCTTTCTCATTTTAACAGTGAATTCACTTAAGGAAATGTATTTACCTTTGAGTCCAGTTTTAGCCATATCCCAAAAGTTTGCTAAACGATGTTCTCATTCTTTTCGTCTAACTATCCCATGTCTGCTGGTTTAAGTTCTTTCTAACTCAAAGGTTTTGTTTTCCTTTCCATTAATTAAATATTTTCCCTCTAACCTTTTCTTATTGTTTCCTATTTTTATTATATGGTGGTTAGAGAATTTAACATATAACTTTTATTTGGGGAAACTGTTGATTTTTTTTCTTTTTGGCTATCATGTAAACAATTTGTATTAATATATCAAGAGTTCTTGAAAAGAAGCTTCTTCTCTAGAATATAGTCTCCACTCTGGGTTGTGCATCACAGAGGGAACACAGGATTATCCAATAGAGTATAAGGAAAACATTAAAACTTGCATTCAATATTTATTTTCATCATGTCCCTTCTCTATTTTTGTATATGTTTCATGTATCTTATATTAGTATTATAGAAGATTAATATTATTAATAATATGCACTATTGGGAGCATATACTTGAAAAGGTTTTAAACAGAGAAGTGCATAGTGAAAGTGATAGAGACTATCAGTCTAAAAAGCACAGAAGTCAATATTTTAATTCAGTGGTATGTCTAAATAATTAACAAATATATTTATATTTAAACTCTATGCTCAAAATGTTCTACATATTGGGATTCACATTCAAAAAAGTTTGGAAAAAATTGCATTATCAACAATAATTTCCTAAAGAGATAGAAAGCCTTTGTTTATCAGAATTCTAAGGAAAGCAGGGAAACTAATTTGGATTCATAGGGACTGCTAGGCTGAAAATAATCTACCAAAACAGTGGGACCAGACTCTACCTCCTATTTAAACATCACAGAAACAAAAAGGAAGTCAAGAGAAGCAGGAGAAGGTGAGGTCAGGAGGTTTTAGGGAGCATTTGACAGCCCTGAGCCATGGAAGTGGGAGTAAATTGGAAAAATTTTGCCTAAATTTCCAAGGGTCAAAGTACATATTGCTGAACTCCTAAGTATCCTTATTTATATTTTTGGTCTGTGTTAAATTGCTCTGCTATTATTGTGTTTCATCACTTTTTTCCTAATGTTATGTTATTTGGCACATCAAGATTCCTGACTATTATTTTTCTTTTTCCCCTCCCCCTTTTTTTTATTATACTTTAAGTTTTAGGGTACATGTGCACAACGTGCAGGTTTGTTACATATGTATACATGTGCCATGTTGGCATGCTACACCCCTTAACTCTCCATTTAACATTAGGTATATCTCAGCAAACTATCACAAGGACAAAAAACCAAACACTGCATGTTCTCACTCATAGGTGGGAATTGAACAATGAGAACACATGGATACAGGAAGGGGAACATCACACACTGGGGCCTGTTGTGGGGTGGGGGAGGGGGGACGGATAGCATTAGGAGATGACTATTATTTTTCTTATGGATTGCTTCCTTATCAAAGTAAAATTATCTTCTTTTTTTCTTTTTCTTTTTCTTTTTTTTTTTTTTTTTTAAGACAAGGTCTCACTCTGTTGTCCAGGCTGTAGTGCAGTGGTACAATCATGGCTTACTGCTTCCTCAACCTCGGAGCCTCAAGTAATCCTCCCATCTCAGCCACCTAAGTGGCTGGACTACAGGCACATGTCCCATACCCAGCTAATTTTTTTTATTTTTTATAGAGATGAATTTTTGCCATATTGCCCAAGCTGGTCTTGAACTCCTGGGCTCAAGCAATTAGCCTGCCTTGGCCTCCCAAAGTGCTAGGATTACAGGTGTGAGCCACTGTGACTGGCCAAATTGCCTTCTTTAGCACTTTGGGAGGCTGAGGCGGGCGGATCGTGAGGTCAGGAGATCGAGAGCATCCTGGCTAACATGGTGAAACCCCGTCTCTACTAAAAACACAAAAACAAATTAGCCGGGCATGGTGGCGGGTGCCTGTAGTCCCAGCTACTCGGGAGGCTGAGGCAGGCAAATGACATGAACCCAGGAGGCGGAGCTTGCAGTGAGTAAGATAGCGCCATTGCACTCCAGCCTGGGCGACAGAGCGAGACTCCGCCTCAAAAAAAAAAAAAATGTCTTTTACGTTGGAGTCTATCTTGTCCTTGTATGCCATTTTGACTTAGGTCTAAATCATGTACAATGTTTGTAGGTGGTTTCTGTTTGCTTGCTTGCTCACTCTCTTGCTTGCTTACTTTAATCCAATTTGAAAGTCTTTATAATTTGCATTAAATTTTATTCTATTTAAAGACCCAGGTCCACAGAGGAGGTCTACAGAAAAAAAAAAAAAATGAAATAAAAAATAAAAATAAACAAAAACCCAGAGTTCTAGATCTTGCTGCATTGTTATTTTATACTGTTCTTGTGCTTGTTTGCTATTAGTTTTGTTTTTCATCAAGACTATGACTGTTTTTCTAAATTTTGAAAAAGTTTGAAATATAAAAAGCACTAGAAATAATATACAAAAATATTCCCATAAACTCTGTTCTCTTTGATTTTTTTCTTCTCTGGCTGATTGCAGTGTATAAAACCTTCTTATATTCCCATAAATGATTGTCTTTTCCTGGTAAAAACTGTACTTGAACCTGTATTTTTCTGTTCATTAATGTAATGAATTAAATCATTTTTGTTGATGACTCTTCTGTAAAAGGAGTAAAAAAGCATTTTTAAATTTACCCCAATCCATTCCTAACCCACTTACATGTTTTCATTAATATAATCTAGAATTTTTAGACCCAGATTATTAATATTTAATTTTATGTTTGTTTATATTATGTTCCACTATTCCAGGAATTGTTTCTCAGATAATTGCATTGCTAGGTAACCTTATTTATGGTTATTAAAATAATAGATATGTTTAACTGATCTTAATGTTCACTGTTCTGACTTTTATGTTGATTTACCCATTTCTCTGTCCTCAACTTTGATTCATTTCATTCATGTGTAATATAGCCTCAAGAATTTTATTTGCTTGGCTTTTTGTATTTTAGGATGGGCTCATAAATGATATACTTTGCATATATATCTTTCTGTTATCTTCACAATTGAACAACTTGACTGGGAATTGTATGCTATTGAGTCATAACCTTTTCCTCTCAAAATTCTGTAGACATCGTCCCATCATCTTGCAGTTTTCAGAATTGTGGCAAAGTCTGAAAGCAATCTCATCTTTGTCCTTTATGGGAAAATCGTTTCCTTCCTAGATGCCTGTAGAGGTCATTCATTTATTAATACAGGTATTCAACAAATATTTGTCAAGCACCTACTGTGTGCAAAGCACTGACCTAGACACAGCAATGAATGGAACAGAGAGAATGAAGAACAGAGAATCAAGGCAGAGAGAAAGAACAGAGAATTAAAGCAGAGAAAAAGATCTGCCTTCAGGGACCTCTCAGGCTAGCGGGGGAGAGAGGCGATAAACAAAATGAATAAATATGACGTGGACTATCTATTATAGGGAATTTCTGATGATAACACATGTTAGGAAGGTTAAAGCTGAAGAAAGGCATAAGGAGTTGGACACATGACCATTTAAATAGGGTCCTAAGGGAACACTTAATAAGGTAACATTCCGATAAAAACCTGAAGGAACTGAGGAGTGAGCCATGTGGCTTTCTGGTGAAGAGCATTCCAGGCAGAGGGAAGAGCATATGCAGAGATCCTGAACTGAGGGCTTGCCTGATATGTTCAAGGAATAATGGGGAGGCCACTGTGGCTGGAGTAGGAATGAGCAAGAGAGAAAGAAGAAACTGATGAGATGAGAGTTATAATGGAGGATCAGATCATGGAGAATCTTGTTAACCAATGTGTACACAGGTCAGCCTTTCCCAAGCTGGGGTTCCAGGGAAAACACACATTGAGCATTGCTACTTTCCAAGAGTGAGCTATGATAAGCAAAGCTTCCCAAATTAAATTGTCTATGGAATCCCGTTATAGTAGACCTGTCAGTATTCATTCACCCATGAACTCAACAAATATTTATTGAGCACCTACTATATGGCAGGCACTGATCTGGCATGGAGGATACAATGATGAACAAAACAAAGTCCCTGCCCTCATGGAATTTTCATCAATGTGTGGATAACAAACCACACACCCCTATGTATGTGAGATAAATGCTATGAATGAAAAATAAAGCAGGATAAAATACTTGTAGAACACTCGTTTTGCTAAACATTGATCTCTTTTTTTTATTTTTCCTAATGTATGACTGACCTTTCAATAAAATATTAAAATTTTTCTTAAGGTTGTGAAAGTTCTCTCCTAGTTCACCTTCCACTGTTACTTCTTTTGTTGTTCTGATCTCTTTTAAAATTTTGTTTTTATTTTGAAATTTTGGAGGGAAATATTTTAAAGTATTTATTATACACAAAAGAATATACACACTGGTCTCCTTTTTAGGAACAGCAGTGATCTCTATGCTGGCACTCTATTAAGTGCCATTCTCTGTTCTCTATGTACCTAATCTCTTTGCTATTGTTTCTCCTATAGTCTGCTAGAGTTTTTCAAGTTTATCCAAGATTTATGATTCCAAGTCCAATGCCCACTTCACTATTATTAGTTCAAATGCACACTTAAAATCTCTAAAAACTCACTTTTTTGTGATCACATTAGTTTTTTATATTGTTTTTAATTATAAAAATAATATCTAATATTTATTAAAATCATACCTCATCCCAGATACTCTGCTAAGAGCTTTACATGCTTTATGTCATTTACTACTCAAACAGCTCCGTGAGCAGGCACCGCGGTTATCACCACTGAACAGATGATGACATTGAGGCATAGAGGCATACACATTAAGTGATTATTGACTATTTTCTACCTTGCCAATTCTGCTCTGTGCTGCATCTAACATTGATTTTAACTTTGCTTATTTATATTTCATCTTTATGAATTTCATTTACCTTATTTTATTTCTAACTCCTCTCAGCTTGCTCCCTTCATGTCATCCATTGACGTATCATCATCTTATTTTTATTTCTTGAATCATAAACTACATATTTCCATGAATTTTGCAGAAAGGACAAGTCAGATGTGTTCTAAAATGTTCTTCAGTTTACTATCATCAATCTTTTTTAAAAGTAAGTTCTTCCTCTACGTTGTGAGTACCGTGTTCTCTGTTTTATGAGGCAGATTTTCTGTAAAGCCTCATGAGCTTCTTTTTTTCATCTATTTACTCATTTCTGATCCAACAAAAGAAAGAAAATAAAGACAAGTCTGCCTAGACATAGGACTTTTCTGCTAAAAAAAAAATTAAATGAAAAATAAGACTTTCTTCGGTTCTTCTTTGCTGGCCATCTGGGTGCTATTTGAATCCTTAAGCCCAGAAATTATGCCAGAGAGCTGGCGCATGTGACAGCCTCCAAATCTCTCTACAACTTCCAGTGTTTTTAGTCTAATATTTACTATAACTTCGATGGTTCACAGGGAGTGAGGCTGTCTCAGAAACCAGCCGGCTGATCATGTTACTATAAGAAGGCCACATACTCCTGAAGAATCTGTGTGAACAGTAAATTCAAACTCCAACCCCTGAATGCCTGTGACTGTCTCAAGATTAGCTCCTTCCCAAAGCCAGACCCACATCCCAACATGGCCATTACCTATTGTATGCACTTCCACCCCAGTGACATTAGAGTGCTGGTCACTGAACTGCTGGAAGAGCATTGCTAGGGTGGAGTGAGGGAATCTAGAACCCTGGCCTCCTCAGAACATAATTCCCACAGAGTAGGGGTGAGGAATGCTTCCTTCTCTCTGAAGGACTCATTTAGAGATATAGATACAGGTTGGGGTTGGGGAGACTGAGGCTGCCTTTTGCCTTTTCCCTATTTGGCCCCACCCTCTGCCTCAATACTTCATCTGTTTTGGTTGAAGGAAATTAGATGCATATCACAGATTACTATTCCAGGATCCTGGTGCTATTAAACATGTCAGTATTTGTGTGTTTCCATAAACATTTCAGTGGAAAGGAAGGGAAGACAAAACAGGGGTGACCAACTTAAAGAGAAACAGGGAGACAAGCTTACAATAGGGGATGGGCAGCTCTCTGCCTCAGTCTTCCCAGACCTCTGACCTTGCTGTATTAGTCCATTCTCATGCTACTAAAAAGACATACACAAAAGTGGGTAATTTATAAAGAAAAGAGGTTTCATTGACTCACAGTTTGGCAGGGCTTGGGAGGCCTCAGGAAACTTACAATCATGGCGGAAGGGGAAGCAAACACATCCATCTTCACATGGCAGCAGGAGAGAGAAGAATAAGAGCCAAGCGAAGGGGGAAGCCCCTAATAAAACCATCAGATCTCATGAGAACTTACTCACAAGAATAGCATGGAGGAAACCACTCCCATGATTCAGTTACTTCCCACCAGGTCCCTCCCACGACACACGGGAATTATGGGAACTACAATTCAAGATGAGATTTGGGTGGGAACACAGCCAAACCATGTCACTTGTCTTACCCCTAAGTTAACCCTGAGCAGAGCAGGGACTCTCTTATCCCCATCACAGATGTGTGCTGGGCCAGACACAGTGGCTCACACCTGTAATTTCAGCACTTTGAGAGGTCAAGGTGGACAGATCACCTGAGTCCAGGAGTTTGAGACCAACCTGGGTAACACAGTGAAACCCCGTCTCTACAAAAAATACAAAAACTAGCTGGGTGTAGTGGCATGCCCCCATAGTCCCACCTACTTGGGAGGCTGAGGTAAGAGGATCACCTGAGCTTGGGGAGGTCAAGGCTGAAGTGAGCCATGATCGTAACCACTACATTTCCACCTGGGCAAGAGTGAGCCCCCGTCTTCAAAAAAATAAAAAAGATGGATGCTGAAAGTGTGGACTCTGGAAGTAGGCTGCCTGGGTACAAATCTAAGGTCCACACTGAGCAAGTTACTAAATCTTTCTGTGCCTCAGTTTTCCCATCTGTAAAATGATATAATCTCTCTGATAGTTATTGTGAGGTGTAAGTGATATAATATTTGAGAAGTACTAATAACAGCACATGGCACATAAAAATGCTATTGGTTGATTAAATGATTGATTAATTTAAAAGGGTCAGCACTGGTACCTACGAGCCTCTTCTAGGCATGCATAGTCTGTCCTCATGGGCTACTTCCTTGATTTCCTTTACTGAGATTGGAGCTCTGCTTATGGAGACCTGCTTTGCCTGTCCCTAACCCCTGGCTAGGTTCTGTCCTCGAGGTTTGGGCTAACTCCTTGTCCCCAGGATCCACAGGATCCTTGATGAGTGAACTTTAACGAAAATTAAACCAAGTACCAAAGGCTTCCTATGTGCCAGGCCTTCAGTACTTTGCCTGCATAAATCTTTTAACTCTCACAACAGGTCAATGATGTCAGTGCTGTTATTATCCCCATTGTACAGATGAAGCAAGAGTCCTAAAGTTTCAGGGCTATTAAACGGAGATGGGATTCAACATGAAAAACCTGAAGGGCATAGCCACCTCTCTGTCTGCAGAGGAGAGAGACTTTGGGAGTTCTGAGACAGGCCTCTCTTTTATGAAGAAATTTCTAGGCAACTTAAAGGGTCCCAAACCCAGCATGGATCTGGTGCTCTGTAAATATTTATTGGAGATTTATAGAGTAAAAAGTTTTGCCCTAGATCAATGATTCTCAACAGGGTGCGATTCTGCCCCCGAGCAGACAATTGGCAATGTCTAGAGACATTTTTGGTTTTCACAACTGGTGGGGAAATGTTACTGACATCTAGTGGGTAGAGACCAGGGATGCTGCTAGGCATCCCACAACACAGGACAGACCCCCACGACAAACGGTAATCCAAGTGTCAGTAGTGCCAAGAATGAGAAACACAAGGCTCTGAAATCAGCTGGCATGTTCGTCTTCTCCTTATATCTCTGAGAAGACAAAAGAAACCAGATATCCCAACCCGGCACGGTGGCTCACGCCTGTAATCCCAGCACTTTGGGAGGCTGACATGGGGGGATCACGAAGTCAAGAGATCGAGACCATCCTGGCCAACGTGGTGAAACCCCATCTCTACTAAAAATATAAAAATTAGACCGGGGTGGTGGTGCATGCCCCAGGAGGCTGAGGCAGGAGAAATGCTTGAACCCAGGAGGCAGAGGTTGCAGTGAGCCGAGATCATGCCACTGCACTCCAGCCTGGATGACAGAGCCAGACTCTGTCTCAAAAAAAAAAAAAAAAAAAAAAAAGAAAGAAGGAAAGAAAAAAGAAACTAGATACCCCAAAATGCCATAATCCAAGAAGGGTTCTGCGCCTTGTAATTTACCTCTGTAAATAGGGCTCTCTCTGTGCCTTTCATCCCCCAATTCAGTCATCTCCTTATTTCTTATTTTGGGGGCAATCTCAGAACTGCCCGTGAAGACAAAAAAAATTGTGAATTTCAGGAGGAGGGTGGAAACCTCGTCCTTTGGGAAAATTGAGCTGCTGAACAAAAAACTCAGCAGGCAAGCCCCTCATAGCTCACAGAGGATGAAGCATAGAATATTTTAAATTTCATCCAGAGAGAACTGACTTTCTGCTCCTTCCATTCAAGAGCTTTTGTTTTGCATTTAAATGACAAGGGAGAGATTGGGGAGAAGCCGGCAGCTTCAGCCTCTGTGAGGAGGGAAGTTGTCGCCCCTCTGAAGTGGCTGCGTTAATGTCATGTCATTACACCGTATTGCTGCACAGGTTAATATAATTGGGTGACGATGTGTGAGCAATGATCCGTGCCATGTTACAGCTCTGAAACAAATGACATTTAACCAGCCAGTCTGTAAGGCTCCTTGTTATCTACATGGTGAGCAATTGAAACGGAGAAGCAGACCTCTCGATGAGCAACTGATAAATTAGTTGTTGGGTTTCCTCGACAGCCTGGATTTATAAGAGCACAATTCTAACATAATTTATTAGATCTATAAACAGACAGATCCAATGTTTTTACTGAGATTACATCTTGTCACCCTCAGATATTGTGTCGCTGACAGCCCTGTTATAATTTATTTTTATTATTCTGATAAGGTGTTGTTTCCAGGGATTTATTTATTTTTCCCCCTAAAAAGACATTTTCATTTTTAGCTGGAAAGGAATCAGAAACTTTAATGCTAGCAGATCTCCAGTAGCCACCCAGACAGCTTTTCCATACTATGACTGTGAGCTTCTAAAGAGCAGAGCTGAAGTTTTAGCATGAATTAGTGCATGGCCCTTGGCCTGGGGAATGGCAGGAAGACATAAGGGAGAATCTGTCGGGTGGCATTGGGGCCTGTTTGAGGATCTTCCTCTTGTTGAAACATCAGCCTGTGATTGATATCCTTCCATAGAGTTTCTCACCTTTGCAGGCTGCCCGCCTCCCTCCACACCTGCCTTTCAGGCCAGGCAGGGCACAGAAGAGTCTTTCCTGGCTCTGGCCATCACTCACCTGAGCCTGAAGCTAACATGTAGCTTCCTGGACAACAGTCTCCCACAAAGCTATTCTAAGCCAGCTCCTCCTGACCATGTAAAAAGAGGGGTGCGTGTCTACTCTCAAAGCCCCTCTAGGCAAAGGGTCACAGGTCTGAGTGACCAACATCTACCAGTAAAGGACAGTGGCCTTGCCAAGAACTGCAAGGGAGAGGCAATGCTGGAGTTGTATGTCCAGTCCAAAGAACACAGATGGTGAGAAAACACCCCACTTAGAGGCAATCAGATTAGGGTTGATATCCCTCCAGGTAGCTGTGACTTCAGGCATTCTACTTCTCCTTTATGAGCTATTGCCCATCTGAAACATAGCAGTGATGACACCTGCCTCATAGTCCTGGTGAGAATAAAATGAGATAATGAACATAGAGTGTTGCTTTATTAGCTAAAGTACTGTGCAAAGGAAGGATACCTTTATTAGCATTAACATCTCTAAGCTCTAGAGATACATTTTTTTAATCTGGAAGGGATATTTTTAATGTTGTTTTTTATTTTATAATAATGATAATCTTCATATAGCTTTAAATTTTACCAGGTGCTTGCATATGATATAAGATAACAAGATCGTTTTCATCTCCTTATAATTTGGTGAAGATAGGTGACTTGTTTGTCTCCATTTTATGGATAAAGAAACTAAGGCTCATGGAGGTAACCCAGAGTTAGTCCACTGGTTACAGGATTCTAACTCACAACAGAACAACCCTACATCCATTACTTTGTACTTCCAATAAAATCAGGGCTTTCTCTGCTCCAGGTTCAAATGAAGCAGAGCATGGCTCTGGGGACAATCAGAATGAAAGTTTGTCACCAGCTCCCTGTTCTCGAGAGTTCAGTCACAGCTTGCTCATAGGAGAAATGATTTGGGTCAATTCACCAAAAGCCTGGGGTACAGGTGCTCTAGGGTTTCAGCTCCACTGGCTTTCAGGGCCAGCTTCCGTCCCCAAGGCCAGAGGCAATTCTTGGAGTCATTCATAAAGCCCTCCATGTCTCATGGGGAGAAAAGAAATTAATATCAGAAGTGGCAGCATCTAAGCGGCAGCTTCATAACAGGCTTGAACCTCGACATCTTGGCTACAACTGGGAACGGCTCAGCCAAGCACGTCATTGACTCCCAGAGTCCTGAACCCGAGATGTGCATGTGGGCTTGTAGGTCACCCAGTCCAGCCCCCTTATTTTATAGATGAGGAGGTTGTATTCCAGCGAGGGGAGAGGGCTCACCCAAGGTGACACAGTGGGTAGGGGGCAAAATCAGGGTTGGAACCAGGTCTCGTGGTTCAGGGCTCTTTCCAGCATTGGGTTCTGCATCAGGCATACTCTATCATTGGAAGCTTTTATGAGACCCAGTAAAACAGAGGCTCCATCAAAACACCAAATACGCAATGTGCAACCCTGCACAGATCTGTTAAGCCATCACTGCAACAGCAGGAGCTCTACCTGGGAGGGAGGCCCATACCCCATCACCATTCACCCCCCTTGGCCTTGAACCTCTTGCCTCAATCCACTGTGAATTTCAGCCCTCCCTTCCTTTCCCAGCTGCAGCCTGATCTTACTCTTAAGGCTTAATGCTAAGATGTGCTGATTTTCTGGATCTCTTTCTCTGTTCTCATTAAAGTTTTCCTTCCAGAAAATTCTGCCTCAGGCCACCCTGGTAGTTGTTCTCCAGCCTCATCCGATCCTCAAGACCCTTTCCTAGGAGTGGTATGGGAAGAAAACCAAAGCTTTCAAAATACAATGTCAGCTGAAATATTGCATCTTCAGGGAAGGCTTCCCTGACCCCAACCACCTCCACTCAAGACTGGATCCGTTTCTCACATCCTTTGCAAGCAGCTCTTAGTGTTTGTAAGGAGACTTGGGTGTGATTTCTAGATCAGCACGTGTCTCCCCCACTAGAGGGAGCTCTGAGAGGCCAGGGTGCAGCTGCTTTTGTTTGCTACTGTGTGGCCAGTGCTTGTAGGGTGCCTGCCAGGAGATAGGTGCTCCATAAATATCTACTCAAGGAGGGGGATGCAGATGAAGCTCGTCTTCACCCACCTCCAAAATGGTGAGCTTTTCCTGGAAAGTGGGGAATTCTGGGGGCCCTTGGAGGGTCCAAAGAGGATGCACCTTTAACTAAAGGGATGAGTTCATCTTTAAAGGGAGAGTTTGGGCTGAGACACTGAACAAAGTGATAGCACCCTGTCCCCACTTCTCCCGTAGCCCTAAGGATGTTTTATGTTGCCCATAGCTGAAAAAGTGCCCCTTGTGGTGGTGGGTGGTGGGCGGGGTGGGGGGGCGGTTAGGTTTACTCAGGATGGAGGTGGCTACAGTAAGACGTCACCTCCTCTGTGCTTCCCAAAGTTGCTTCGGCTTCCAGGGTCACCTGCCTAAAACCTGGCAGCCCATCAAGGCAGAGGAGGTACAAGGCAGGAGAGGTAGGGCAGCCCGGTTCCTGTGGGTCGGCCAGGAACAAGCCCAGCCACCATAAGGAACAGGAAGAGAGGCCCCTGGATGCCCCCAAGAGGCTCCTCTGGAGCCTGTCTTTGGGTCTAGAGGGAGCAGCCATGAGCCTTGGGACCCAGCACAGGGGCTGTATCTAGGTGCCAGGGGTAGCAGATCAGCAGAAACTTCCAGGAGTAACCAAAGTTGCATCTGCAGTCACTGCTCTTCAGAAACAGCTGACCAGGGTCCCTGAGGACACAGTTCTCACATTCTGGGCAACAGGGGAAGGGATGGCCCATGCCTCCAGGACCTAGCAATATCCGCAATAAGGGGCTCCTGGGCAAATTTTGCTGGTGACACAGGCACAATGTCTTTGAGGATGATGCTACAAGGCCTGCCCTCTAGGACGGCACAGTGCAAAAGAAATAGAATGCAACCTCTGTATGTCATTTTAAATTTTCTGGTGGCCACATTTTCTTACAGTAAAAACAGGTGAAATTAATGTTAATAATAAATTTTATTTAACCCAATATATCCAAAATATTACTTCAACATGTAATCAATATAAAAATATTGTTGAGATACTTTATTTCTTTTTTTCAAAATGCAGTGAGTATTTAAAATATACTGACAATATAAGTCAGTTCTGAATAGCTTGGGGATAGTGGCTACTTAATTGGACAGCATGGCTCTGGAAGGTCAAGTCAGCCTTCACCTTGACAGTCTCATCTGATAAGTGGGCATATCTCAAAGTTGTCAGGTGTCTGAAGGCTCCAAATGTGACTTGCAGAGCTACATGGACAGGTGCAGAAGCAAGGGATTTCATAAGCCAGAGAGTGCTCACTGGACCCCACAATTCCCTCTCAACAAAACCAGGCTTATGCTGCATTCTAGTGAAACTTTCTCTGGTTGGGGAGACCCTGTGGCACTGGTTTCGTGGCTGCCCTGCAGAAATGCTCTGCTCTGAGCCTGGGAAATGGAGCTGTTTGAAATGGATCCAGGTTTTCAGCTGCCTGGTCCCTGCACCCCATCTGCCAAGCACCAGGAGCGAGGCAGATGCTAGAAACACATCTGTCAACCTGCCCTGATGGTTTCTGGCACTTCCCCCAGCCTTTCTGAGACTGTGTCCCCACCCTGGAAGAAGCCAGCACTCTCTGGGTTTTCAGTTACTGGTACCCACTGGAGGGCAAACTGGGGCATCCCTGGATGTGGCTTCCTCAGAAAGTGGTCCCCCGTTCTCAGGGACTGATAGCTCTGTCTGCTTTGCTGCCTCCCACCCCTCTAACACAGCCCCTCTCTGAGACAGGAAGTAGGGTGTAAACCCAGCAGTCCCCACAGACACAGTGAGCAGCTCTGGGAAGGTCTGCATGGGCTGCAGTGAAGCAAATCCCAGCATGGAGCAGGCCAGTGCCTGCGTGGCAAGCGACCAAACCTGCTTCTACTCCCGCTCTGCCTCTCTCCCCGATAATATGAGTTGTTTTGAGGATGAGACGAGAATATGTAAACAAAGTTCCTGACAATCAGTACTCAACAACTTCTGGGTAGAACAAGACCGAGAGCTAACAGGGAAAAGAGAGGATGCCTTAACCATGGTGATGGCAGAGCTAGACTCCAGGTCAGTGTCTGTTGTCCCTCATCTGGGCCATTACAGGTCACCATCACCGGGGGTTCCTGAATGATTTCAACATTACGTAGTTTAAGAGGGAAAAGTCAGTCCATCTGGTTGTGTATGTATGGGCATATTTTATATGCCTGAAAGTCATGAGTTAGAAAAGCTTAGAGTGTCTGACTCTCCTCTGTCATGCCAGCTCCCAGGTCATAGCCTGGATCAATGTAGGTGCTCAGTAGACACGGTTAATCAGACAAGAGAAGAAAGGAGTGAGAAAAGCGGGGAGGGAAGGGAGAAGTCAAGAAAATGTGATGAGGGGTATAAGGGGTAAGCAACAAAGAGACAGACCAGAAGGAAGAGGTGGAAGAGGTGATCCAGGGTCGGAGCTTCCCGCTGCCCCAGCCCTGCCTCTGCAAATCGAGCTCAGCCCACTTCTCCCAAAAGCATCTCCGTGGCTGGGCGCAGAGGGCTGGGCACCCTGGCTTGAGCTGGAAAGCCTTTTGCCAACTCCATTTTTCCTCTTAAACCATGAAGGAGTCTAAACGTCAGCTAAATGAGTACCCCATATGTGGAAATATTCATTCTCACATTGATGTTTTCCTTATAAAAGCACGTTGTTTTATGTGTGGGTGGAGGAACTCATTGTAAACTGTTAAATATGATGTAAATGCTAATTTCTCTGCAATGCCCTGTAAAGGAACTCCCTGGGAAGTGTGTCTAGTGGAAGACCATAAAAGAAAATGGTAAAAATAAATTAGGGAGAAACGCGGGTGGTAGCATACGGTGTCTGTTTTGCCAACACGCAGCCGTGTGTCCCCCCTCCAAGCTCTGGCCCTAACAGGAGAGGATTTGCATAACTGCAGTGACAGATGCCACCACTTCCCCACAGCCACCCGGCCTTGACAACTTTTGGGAAACATTCTGCCAGGGTTTGCTTCCAATAAAAACAATTCAAAAAATCACCAAGCATTTCTCTCTTTTGCAATTTTTAATAAAATTACGGTTTCTAGAGGTTTGGATTTCAATCCTGAAAAGAAGAGGCACAACTGACATGATGCAAATCTGCCTTTAAAACCAACCTAGGTTTCAGGTTGCTCACCCAGGCTTGCAGTAATAACCTTTTCTAAAAACCTCCGATGCACTTTGGCCACATTCAAAAGAGAGAACATGGCAGGTGTCTGGCGAACACAGGCCTCTTTCTCCATCAGTAGCCTGGCCAGTCTTGGCACTCTGTTAACCAAACCCAGCTCTGGATTTTAACCACAACCCAAATTTTGTCACACACAAAAGAATTAGAATTCAGGGTCACACAGCTATTTGTGGAATGAATATTAGTATATTCTTTACAAATGCATGATGTATGAACTGCATATATTTCTTTGATAAATTGTTTTTAAATATTTCCTCCTTTTTATTAATCAAAGAGGAACCTCGTGTATCACTGCCATTTTTTCCTGTTTTTCACATAAATTATTTTCTTGCAATGTTCGTTTGTATTATTATTGCCGATATTAAGCAAAGACTTTTTTTGCCTTGTAAACAAGATTTTGCTTACAGCTAAATGAAAGAAGTGAAGTTAATCACATTGAAATAATAGGTTTAAAAAGGTAATTCAGTGGTGTGGGAATGAAGTTTAATCTTCAGCAATAGAAGCCGTGCTAAGAGAAATGGCAGAAAAGCTTGTTCTGTAATTAAATGGTATTTATCACAGGCAGGTCAGCTCTGCTGGGTGAGAGGCTCCAGGACTTCACAGAGAAGAGGAAGGCAACTAGGGCAGGAAAAAAGGGCCCAGAGTAGAGCCCGCAGATTCCAAGAGCGGGCTGGGAGGAAGAGCTAGGTGCAGTGACACCTCCTGGGGTCCAGCTGTCTAACCTTGCACATGTGTATCTCAGCCCACAGAAATGAGTCTGGCAAAAATGCCAAGTGCATCCTCCACATCCTTCCAGAAGGGACCCGATGTACAGCTTCCCTAGTCAGCATTAAACCGCACGAGCTTAGAATTTACACAGACCTGGGACCAAATCATACAGCTGGTAGCCCCACTTTCTTCATCTGTAAAATGGAGACAGTAATGCACCAATCTCCTGGAGTTGTTATGACAACTTGCAACACAAGACGTAATGTGCCATGTACCATGCCTGGCACTGTAGCAATAATCAATGCTAATTATAGCCCACTAATTAGGATTCAGACCTCAGGCAAAGCTAGTGCAGGTTGAGAATCTCTAGCCCAAAGAGGAAAAAAACTGAGCTTCTCAAGCAGATGTTTCTCAGGCAGCCTTCTGCAAATGTGGCCAAACTTGTCAGCAAAGCATCAAACCTGGTATAAACTGAGGGCATCAGCCTGCAGCTGAGAAGGCTGTGGGCTGATTTCAAGATGGTTCTCAAACAGCCCTCTGCAAACATGTTCAACCCTAATAACAGAGCAAGTCAGTGAGTTGAGCCCCATCCCAGATTTCTCTTTCCAGAACTCTGATTTCCTCTGGGAGCTGGAGGATATGAACCCCAGATGGCTTCGCTGGGCTCAGACCATGCTGTTCATCCATGCCTTCCATCTGAGTTCAAGCCCTGAATCTGCCACTTGCAAGGGTGTGGTTTTAGATAAGTGAGCATAGAAAGTGACAGTACTGGGTGGAGAGGAGGATGGAGTTAGATAATTCAGGGAGTCTTTCATGCTGCCAAGGCCAAGCCCTTTCCTCCCACGCTACAGCTCTTTGCTAGCTGCTGCCTCTTTCTTAGAGGCTTTTGGCCCTTTCGCTCACACCCGAGCTCATTGATGAGATCTTCACGCCACTGTGCTTCAGGAAGACCAAAAGACCCAATGCAGGGATGTCTCACTTTGGGGAGGACCTTCTTGTTTTTAACTCTGGCCTGCCTGTCTATCAGGGCATTTGCTGGCAGGAAATTCAAGCATCCCTGATCCCCCTTCAATGAACCCCATTTCAGTAGGGCCTGTTTGGCATTCATAGGTCCCTGGGGCTCATATGCTGTTGACAGACACCTTAAAATCAACCTAATCCTCAATTGGCCCATGTGCAAAAACATACCAGGGCATTCTTCAACATCAGGGCAGCTGAGCCTGGCACCACTCCAGCTTTCATCTCTAAGAAGCTCGAATTTGGGTCCTTTATTAGCTCTCCCATCTTTATTAGTGTCCTGGAGCAGAGTGTCTGCAGCTAAAGTTATTGAATTTTCACTAAAACCTCAATACATGCACGACCCTTTTGTACTTTCATGTTCAAAAAGGTACAGACTTCCAACCGCCATCTCCTGCCTCCATCCGTATCTTTCCTCATTACAGGCTGCGGTCCAAAACCAATACGAATTAAATAAATAGCCCACTGAGAGCTGCACTTTGGAGAATTGTCTCCTTGCTGTACAGATGTGTGCTATCTCCAAACAGCACCAACATCTTGTATTTTATCTTATATTTGAAAAAAAAAAAAATTAAAATCCAAATAGTATCCAGGGAGGAAACGTTTGCATGGGTGAATGTTTCATTTCATTCTTCTCCCAGCGTGCCCTCCTCTTTCATCCCATAATGGCTCTTCTCGGCTAATCTGTCTTGAAAACCTGCAGGTAGAGATGTTTATTGATACAAGGCTGACATGCAACTCAGTTTACAGAGACTATTGAAAGTGCATAAATAGTAGATTTCACTTGATGTCTACTTATTAATGCAATTCCACTCTGAACATTTCTACAGAAAGAGGTTTTGCCAGATGGGAGATAAGTCTTATGTTATGGATATTCATGCAAGAAAACATTTGGTTTCCATTCTAAATGTCTGATACAGGCTGTCCCCATAATTGCATTTTTCAGGGCAAGTCACCAAATTCAACATCAATTACTTTGTCTTTTAGCAGTTTAAGGGAAAAAAGTTTGGGTTTTTTGTTGTTGTTAAAAAAAAATCACTAAAATCTCATAGAAACATTTCAGCCCACCATTTCATATGAACACAACCAATTACTTGTGTAATTTTACAAGAGCAGCTTTAACCATGGTTCACACAGAATCATCTTGTGCCCTGAAACCACAAATTTGACTTCCCAGCAGCTGGTAACTTTAAATCCTTAACATAATACCCACAGACATTTGTTCCCTTAGATCCACCCAGGATCCGATGTTGCTGGACAGATAAGCAGAGTGGAGGAACTCACTTTAGGCAGATTGTGGAGAAATATGGCAGGGGAGTCCATGCACTCTGCAAGGCCTTTATGGTCCATCCATGGAACTGGAATAGGAAATCAATGGCTAAGTCCAGACTGGGGCACTGAATTCTTCCACGTAATCATTTTTTCCTTCCTCCAGTCCCCGGCCCCTCCTCTGTTGAAGACTTAACATCGCCTTGCTCATTTAGAGCATAATTGAGACTCCACTTTTATTTCATCATCCTTCCCCTTTCATTGATCATTGCTAATTTTCTGGCTCAGTGCCATCCGGGGAATGGGTTTCCTAACCCCAGCAGAGGTGCAATTGGAGTCATGGAAATAAAAATGGGTTTGTACTTTGTCTCATGAACCAAGTCAGCTGATGTGAGGAGCTGACCAGGGTACTCAGGGATACCTCCTACCCGCCACCCTTCTACCTCTGTGCCAGCCCACCCAGACTTAAGAAAATATCTCCCCAGCACCCTGGAGCCTGCCTGGCATCTCAGAGCATGTGACCTCAGCATCTTCTGCCATGTAGATAAAAACACCAGCACAATAAGGGAATGATTCCTCCCCCACAGGTGCAAAAAAGAGTGGATGGCCAAGTGCAGCTGTACCTCCAAGTAGCCAGATGTGAAAACAGTACATCTGTCTGCAGTTTCTCTGTTCAAACTGAATCACTGATTCTTCACTCATGCCTGAGAACATGTGCCAAGGAGAGATTTAGAACCACAGAGTCCCCACCTCCCCTCCTCCAGGCATATCAGGATGGGGGCAGGGAAAATTTATAAGGTGCGTATGTCAGAGCTTTGAACTTAGGCAAGTGTAAACCCAGAAAAAAGAAGGTAGCCCACCAGAAAGGAGCAGAGGGGAACAGTACCCAACACACTATCCCAACATAATGTCATACCATCCCTGGAGGGGAAAAGAATCAGAACTGTGAGAAATGTGATAGAACTGTCAAAATTATATAAAATCAGCTTCATGGATTGTGAACCACAAGTCACACTTCTATTTGTTCTATAACACAGTAAAGATTGCAACATTTCCATCAAGATATGAAACAGAGGCAATAATAGCACAGAAAAAGACCTATCAATGCGATATTCAAGTTATCTGTACACTCTTACCCATTTCTTTCATCTGATACCTAGGAAGCCTGCTACCAAAGTTTGAAAATCCAAATCTTGCAAAGTATTTGAAGATTTGGAAGCTGTAGTATTGCTGGAGTCAGTTCATATCAGCTCCCAAGAGCCAACTGTTAACGTTTTCAGGAAATTTGCAAGCTGGTTAACATCATGTTGGTAACTCACAAAGTCGGCCATTATTAGAGTATTTACACCAAAGAAATAGGCACATGCTATGAGGACTTTTCTTTTTTCAGAGAGCTGGTTGTTAACCATTTACTAACATCATTGGTTAGAGGGCTCTCCTGAGATTGGTCAGCATGATAATTAGATTTAGATTTAGCTCCATCAAGTTCTCTTTCAATGCTCTCGAACTGCTTAAGCCCATGGTTTTCTAACTGCCAACAGCAAGTATCTTGCACTCCCAGAAGTGCCTAAGGATAAATGGGGAAAGAGGACAAGGTGAAGAATGAGTCTTATACACACCCCTGACTTAATAGACCATCTTGGCTTTGAGCTGTTAGAGTAGGTCTCACTACAAGTTCCCTTTTGTCAAAGGGCTCTGCTGCTCTAAAAGCTTAGTTTAACTGAGATTGCTTCTGTCTGTTTAACTGAGATGTCTGTCTGTTTGAGTCTTCAGAGAGGGGAGATTTATGCAAGGCCACACAGTGAGGGCAAGGCTGTGGGAGAAGGACTCGGCATCCTGGACCCAGCTTCCCCTGGACTCGTTACATGACCTTAGACAAGCCCACTTTTCCTTTTCTCTGGTGTATAGGTGGACTTGGTGATCTCTCTGGGCACTGTTGGCTGTGAAATTCTGACATTCAACTCTGAGTTCTTGGTCTAAATAGACTCTCGAGGGAGTGTGGATAATTTAAGAAACTGAAAGACAAGAGAGACAGACCAATGCTATCTGATTTTTAAGGAGAAAACATGGAGCGATCATCTTGACCCAGACTCCTGAAGTCCCCAGACCTGCTTACTTTCTAGATGATTCACAAGCCCTTGGGAAAGGAACATCAGGAATCTACTTGGATTCTGCAGGAACAACCCAGCCAGGCCATGAGTTGGGACATCTGAGTCATACAGACCTAGATCCAAGTCCCAGCTCCTCCACCTACATGCTAAGTGGCAATGGGAAATTTACTTAACCTTTCTGATCTTTTGATTCCTCCTCTGTAAAATGGATCATAATAACACCCACTATCTAAGACTTTTGCTAAGAATTAAATGAGGTAAGCCACGGAAAGTACTTAGCATCACATTAGTCCAGACTAAACACTCAATAAAGAGCAGCTACTAACATCATTATTTCCTCAGGTGATGGGGCTAAATTTAGAGGCCAGGGAAATGAAACAGACTTGGAATTTGCACTCTCAGCTTTGACCTGCGTTGAATCCATGTATGGGACTGAGCTGGGCCTGGGCTTCTAAGACAGATTGCTGAGTGGACTGTGCTCAGAGGGAAATTTTTGGGGTAGATTAGCCAGGAGGCGATTTTGCACAAGTCAGTTTGGGTTGGAATCAGTTAAGTTTCTTTTTATTTGGAGTGAAAAGAGCAAAAACATACACTCGAGAAGCCACGATGGACTATTCATATCCTGGGCCTGGGCCAGGAACTCATGCCCAGGTCCTCTAGGGAGAGGCCTCAGGAAGAGACTAGTGAGGCTGAGCTCTCAACAGACTTGCTGAGACCCAGTGCATCAGCAGCCCTTGTGACAAAGTGTGACCCCAAGAGAGGAAGCCTGGACTTCTCACTTCTGCACCAGACCCAAAGCAGCTTTAATCAATGGGGATGCCAAGAATGGTACCAAAGTCTGGGATATTGCACACCACACAGTGGGCATTTGCTTTCTTGCAGGGAGCACCAGCAGAGGTGGAAGTAGTGAGGTTCCCTGCCGTGATCTTTGGGCCGCAGGGGTCAGCAAGAAAAGAGGAGCAGGAGAGAAAGAATTTAGCAAGTGCTGCTGTGTGGGGAATGAGATTTATTCCTAACCATATAAGGGGCTCCACAACAAAATTGGGAGAACTTTTCATAGGTCCATAAATGGGGCTAGAACAAGTAAAACTTGGATGATTTTTGTTAATGTGACCCTGAGTTTAACCCCAACCTGGGGTTCCACATTTTGGATCCAGAATGAAGCATGCATCCATTCAGCAGAAATGCTTTCAAGATATCCTTGTAGACAGGTGGGAAAATGTAAGCTTCGAGGTGGGTCCATGACTCGCTGAATGTACCTAAAAGGAGAGTCTTATCTTGGTGCAAAATTAGAATCACCTGGAGAACTTTATTTTTTAACTAGAGACAGGGTCTCCCTCTGTCACCCAGGCTGAAGTGCATTGGCAAGATCCTGGCTTACTGCAGCTTCTAACTCCTGCCATCCCTCCAAGAAGTGCAAGGTCTTAACCAGATCCTCTGACTCTTAGGCTGGGCCTCCTGACTCCACAGCCCCATGGCTGTCTTTCCTGAGTTATAGGATGCTCTAGACTGGGTATCTTGGGTAGAAAATGAACCACAGGACTTTGAATATTGCTTCCATCTCTGAATGCCTATGCTGCCTCAGAGGCTGAGGCTGCCCCAGTGACCCACCTGTCCCCAGGCCTGGCTCCCACCAAGGCATGCCCACTTCCTGAGGCCTTCTCTCAGGAAGGAAATCCCAGTCATCATAAAAGGAAAATAAGGAAATAAAATCTTAATGGGATTTCATAGGTGATATAAAATCTCTACAACTCTGGGTGACAGACACTAAAAAAGATTATTTAGAGAGAAAAAGCTTTCTAAGACTTCCTGTGGAATTGGTTATCTGAATAAGCTTGCATGGTAGTCATATATAATGTCAGTGGAGGGAGGGCCAGAAGGGTCTGGGCTGACTGGGGCCTGAGATCCAGGGAGACTAGTTTGACCCACTGAAGAGGCGCTCAGAGTCATGAGGCAACACCAAGACATACAGTCCTGTCTGCCTTATGACCTTCGCCACATCCTTCAGGCCTTGACTCAGCCACTGCCTCTTCTGGAACCTTCCCTGACCCCCCAATAGATTATGACCCTCCACTTCTTCCCCAGTATTCCTGGGACATGGTTCTATTATATAGCAGTGTTTTTCAGAATGTGTCCACAGAACATCAGCATTGGTATTGACTGTGTGTATCTTGTTAGAAACAGGCTCCTGAAACCCACACCTAGACCTGCCATTTCAGAATCTCTAGGGGTGGAGCCCAGGCATCTGTATCTCCAACAAGCTTCATGGGTGTAGGTGACATTTTGTTGAGATCTGGGGGCAAGAAGGAGCTCATCCTGTGAAGATCTGGGAGCAGACAGAGAATGGCAAGTGCAAGGGTCCTGAAGTGAAAAAGCATTTGGAAAGTCTGAGGGACAGCCAAGAAGATAGTGTGGCTCAAGAGACATGTGTGAGGGGCAAAAGTGGGAGGAGTTGAGGTTGTTGATATATCAGGAGCCAGATTCTGGGGGGAAGAGTTTAGACCTTATTCTAAGTTTAATAGAAAGCCACAAAGGCGTCTGTTGAAGACTGAATTATTGGTTGCAATTCTTTTTTTTAGAAATGGGGTATCACTGGAGTGCAGTGATGTGATCATAGCTCACTCACTGTGACCTCAAACTCCTAGGTACAAGTGATCCTCCCACCTTAACCTTCCTCCCCTTGTAGCTAGGACTACAGATGTGCACCACCACACCTGGCTAATTGGTTTTTTTGTTGTTGGTTTTTGTTTGTTTGTTTGTTTGTTTTTTAGAAACAAAAATCTTGCTATGTTGCCCAGGCTGGTCTCAAACTCCTGGCTGCAAGTTATTCTCCCTCCTTGGCCTCCCAAAGTGCTGGGATTACAGAGATGAGCCACCATGCCCAGCCTGGTCCCAATTCTTTATCCCACTATTATAAATTATCTCTCCACACATTTGCTATGGCCTCATGGTGATGAAGTGTACTTCCTTTCTCTATGACTTTGATCTTGGCCGCATGACTTGCTTTGAGGAAAGGGATGGTGGTGGATGTGTTGGGAGCTGAGGCTCGGAATGTTCTTGCACAAATGGGCTTTCCTTCTAATGTTCCTCTTTTTTCACCAGGAGTAGAGAATGCCTTAGGTAGCCATTGATCCAACAAGGATGGGAAACATATAGCGTTAAGCTGGACCCAACCTGCAGGCCAGAGCCAAACCCTACCTAGATCAGCTGAACCTCAGCCAACCCTCAGACACATGAACAGGAAATAAATGCTTGCTGCTATACATCACTGAGTTTTGGGGTGACTGGTTATATGGAATTACTTGAAAATAACTGTGTGATAAAAGCTTTCAACAAAGGAGTGATTTGATAGCCTTTTTGTAAAGACCACTCTGGCAGTGGTGAGGAGACTGGATTGTGAAAGACTCATGGAAATGAGAAAATGAGCTTGAAGCCCATTGCAGTTGTCTGGGTTGGATCCCACAGTGGGTTCGACTGTGGAGGTAGTGGTGGAGATGAAGAGAAGCGAATGGATTCTAGATGTATGTGGGAGATAAGAGCTGACAGGATTTGCTGATAGGCTGAGTTTGGGGATGTGACCACAACATTATGCAATTTCAGAAGGAAGCACACACAGGAAGTGGTGCAATTTGGCACCACTGGATACAGTGAGGAGAGAAATGGAGATGGATGAATGTCTTCTAGATTTTTGGCTTCTGCGACTGGGAGGATGGGGGGTCATTTACCAAGAGAGGAAGACCTGGGAGGAAGAAAATTGATGAGTGTGGGTGGCGGGAGGCGGGGACCAGGAGGACCAATATCTCTGTTTTGGCCATGCTAAGTTTGAAGTGTCCATTGAATCTAAATGGAGATGTCAAGTAGGCAGTTCGATATATGCGTCCAGAGCTCAGTGGAGCAATCAGGGCTGGAGTTATAAATGAATGAACCAACATTTGACAGTGGTGTAGCATGCCTTTGCTCAGGCTGTTCCCTTTGCCACATCTTCCCTGGCCACTTAGCTCCTATTTCTGCTTTAAGACCCAGTTCAAACATCACCTCCATGCAGAGTTTGTGGTTCTCACCTCTGTGTTCCCAGAGTTCACTGTAAATATCTCACATGTTCCAAATAGCCTGCCTCCCCCACTAGACCACAAACTCTGAGAATCTTTGTATTCCCAGCACCTAACTGAATGCTTGGCACATGGAAGATGCTCAATAACATCAACTTCCTTCCTTCAAGGCATTGGGCTGGGTACTTATAAAAGCAATGCTCCATTTAAACTTCTCCACAGTGCAGAGGGTATGTTGTCATTCCATTTCAAAGTTAATCACACTGAGGCCCTGAGGGATTAAGGTCCTGCCCAAAGTTTCTGCAAGTGGAAGCATCTGGATCTGTCTGATTTCACTGCCTGGGCTCTTTCCACGTTGCCTCTGCCCCACTCCTGCCTCCCATCCCCTCCCTCCTCCCACTCCCTTGCAGCCCTCCTCCTCCCTGGCAGGGCTCCCACGCTGCCTGCGCCTCCACACAGGATGTGCTTCCTGAAGTTCCTGGTCCAGATGGCCCACGGAAGCTGCTCCTCATAAATCACCAGGCCTCGCAGAGCTGTGCTCAGCCACTTTCTCCTCTCAATCTCCCCAGGTCCCAGTGCGTGGGCCCCATCTGCCCAGTCAGCAGAACTGGCTTCTCTAGACTGGGGAGCAGATCTATGGTCCCCCTCCCCAGCAGGGCCAGGAGCCATGGAGCAGATTCCTGAGAGCTGATGAGGGGACTCACAGAGCATCTTTGTTAGGGACTAGGAGGTGACTAAATAAGATGCACAGTGCTTAAAACTTTGCCCCCAGTGGAGGTGCAGGTGCAAAGGGTTAAGAAATCCACCTGCCAGCCAGGCCCTATCACCACTGGGTATTCGGACCCCTTTGCTCCCTAAGACACCATGCCACAGGGCAATTGCATGCTTGGCACCACCAAGTCCCCAAATACATTTCCCAATACAGATCAGCAGCTTCAGTGACAACCCGCTCGAGGCCCAGCACACCTTGGACAAGTCACTTCCCTTCCCTGAACTTTCATTTTTTTTATTTGTAAATTGCAGATAATAGTATCTGCCTCTCAGCTATGCTAAGAAGTCAACAGACAGTGTTTCAAAAAGGCACATGGTGAGTCCCCAGAACATGGTAGGAATATAAATGCAAGGCACCCTTGAGTATTGCCCTACTCAAAAATGGGCCAGAAGTGGGGACAACAGGGACCTGACTCCCTTTTTTTTTATTCCATTACCACCATCTCCTTAATGTTTCCAAAGCACAGACTGATCTGATGTGTCCCTCCTCTGCCTAAAAATCATTCAGTGGTCCTGATGTCACCTTAGGCAGTAATTCTCCATATCTTCTTTTCTGTAACTTTAAAAACTACAGTTTGGGACCATATACTTGGAGGCTGTGGCAAAGTTGGCTAGCTGCCCACCAAAAATGCATGCTCCTGTTCCATGGTACGAGGTTGTCAGATCATGGTTGCCCAATCGGAATGACACTTTCTAGCCTCTCTTGCACTAGACGGAACCACATGACTACTTCTTATCACTGAAACATGAGTGAAAGGTATATGCCTCTCCCTTCCAAGCAGAGGTGCCTTTGCCCCACCTTCTCTTTCCTTGTCTGCTAGCTGGAAGAAAGGATTCTAAGTTGCAAGAACTTGGTGGAGCCATAAAACGAAAGGTGCCTCAATCCATGAATGGCCCTGTGGAACAGAGAGCCAGCACTGTCAATTGAGTACTCACTTTCTGCACTTGAAGGAAAATTTTTTGAGGCCAATAATATTTTACACTTTATCTGTGACAGCAGCTAGCATTACCCTAACTCAAAGGAGTTAAAAGATTCAAAATAGCATAAAACAAATCAATAATAATGATGGTGCAATCATGACTATAGTATAACAGTACCTCACAGAATCTATAAAGGCACATACCTGTGCTGACTATTTAACAGAGACCTATGGGTACCACATATCAATTTGAGTAGACTTAGTGCCCTGGTCTTGCTCCCTATATGCCCATAAAATGCCACCCTTGACTGTTCTACTAAGCATGCCTCTTTGCATCTTGTCACACAACCCACCCACCCACTGGTAGCATCAGCCTGATTTCCATCTGGGCAGTCACGCTACCCCTATTCTTAGTCTCTAGGTTCCAATAGGTCTGGCACATTGTCTAAGCCTGGCCAATCAAAGTTCTACTCACGATAGCAGTGGCTGGCCTAGGAGTGGGCACATACCCTACAGCCAGTTGAATCATCAATTATGGTAAATAGCAAGACTTTGTCCAGGTATGCTGGGGGAAACACAATTACTCTTTTCTGCTATATTCAACCCTAGAAAAAATAATAACAACCATGTTGCAAACACAAGGGGAGAGCCTAAGGGAGAATGGTGCCAAAATGGCAGGAGACAAGACCTAAAGAGAGAGAGAGAGAAATCAATCCCCAATTACATCAAACCATGGTCTTTTCACTTCCAGAAATCAATACATTCTCTTTTTTCCTAGCTCCAACTTGAAATGGATTTTCTGACCCTTACAATCAAAATAATCCTAAGTAGAACTCAGGTGTGCCAGCATTTGACAGCCCAACCCTGAAGGATTGGAAGTTCCCCAACAGGAGAGCCTCTGGCCTACATGGTACAATTTAGGCTGAGTCCTGCACCCACAACTCCCTTACCAGCCCCTGCATCCTCTCCCCTTCCTCCATTTGCCTGTCCCCCATATCCTCTTCCCAATCTCCACACAAATGATGTTGAATTCCCAGAAAGTAGAGATCCTTCTCCTACCCCCTGTCTCTGCTATTTGTTTCCTTACCCACCACCTTTGCTCAACTACCCATAACCACTTCTCAGCCTCCCTCAAACCTTACCTCTTCTGTGAATTCATCTCTGAACAGAAATTTGTTTTCAATTAATCAAATTCTTTTTCTCTCTTTTTTGTTCAAATCTATGTTGGTTCTCTACCAAAACAGATCTGATCTTTAAAAAAAATGCCCAAAGAGACATTGGCCAAGTTTCAGCATGAGGTATCACTGAAACCACTTCAGGAAGGATAACACCACCACAGACTTCCTGGGAAGAAGAGATGTAAACCCACCTCAGAAGATGACAGCAGTGAAGAAAATGAGCATCACAAACTGGTTCCCAAGGCCTGGGCCTGAGAAACACTCAGGAGAGCCAATTGCTGAAAAAATAATAATAATAATACCCAGAGAGAGGAAGCCTTTTCTTCAGGAGGAAACTGACTCACACTCTCTGCCCTCAGATCTTCCTGTTCTCACCCTTACACCTCCACTCCAACTACAGTGCCTCCTTGCTGTTTCTCAAGCAACCAGGCATGTTCTCACCTCAACACCTGTATTGGTTATTTATTGCTATGTAACATACAACTCGAAATAGTAGCTGCTTAAAACAAGAAACTCTTTTTTAAAAAACAGTCTCAGAGTTCCTGTGGGTCAGGAACCTGGGAGTGGCATAGCTAGGTTATTCTGGTCCCAGGTTTCTCCTAAGATTATGCCCAAAATGTCAATGCAGTTATACCCATTAGAAGGCTGGGGGCTCTGCTTCCAAGGTGGCCCACTCACAAGCCTCAGAAGTTATTGCTGGCTGTTGTCAGGAGGCTTCAGTTCCTTCCCATGTGGACTTCTCCATAGGACTGACTGCTTGAGTGCCCTCACAAGGCAGCAGCTGGCTTTCCACAGGATGGGTGATCCAAGAGAGAGAAAGGCTGAAGCTGTCATCTCTTTTATGACCCAGCCATGGAACCCATATTTCCACAATATCCTATTGGGTACACGTTAGCCCTATTCAGTCAGGAGGGGACTACACAAGAACATGAATACTGGAGTCATTGGAGGCCCTCTTTGAGGCTTAGGACCAGTGAGACTTTACACTTATCACTTCCGCTACCATCCTTTCCCCAGATATCCCCATGGCTTCTTCTTTTTCCTCCTTCGAATCTTTGCTCAAATGTCACTTTTTCAAAAAGACCAGCCTTTTAAAAACTACAGCTCCTCCTCTTGCCCCAGAGCATTCCCAAATTTCCTTTCCCAATTTATTTTATTCATTGCATTTATCATCAAATACACACACACACACACATAATTTTGTGTTTTTGAGTTTTAGATTTACAGAAAAGCAACAAAGATAGTACAGAGACTCCCGTATATGTTTCACCTGGTTTCTCCTAATGTTTGTTCTGGTTGAGTTTTTTTGTTATTGTTGTTTTGTTGTTTTTTTCTGTCTTCCTCCATTAGAATATAAGCGCAATGAAAGCAGTGACTTTTGCCTATTTTATTGGCTGATGTATCCTCAGTGCCCAAAACATTGCCTCACTCACAGTAAACATTCAATAAATATTTGTTGGATGAATGAAAGACTATATTACCAGCTCAAAGAAAAGCTGACACTTGCCTTTTGACCTTGAAGTTCTTAACAGAAACACACAGGATATTTAACATAGGATGACCCAGGGGATTTAGGTAGAGTATTTAAAACTCAGCAGGGAAAGGTTTGGGTGAGAAAGTGTACACCTAACTTGTCGTAAAACAATAAACTTCATTTATTAATTTTCATTTTTCTCTCTTTGCTCTTTTCAGTATGATTTGCTTTACTGTTGATAAAGTGAGTTGGCTTTATATTGTGTCAATAAGCCCATCTTCATTTATCAATAACACGAATGCAGTATTTCCCTAGAAGAGGCTTAACTGGGCTAAGCAGCGATGAGAAAGGAGAGAGGATGACTTCTGAAAAATCCAAAAGAATCACAGACTCTGAGATTTCCCCAATCTAGTGGAGTTTTCCTCAGTTCCCTGCTGAGCCTTCCCTTGTAGGGCTTCCCATCTGGAAGGCTCCTCCTCTCTCTCTTTATTCGCTGGGAAAATTATCCCAACAAAGCAATCACAGGATGCATGTCTTGTTTCCTTTGCTGGGGTCACCTCCACCAGGGCTTAATAGCCTTGGTGAATTCTCACTGATGGATTGATGTTGGCCCCTGGACTCTGAGCCCCTCCAGGCCCTGCAAGCCCCATTCCTATGTCAGATCCCTGACAGCTCCTAACCCATCCAATGCTGGGGCAATTGGCTGGGGGTGAGGCAGTGAATACTTATCAAGCACCTGCAATAAGCCCAGCACTGTGATATGTACTCTACAGATATTTAACTCCACTGAGACTCAGCATCACAGTTAAAAACAAGGGGAGGTGGGTGGCCTTGAGTGAGGCTTCCAGAGTTCAAAAATAATAGTTCCTACTTGAGGACTACCATAGAGATCAAAAGAGAGGAGGCAAAGGGTTTACCATTATGCCTGGAACTTAAAAAATACTCCATCGTGTTATTTTCAAACAAGGGCATTTTACAGATGCAAAAAGTGGAGCTCAGAAAGGTGAATAAATATGACTGATAAAATTTAGGTCCAGGTCTGCCTAGGTCTAAGTCCTTGCAGTACCCACTATATTAGTGTCACTCGAAGAATGGCATGGAGATATTTGCATTAGAATCACATGAGGAGCTGGTTTAAGAAGCAGAATCCCAGACGTCCAGAACTGGAACCCCTGGAGGGTAAGGCCCAGGGATCTGCATCTTTCACCAGCTCCCCATGTGACCTAATGTGCACGAGGCCAGCTCACCTCTCTTGGACCTGACACAAGCCAGGGATTTGTGCTTTGGCCCCTCTGTTAGTTCAAATGCAAGGCATGGGCAGCATTCTCTGCAGCTTTCTGGGGCCCAGCTAAGGCCATTATGACCCTGGACTCATGCATAGCCTGAAAGGCGAGTAAAGCTGTGTTCCTTTGGATCAGGGCATCACTGAGGGCAGAAAAATGGGTCTCGGGTCTCAAGGAAAACAAGCCTCAGCTGGGAGAAGAGGATGAATCAAAAAGAGAAAACCCCACCTAATTCTCAGCACAGGGCAGCTTGCTGAACAGAAATGTCTCATTGTGCCCCACTGTGAAGCAGTGGACCTCCATGCCACATAAAGTATTTTGGTACCTCTCTCAAGGTACTGTAGAACTTGAAAGAGACTTCTTTGAAGCTTCTGTCAGATGACAGGCAGAGCTGAGTGTAACACATACCCATCAAACAGAAGGGACTCGGGTTGGACCTGGAAGAGCATTTGGGGAACCTTTCAGGGGCTCCAAGGCTGGCAGGCCAGGAAGGGGCTACCCACCTTCCCCACAGTGGTGGTTCACACAGCCCCGCCCAGACCTCAGCTCTTGCTCTGAACCAAGAACTATCCAGGGCATTTCACATATGAGACCTCAGGTAACTCACATCAACTCTGTGGAACATCACTATGCCCAACTGACAGGTTGAGACTTTAAGGCTTAGGGAGATGAGGTCACTTGTTCAGAGTCACACAGCAGAGATTATGGAGCTGGGATTCAAGTTCAGTCTTAAATGGCATCTGCCCTACACAGAGGGCTACAAGCAACGGACTGGCAGGGAGGGGAAGAAGGCTTGGCCATGTGCCCCTAAGGCTCACCATTCAGGTTCAGCTCTTGGCTCCTGATGCTCTCTGGAGTCCCCCAACTGGGCCAGTCTCCCAGGCACCTTGACTCACCCCTCTCAGCACTTGACTGAGCAAGGTCCTTTCATATTTTAATAACGTGAGCAGGAAGTACAGAGAGTTTCCATGTATCTCCCACCCCCTTAATAAGCCCAACGTCTACTACTGACATCCTACAGCACAGTGATACATTTGCTACAATTGATGAACCTATATTGACACGTCATTGCCACCGAGTCTGTAGTTTACATGAGGGTTCTCTTTTGGTGTTGCATATACTGTGAATTTGGAAAAGTGATGTGTATCCACAATCATAGTATCAGAGAGAGTACTTTCACTGCCCTAAAGCTCCTCTGTGCTCTGCCTGTTCATCTCTTCCTCCCCTAACCCCTGGCAACCACTCATCTTTTTACTGTCTCCATTGTTTTCCCCTTTCCAGAATGTCACAGAGTTGGAATCACATTGTTTGTTGCCTTTTCCAGTTGACTTATTTCACTTAGTAATATGCATTTAAGATTCCTCCATGTCTCAATGGCTCCATAGCTCATTTCTTTTTATGACTGTATAATATTCCATTGTCTGGTTGTACCATAGTCTATTTATCCATTCACCTACTGAAGGTTGCTTCCAAGTTTTGCTAATTATGAATAAAGCTGCTTTTCATATTTTTTTAAAACTTTATTATTATTGTCATTGTAGTTCTTGATATCGTTAATGCAAGTTTACAATTCAGATTAAATAAGAAGAAAAGTTCTTAATCTCTGCTACTCCAAGGATTGCTTTATCTTATATTTTTTTAAAAATGAGATTATACGATAAATGTTATTTTCTAATTATTTATTTTCCACTTAATCTGATGTGGAATATGTCACCTGTCTCAAAGACATGGTCCAACTTGTAACATGTTTGTGGGGTTCTGGAGATGGCTGTGTGACTTATTCAACCAGATCCTTTCTGATGGAAGTGCAGATTGTTCCAGATGACTTACACTTGCAGGTTCTCATGGTGAGGAAAGTTCCCACACTTTTTCAACCCAGCTACGCGGGACTCACATAGGCCAGCCTAGCCCCCACTTCCTTCCCTTCTCACATGAAGACTTGGGAAATGTTAAGGGAAGAAGAGGGGGTCTCAGGAGCCGAGGGGCTGGCAATGCGGATGCTGCTGATGTCAAGTAAAAGGAAGACTGAACAACACCCATCAGATTTAGTGGCCCAGAGTTATTCTTCCATGCCCTCACCTGACCTCGGGGTGAGGCATGGAATTCCAGCCTCCTGGGGGAGGGGCAGCAATGGGAAAGCCCAAGGGTCATCAGAATTGCTACCTATCTGGCATATGTATCCTTGCCCTGATGCCTCACACCCATTCTCAGTTCCCCAAAAACAGCCCTACCGGTAGTTTCTGTTCTTCCCATTTTATATACAAGGAAATTGAGGCTGAGAAACCTCACCTGAAGTCAAGTGGCCAATAAATCACAAAGCCAGGGTTCAAACTCAGTTGCTCAGGGCCCAAAGCTGGGTCAATTGCCCCAACCAGAGAGATGGCCCAGCCAGCCCACCCCATGGGCTAAATGACCTGACTGTTGTCTGAGAATTAGCTGATTCCCATTCACCAGAGTTCTCAAAACCACCAGCAGTTTCTGCATTGGTTATTTTGCTGCTTTTTTCTTTTAATTAAAAAATAATACAGGGCTACGGTTTAAAAAACATTTAAACTGGAGAGAAAAGAAGCAACCCTCAGACCCATTCTCTAGAGGTAACTTATGTGACCAATTTTGGGGGCCATGATGTGCATTTCATACGTATTTTGTGTGCACGTGTGTATGCACACACATGTACACACATACAATAACTGCACTGCACACCCCCTATTATAGCCAGCCTCTATGCACTGGATGCTTTCAAGAACATTGCCCCATTTCATCTTCATCAGTATGCCAGGGCCTGGACACTATTACCTTCCCCACTTTAGTGATGAGAAAATTCAGGTTCTGAGAGGCTGAGCCACTTGCTCAAGCTCACTCAGCTAGTGAGAGGCGAGACTGGAATTCAGGAGCAGGCTTTTCATAGCACCTTCCTGCCTATAAAGAGGGGTGGCTGAGAAAACCCATTCCATGTCCTTGAAACAAAAGGCTCAGGAGGCCCAGACTGGGGGATGAAGTAATCCCTCAACATCTAGCAACTATGGGGCACCTACTGAGTGTCAGGCAGTACATTGCCTGGACCTCGGGGATCTCATAGTAACAGCCCCAAGAAAGACCATCCTGAGCAAGAGGCACCCCTGGCCTCCCCATGGCCCAGAAGGATGGCTTGCATGGTGACAACAGAGGCAGCAAGAGGGGAGGGAAATGGGTGGCAGCTCCAGTGGACACAAGCAGGAGTCTGCAGAGCTTCCTGGGAGGGGTCCCAGGGATAAGACCCACACAGTGGTCCCGCTTTCAGTCATTTCTTCCTTCCAAGCTCTCACAAAAGTACTCGTGGCAGATCTATCTGGGTCACAGGACAGAAATAAACATCATTTGAATAATCCCAGGCTGACAGCCTTGGAGAATGGACAGGAAAATTAGCCCCTGGAAAAGGCAAATCTGAGCATGTCACCAGAGGCACCAGAGGGTGTCTCAGTAGCCTCGGTGCCTCCTGGGAGCGCTCACCCTCACCCAGGCCCTTGGCTCAATGCCCGAGAGAAGGAGACAGCAAAATGCAGACTCAGGAGTGGAGGCCCACGACATCAGCCAGTGGCTTCATTGTTGCTATCAAAGAAGACAGGATTCGAACCCAGGTCTCTCCAACCTCACCTCTTCCTCCTGTCTCCTTACAGGAGCCATCTGGAGTTGGGTGGCCCATCTCAGAAGGAGTTGGATGTCTCGCTTGGAGTCTCCATGACAATCAATGACTCCCATCCCCAGTGGCAGGATGGCTTACCTGAGCCAGCCACACATTGGGCGACCCCTCACTTGGCTGGCATCAAAGGTGAGGTTGCTTTCCAGGTAGAAGGGCACAGCCAGTGGCAACGAATGCAGAAACCACCATTGGTTTCAAGAATTCTAGATGGTGGCTGTCAGCTGATTCTCAAAAAACAATCAGGTCTTTTAGCCCACAGTGGGGGCTGGCTGGACTACCCACTATGGTGCCACAAAAAGGGCAGACTCTGGACCAGACATCTGAATTGGAGCTCTAGCTCTGTCTATTCCTGTGTCTACCTGGGAAGATGATCAGATATCTCTGAGCCTCAGTTTTCTCATCCGTAAAATGGGTAAGAGTAATCTCTGCCTCGTGGGCTGCCAGGAGGGTCAGAGGACATGGACCTAAATGGAATGACCACAATAGGAACAGACCCCAAAACCTGTCAAGCTGAGCCAGGGGGTCTCTACCCTTCCTAGCTTCTCTCCCTGTTTCCCAAGCTGGCTGGGCTCGAGGTTGTGCTGGCCGAGCGGACCAGGCACAGGCATTTTTCCCTCTTGCTGAGCAATGCGGATTGCGCCAAGCGTTCCCTCTCCTTTTGTGCATGTTTTTCATGACCCGCTGCCAACAGCTCTTTGCTGGGCGGCTGCCACCATTTACCCAGCACAAGAAAACTGCCTTTCTTCCCCCATTTAGGGTCTGGTTTTAATTTCTACAGTATTCTCTTTAATAACAATGCCTAATTAAAACATCTGTTAAAAAGTCTGTAACATTAACTTTACAGGGAGAATTTAATAGAATTATATTGGAATTGCAGGCATTTAACGGCCTTCCTAATTAGGCTTTTCTTTAAAAAAAAAAAAAAAGGAAAAAGAAAGAAAGAAACATTCTACAAATTAAAATCTCGCTCTTTTTTATGATAATGTAGGCTGATGGTCCAGTGGCTGGAGAGGACAAGTGGAAGCAGATAGAGAGACGGGAGTCATGCTAAGCCAGTATAATGACCTTTGTAGGATGGAGAAGGAAATTGGAGAGACCCTGCATTTAATGACAGGCATTGTACCAAGAGCACTCTCATTTGTAATCTCAATTACTTCCTGACAACAGTCATAGAAAGTAGTATTCACCCCACTTGAATGATGAAGAAACTGAGGCAGAGAGAGAAGTAATTTACTCAAAATCACACATGCACACAGCTAGAAAGTGGCAGAAACTTCAAAGTATGTACTCATTCCACTGCTCCCCACAGCCTTCCAGCTTTGCATCCAAAGAGTTTTCTAGAGCCCTCAGTGGGGTCTTTGTCTCCGATTTGCTCACTGCTTGGTGGTGAGCATCATGGCTGCCTCCCATAATCATCTGTAGCTTGTCCCCGGTTTCTTTCTACAAATTCCTCGTCAGCTTGATGCTCCTACCTGATCCTCCCTGGCCCTGGCTGTCACCCTACACGCCACCGGCAGCAAGCTGGAGCATGTGGTGGAGTAGGAATACAGCCTAGTGCCTGCTGGGGCACACCCCACAAGGGAGGAGTCAACAGAAAAATGTCCAAAGTGATCATCCTCAAAGTCTGGTCCCCAGGCCAGCCGCATCAGCATCACCTAGGAGCCTATTAGAATGCAAGTTCTCAGGCCCCATCCAGATTTACTGAATGAGAATCTCCGAAGCTGGGGCCTTGCAATCTCTGGTTTTCTGTTTGTTTTTGTTTTGTTTTGTTTTGTTTTGTTTTGTTGTTTTGTTTGAGACAGAGTCTCACTCTGTCGCCCAGGCTGGAGTGAGTGCAGTGGCACGATCTTGGCTCACTGCAACCCTCGCCACCTGGGTTAAAGCGATTCTCCTGCCACAGCCTCCTGAGTAGCTGGGATTACAGGCACCCACCACCACACCCCACCAATTTTTGTATTTTTAGTAGAAACAGGGTTTCACCATGTTGGCCAGGCTGGTCTCAAACTCCTGACCTCAGGTGATCCGCCTGCCTCAGCCTCCCGAAATGTTGGGATTACAGGCGTGAGCCACTGCGCCCAGCCACAGTCTCTGTTTTAATAAGCTTTCCAGGTGACTCTGATGCCATTAAAGTTTGAGAACCACTGATCTGAAGATAAAGGGGAACTTTTTTGTCCCTTAACCCTCCCAAGCTAGACTTCAGAGTCTAGAGGTTTGGCACTTTACCTTTGTAATGTGCCTTTGTAGGATGGAGAAGGAAATTGGAGAGACCCTGCATTTAATGACAGAGGTTTGGCACTTTACCTGCCCTGAGAGGCAGCCTTGCCCTAAGCCATTGACCCTGGCCCAGTCCCTGCCAACTATCACAGAGGTAAACTCCAAGCAGAGCTCCCGACTTGAGGCTGGCCTGCTAGTTACAGGAAACAGGTGGGATTACCATCTTTAGGTAGTAGGAAAGACCAAACCCAAATGCTTTCCTGCCGCTTCCTGAAAAGAGCCCCCTGTTCCCTTTTAGCCAAATCTGACCTCAACAGTGCTCCCCAGAGTGGGGTATGGGAGGTGAAGCCAGCCTAGGCTACTCAAGAAGGGGCTGAGTCACCCAGGAAGGATTTAAGCAGAAACTCCCAAGCTCAAGGAAAGGACTTTTTTCCAGCCATGGTTTTAAGATTCCAGCATGGCCCTGTCTGTTTTTAACTGACCTACCAAGCCCTGGGGTGGATTTAAAGATAATTCAGCAGAGTAGGGGCAGCAGACAGACAGTTCCCACAGCAGGTTAGTGAGGCCCTCACAGATGATGTCTTTGGGTCCGTCCCCAGCGGTTGTGTGAGTGGCTTGTTTCTGTCCTGATGAAGCAGGAAGTTGGGTGCAATGAATAGAGCAAGGATTTGAGAATCAGACAGAACTGAGTTTGAAGCTTGACCCTCCCATACATTGGCCACCTGACTTTGGGTAAATGGCATTTCCTTGCTGAGCCTCAGTTTTCTCATCTGTAAATGTTCAAGGCACAGAGCTGGTGTCCTGATTCATCTGGTTTTAAATCTACAAAGAAATCAGAAGCAATGGAGACAGAGATGGCTTACCATCCTTTGTCCTCACTCAGGGGTCCAGCATGTCTGCTGGAGGTTTGGAACAAACAGTTATCACACAGATCAGGGAATATGGCCTTTTCTGCTAAAACAAAACCCGAACTTTGTGGTTGGGGTCTGGGCGCAGAGCCTCTGGGTGAGGAGTGGCTCCTAGACCACCCAACCCTAACTCTGTCCCCTAAGTCTCTCCTCCTCCTTAAGGATTTCACTTGGATTCCTGCTCCCACCATCAAGCAGGTTTCCAAGCTCTGTTACCCGTCTCCTTTGTCACCACAGCCTAGGGATTGCCAGTTCCCTTCATTCAGCTCCTCTGACATACTTAGGAATTCTTATAAGCCTTCCCTAAACATCAAGGAAGGAAACCACAAGAGGAAAAGAAAACAAGAAGAGGAACCCTGGAGTAAAATTGCCCTGCTATTTATTGGCTGTGTGACCTCGAGCAATTTAATTAACCTCTCTGAGCCTCAGTTTCCTCATCCATCAAATGGGAACAATCACAAGATGACTAACTGTGGCATTGCTGTGAGGATTAAAGAAACTAATATTTGCAATGCACTTGGAAGAGTGGCCAGTACATGGTAAGTGCTACAGAAGTATTTGTTCTATAAATAATAAATGAAGGCATGAATCCAGTCACGCTCCCAACTCTGAAATATCAAAACTTTCAGGTTCCCAAGGCTTGAAATTGCCACCCCAGCCCATCCCTATCCTAGGCCCTAAAATCTGGTACTGCACAGCTGTCCCTGGCTGGAGGCACTTCCCATCACCCTTCCATGTATAGCTGATCTCTCACATGGGCCAGGGCAAAATCCCCAGGGGAGGGAAGCAGGCACCTTCCACCTGGGCCCCATGTGACTGCTTTGGGAGGACTGGAATTCACAGTTCAGTGCTTGGGCAGATTCAATAGGACAGCCTCCTGTGTGATGGCTTCTTCTGTTCAATTACTACTAAAATTCACCAAATGGAACTGAGAGGTTTTAACGGCAGTAATTGTGGTGCAAAATGCTCTGTAATTGGTCTCACAAATGAAAGTGAGGAGAATGCTATTGAAAACGAAGCTGCCTTGCCCTGAACAGTTCAAGAGTGATGGCTTAGACATGCTCCCCAGAAACCTGTTGGTCCCACCCTCTCATGCCTGAGACCCCCGCCCTTTGGCCTCTCCTGGTGGGAACCTCAGGCTTCTCTCTCTCTGTCTGTGCTGAGGTACAGTGATGGGGGACAGTGCTGGCACGCCCCTGCAGACCCTCTCCACCCTGGTCATCCCTGGAACCTCAGGCCTGCAGACACCAGGAAGCCTGAAAGGCCTCCTTGAGTGGCCTTTTTATTCCCTGCTGTCTTACATGCGTATAATCTCAGGCCCCCAGGCCTTTGCTCTGGCCAGTCCCTCTTCCTGGATTCCGTTCCCCTCACTTTCCACACATAGTCACTTCTCATTTAACCTACGCAGTGGAGCCATCCTCTCCTTCCCCAGACAGAAGTAGCAATGCCTGCCTTCTATTATAGTCCCTTCTATATAGCCCAGACACTACTATGAATAATACTGATAACAGTTACTCTAGTGAAGGAGGAGAACTGTAGTTCAACAGCTGGTAGCAGAATTCCTCTGCGGCACTGTGTCTGCCAACAATTCCATCCCTGCACACACCTGCTGCACCTCCCATCAAGAAAGCATGTCTGTTTTCCCTCCCCTTGACTCTGGGTTGCTCCTCAGACACTGTTTTGATCAACATGATGAGGTGAAAGTTGCAGTGTTCCCACTCCAGGTTAGCCTTTCAGAAGCCCAGCAGCTTTGGCTTTTGCTCCCTGGTAAGCCAGATGCTGTACTGCAAAGAACTTGGACTGGATGCCTGGACGATGGGAGACCTCGTGGAGAGAGGGCATGGAGAATGAGGGGCCATCTCTGACATTCCATTCCCATTTAGGTGCTTTGTTTTGCAGCACAAGCTAACTGATACATTCCACTAAGGAGAAACCTTTTCTTTTTTTAGCATAACACTCTGATGAATTATTTAGTTTTTTTTTTTAAGTTCTGGAGTACATGTGCAGTATGTGCAGATTTGTTACATAGGTAAACACATGCCATGGTGGTTTGCTGCAACTATCAATCCATCACTATTTAGGTTATTTTAAATAAAAGGGGCCAGGCGCCATGGCCCAAGCCTGTAATCCCAGCACTTTGGGATGCCGAGGTGGGTGGATCACCTGAAGTCAAGAGTTCGAGACCAGCCTGGTCAATATGACGAAACCCCATCTCCACTAAAAATACAAAAATTAGCTGGACATGGTGGCACGCACCTGTAGTCTCAGCTACTTGGGAGGCTGAGGCAGGAGAATCATTTGAACCTGGGAGGCAGAGATTGCAATGAGCCGAGATTGTGCCAGTGTACTCTAGCCTGGGCGACAGAGCAAGACTCCATCTTAAATAAATACATAAATAAATAAATAGGAAGGGGGACATAGCTAGGATGTGCTTGATATTCACATCAGTCACCTGAGATGTTCGTGAGAAATAAAGTGTCACAGATTCACTCCCAGAGAGTCTGATTCTGCAAGGTGGGGTCCAGTAATCTGCATGTTTGACAAACAGTGCTGATGACTGTCATGGACACAGAAGTTTGAGAACCACTGTCTGGGAAAGAAAGGAAGAGCTGCATGGGTATTTTTAGATGTTTGGAGAAGGAGAATGAGATGGCCAAGCTGAGAATTCCCTGGGCTGGGAAGGCCTTAGACCTCCTGAGAGCATGGTGCTACCAACTGAGCTGGGCTGGCCCCATTGTGTGACCCGCCACACTGCACCTGGGTCTCTATTAAAAGTCCTCCCAAACTTGGGAGGTGATAGATGTATTCATTATTTGATTGTGGTGACAGTTTCACAAGCGAATATCTGTCAAAATTTTTCAAAGTATACACTTCAAATATGTGCAATTTGTTCTAAGTTCATTAATTTCAATAAACCTTTTTTTAAGAACTGTTGCAAACACAACTGCCCTTCATGAGGGGGGCTTTGATAGGGTCACCTAACTGGAACACTTCAGAAAGTGAGAGGGGAGATAATACAATGGGACAACATGCATAAGCCATGACCATCCCTGGCATATCTGGACATTTGATCACCCTCTGCTTTGGGGACATCAGGGATTGGCCAGGACAAAGGGAAGAGGAATAAAGGTGAGAAATCAGAAAAATCAGGAAACAGGAGCTAGAGGTGACTAAGAGAAGCAAGGATTGTAAGAAACCTGTTGCCAGCACTCACTAACTATGAGTTCTCAGTGCCTATACTAGCTCAGGCAAACCTCACAACAGCCCCATTTTACAGGTAGGCAAACAAAGGCTCAGGAGAGTGACCTGCCTAAGGTCACCCAGCAGTAAAAAGCAAACACTGGATTTGAACTCAGGAACACTGGCTCTAGGAACTGTGAACCTCACCCCTTCTGGGACTACTGCCATATGTGAGTGAGAGACTCAGTCCTTCTTAAAGATCAGTAGAAATCCATAAGGCCAGAGGGCTGCAGAAACCACACACAGCTACAACCTCTGGTCACATTCACATTGACTGGCTGTTTCCTGGGGTTCCCAGCTTCTGCTTTCAGGACAGTGTCTTATGTAATTCTCACAATGACTGCAGGGCATACATTTTTATTATCCTCCTCATTTTACAGACTAGGAAATCGAGACCCAGAGAAGTTTGCCCCGAATCATCCAGCTGGTAAGTAGTGAAGCCAGGTTGAAACTAGGACCAGAACTAGACACCAAGACCTGAAGTTTACTGTCATTTGAATTACCCAGGGATCTTATTTAAATGCAGATTCTCATTTAGTAAGTCTGCCACAAGGCCTGAGATTCTACATTTCTGACATTTTTGGTTGTTGTTGTTGTTGTTGTCGTTGTGTTTATATTAACCAAGACCTCCTGGAAGGCCAGGATTTGTCTTACTCGTGTGGCACAGTTCCCCTGTGTTGCATGTGTTAGAAGGAAGGCCTGGGACCCAGGAGCTTCTTGATGATAATAATTTGATGCGAAGGAAGGAAGGAGCAAAGCAAGATAAGAAATTGGAGGCTGCCCCTTCTTGCACACCTACCTAACACCACAGCTTGTGCTCAGAGAGCACACGAAAGAAAAAGAATCACATTTCCAGTATTTTCCCACCACTGTTGCAGCTCAGGGCAGGAGCCTCAAAGAGGCGAGGGAAGTGACCAGGGGACACACAGCCAGGGCAGTGATCGGTGCCAAGTGTTGCTCTCTCTGCTCCATGGAGGAAGCCCAGGCACTGATTCTCACCCCTCCCTGCGTCCTGGGCCAAGCTGGGAGCCCAGGAAAGGACATTCCAGGAGGAAATGCGTGGTTTTCACTCCAGTGCCCCTCCATGGACCACAGCCCTTCCCTTCCCTCACTCTCAGGTCCTGACTTCTCTCCACGTGGGGCGACCCAGGTGGTCTGTGGCCAGGGAGGCTGAGTAGGCAGCAGGGCCCATGAGAGGTGGGGGCTGTGTCACCACAGGCTGAGAACACACACACTCGCTTTCCCATAAGAATCCAGCCCAGCCACTGCCCAACCCACCCGCCAGGACCACCACAACACCAACTTTCTCAGGAAACCTGGATGGGGCTGAGGACTCAGGAACTGACATGAGGCAATTGGAGGCCTCCGAGGGGGGAGAGAGGAACCACAGTTGGTGTTTTGTGGACGGAGTATGAGGCGTTTGCTGATCTCAGCAGACCAAGTGCCTCCTGTCCCTGCAGAGAACCCGAGGGGAGGAACTGACAGCAGGGGGAAAAGTCTGATGACCAAAGTCAGGACAGAGACGAAGCAGAGAGCCCATAGACAGGAATAGACATAGAAGGGCAGAGACATTGGGGCCAAGCGAGACTCCACGAAAAGGAGAGGTCTGGATGGACAGTTACAGGCACAAGAGGAAGGGAAGATGGGGGCAGAGGGATTTATCAGGATGGGCATTCCAGTCCTGGACAACACTACCCCCTCTTGCTTGGGCAGAAATTCTGGCTTCCACACCCCAGGGTAATTAATACCTTCTTATGACTCAAGCCAAACTGGCAAAAGGCTGGCAGATGAACGGTATGTCAATGAAGTGATAATGTTGGTAGAGCCTGGGACACAGTCCCCATCCCCTACAAAGCCCTCAAAGCAAGTGAGCTGGGGCTCTCACGATGGTTCATTGTTTTGTCTTTAGGGAGTGGCAGGTGCCTACCACCCAGGGAATGATGAGATGCGGGGAAACCCAGCCCAAACTGGAGCAGGCCAAAGGGAGCCCATCTAAAGGGAATGGAATAGTCCAGTGGTCCCTGGAACTTAAAATGGGTCCTTCCCTCCTCCCTCCAGGACCCCCAACCAGTCCCTTCTTTCTCCAAGACCGCTGTCTTATTCTTGTCACCCAAGCCCGGGAATCTGGCAGCCACTCTCTGGCCAGAGATGGAACTGGGAGGCATTTCCTCAGGAAATGAGGCCTCATGGAAAAGAGTGCACACCACAGAGGATTTGCTTTGAGGAGTCCAGAGGCTCTTCCTCTGCCACTTAAAACACAAAGGAGAATCGCTTGAACCTGGGAGGCAGAGGTTGCAGTGAGCTGAGATCACACCACTGCACTCCAGCCTGGCAACAGAGCGAGACACCATCTCAGAAAAAAAAAAAACTTCATAATCAAAAGCACTCTGAACCCTTCCCCAGATGTCAGCCCAGATCAACTCTTCATTATCAAGTACGCAGAAGAATTCTCGATTAAGCCTAAGCTCTTCTTATTTGGCTCCATGATGCCCCAATTATCACAGCTTGGTACCTGCACAGGGAGCTTTGTGCTGGTTCTGAAAGGCAGAGTGGCCTCTCTGAGGGTCTCAGCACAGGTCACAGGCTCAGTACCAGCCACTGACCCAGCAGAGAATCCAGGGAAAACAGGCCCCAAGGAGCATGGTCCTCCTCACATCTCCTTTGGCTGGGACCTGCCTGGCGCTGCCTCCCCAAAGCCATCCATTATGGGGTAAGGCTTGTCATTCACTTCCCAATGAGCTGCCCACCTGGCCAGAGTCAGGTGAAAGCCAAAGATGCAGGGAGGAGATTTGGAATGGTTAAGTGCCCTTCACCACTAACAAAGACATCAGGGTCTATATCTATATACTCTCTTTGTTTCATCATCAACATCACCACCAGCCCACCATCACCACCACCATCTTCATTATTTCCTAAACACTATGCACCAGGCACTGTGTTCAGCATTTTACATGAATTAACTCAAGTCTTTTCATCCTCACAACTACCCTATAAATTAGAGACCATCATTATCCCTATTGCACAGATGAGAAATTGAGGCACAGAGAGGTTAAGTCACTCATCTACAGTCATACAGTAGTAGTGGAACCAGGGTTTAAACCTAGGCAATGTGACTCCAGAGCTCACCTATTCTACCACATGACCGTAATGACACACTACTCCCTCATGTGCACACAGCCCTCCACAGTTTACCCCCAAATTCCTCATCCATGACTCTGTGATTTAAATAGGGGGTGCATTTCTCTTCAAAGAAGAGCAAATTGACTTGCAGGGACAGGGACCAATGGGCACTAGAACTGGGACTCTTAATGCTCACCTGTAGATCCCAAAGTCAGAGCTCATGCCTCAGCCTTGCTGCCCCATATCCTGGGATGAGATAAGGCCTTTTGTTGAGTCCAGGAAGATCCTCAGTCTTTCAGGATGCAGTTGGCAGCCATGGAACCCAGCCCTGCCCTGATCTCTTAAGACACCTGGGCCAAGCCACCACCCAACCAGGCCTGCAATTATTCACCTGCCCAACTGGCACCCAGCACACTGCATCCTTCGTCTCCTGGGGTAGGTTTCTACTTGGTTCAGCATGCAGCAGATTAGAGACAGGGCTGGGAGAATGCTGGTCCTTAGGCTTCCTCTCCCTGTCCGCAGTGTCTGAGGAGTTTGCAGCACTGGTGGGAGGGGGCTGCAGAGGTGAGGCCAACCTCACTGAGCTCCCAACTGAGGACCTCGTTTGTAACATAGCAAAGAACCCAAATATAACTGAGGGAGGGGGTGCAGTGGCTTCAATGTGGCCTAGATCCAGGGTCCAGCAACGTGGAAGAAGACAGGAAAACAGGGCAGTGGGACTGGAGGATGAAGCCAGGGGAGTCAGAACCTGCAATGGAATGAGAGTGGAACAGGCTTCTGAATCAGGGACAGCTTTGGCCCAAGAGCCCCCTACCTCTCACTGCCTACTGCTAACAGCAGCAGCAGCAGGAACATTTGAGGAGGCCTAGCCCCCACCACAGGCCTGCCAGGAAGCATATAGTCTGGGGAAAACAACAGGAGGAAGGTGGACACCAGGATCCCCTATGGTGAAAACTGAACCCATTGCAGACCTCCACCAAGGTACCCATATTTCAAAAGAGTTTATCTAACAACACCCTAAATATTTTAAGTAATCATTCATTCATTTCCATTTGTGAATATTCATAATCATCCAGAGTTTTCTGGCCAGTAGGGTGACCCCACCACGCTGGTATAATTTCCCCTTCAAGCAAAGCTCCGTGCTTTAGGTAACTTGGGTGGCCTGATGGCGACTTGCTGAAATACTAAATATAGTTTGAGAACAATTCCTGGCCAGTCTGTAACCAGATCTGCCTTGTTCAGGGCTATTTCCCCAGGGAACCTGGCACATGAAGGTTCTCAATAAACAAATATTTGTAGAATGAATGAATGATCCCTGTATTAGTACGTTTTCACACTGCTATTAAAAAAAAAAAAGCCTCAGACTGGGTAATTTAGAAAGGAAAGAGGTTTAATGGACTCATAGTCCCTCATGGCTGAGGAGGCCTCAGGAAACTTACAATCACGGCAGAAGGGGAAGCAGAAATCTTCTTCACTAGGTGACAGGGGAGAGAACAAAGGAGGAACCATCAGACACTTATCAAACAACCAGATCTCGTGAGAACTCACTATCACAAGAACATCTTGGGGGAAACCACCTCCACGATCCAATCACCTACCACCAAGTCCCTCCCTCAACACATGGGGATTACAATTTGAGATGAGATTTGGGTGGGGACACAAAGCAAAACCATATCAGCCTCCATGAAGGGAAACTCCCAATTCTTTACTTCTTCCAACATGAGCTATTCCCTACACCCAAGGGGATCCCTACCCTCACCCAGAAGTTCTCAGCAGAATCTGTCTGAATTTGCAGTGTGTTAACTCTGCCATGGCCACAGAGAGGCCCACGGGCACATACACACATCGCATGACTGGGTGAGCTTGTGCCAGGACACACACTCACCAGGAACAGCCCTGAGAGAGTAGGGGCTGCAAGAATGATAGCGGCATAGCCATTGCTCCCAACTAAAATCAGAGTGTAAAAGGGAAGAGAATTTATCTGCAAAACCACAGGGCCACAGAGAGGTCAATGAAAAAGCTTCTAAGCTTGTTTACAAAAATACGCAATTATGTATTAACTGTCCTGCGATGATTGCACTTAACACTTGTTTTTAATCTACTCACTGTTAACCATTTAGGATAAGAAAGGACGCTGGCAAGGAGGAAAGAGAGGACAAGGTCATTGATTACACTCTTGCTCTCAGCCCATTGCAGATGGGGTAATCGAGCCTCAGTCTCCACTTCTGAAAAATGGGGAAGATAATGATATCACTAAGCAAAGACTTCTAGTGTGGTGCCAGGCATGGAGTAGCCCATAAGGGTTGGTAATTCAGGTTCTAATCGTAATCATGAACTCCTCTCTATAAACTGTCTCTCAGATGCCTGGTTAAGAGACAGCTTCACAGCAAGGCTCACAGGACCAAGCAACTATTCTTTAGGCAAACTGTATGCTCATCCACCCACCTGAAGCCCCCAGTGGACCCAGGAAAAAAGGTTCCCAAAATGTGCCAGAGTAGTCTGAGGTGTCCTGAGAAGGAGCCCCTCTGAAATAACAGCTTTAGCTAGCTCTGGTCTGGCAGGGCATCAGGTCTTTAAAAAGAAAAATAAAATAACTTCCTCCCTGAGATGAAGTTGTTTTATTTTCTCTATTCCCATTTCCTGGCTCCTCTCCTGGGTCTGCTGTTTGGGGGGTCCATAGGAATTAGCAACACATAGACCAGAAGGAAGCAAGAAATATAACTTTCTACTGCTTTCTGGGAATCATGATCTATCACATCTAAGAGCATAGTTTCTAAGCTTCAGTTTCCTCATCTCTAAAATGAGAAAAATGAAAGTAACTTTTTCATAGGGTAATTGTGAGGATTAGATGAAATCATGCATGTAAAGCCCTTGACATAGTGCCTGACACTTAATAATCACTCAATAAACATTTGCTGTGATTATTATTCATAATGCTCACAATGACAAAAAACAGTATGTAAGTAAGGTCTCAGAGAGGTTAAGTAACTTGCCCAAGGTCACACAGCTGGTAAGCAGCAGAGCTGGGACTCGAACCCAGGCAACCAGAGTGCTTCCCTATGCTGCTTCCATTTGTTAGGTAGAAACAGATCATCAGCTTCCCATTACACTCCAGAGACCTGGGCCCAGGCAAGAGATCTGGGAATGGTGGCTTGGGATTTTTCCATGGTCGATGACCAAGAGCATACAAATGCTCATGCATAAGGTGATCAGAACCAAGGGAACTTAAGGACCATGTTTTACTGAGCAGAGACTTTCCAAACCCAAATAGTAAGTCTGGACTCAGACCCCAGTCTCTCTTCTTCCAATCAAGTGCTTGCTTCCAAACCACACTTATGAGATCATTGTTGCCCCACCCAGGTGTGGCAGAGCACAGTTCATGAATGCCACACACTAGCTGAGTAATCTCGAGTGCCTTACCTAGCAGCTCTGTGCCTCAGTTTCCCTATATGTAGAATAGGGATAAAAAGTAATTTGCTAGGTTATTGTGAGAAATCTGTAAAAATGCCAGCAACATTCTAGGAGCTCCATAAAGGTTAGTTTAATCTGGTTTAGGTTTGAGTGGATTACTTTTGTTTGATTTCCTTATCAGGCAACAGAAATCCTCTCCAACATGACTGACTTTTACCTTAACATCATTATCTTCCCTTTTCAGAGGATTCACTGGCATTGAAGAGAGTGACTCAAGGCTGAGGCTTACCCTCTCTCAGCCTGCCCTTTCCAATGTTCCCTCTTCTCTTTCTACTTCCCATCTTGCCAGCTCATTTTTCTCACCAGCAAAGACCTTTTCTCTCCAGGCCCACGGCATGAACCCTGCGCTTCCAAAGGAAGCAAGCGCTGAATAGATTTAGCAGGTTCTGATAAATGTCACGTTTATTTTGGTGCCAATGGAGTCACTGCATTTTAATAAAGGCCCCACCTCCACCTCTGCCCCAGATGTTGGTGCTGGTGGGAATACCACACGTTCTGCTGCCACCTCGAAAATGAGGTTCCAGCAAGTGGGTGCTGGAAGGTGATGCGGAGCTGGGTCCTGCCAGCTCCCTCTCTGGCAAGGGGGCACTGTTTCTGGGTGGCTAGTTCTGCCAGCCAAGATTTTTATATGCCTATTTTCCAACTTCAGTTTCCTCATCGGAAGAAAGCGGATCATACCCTTTCCACTCTGTGAGGTAAGGCAACCGACGACTGTCCATGGAGATGCTTAGTGCCTGTTGATTCTAATTGATTCCAAAGATCTAGGCCCCTGGGAGTAGGCTGGGAGAGGTTGGCTGCGAGAGCTGAGCTGGCTAAGTGGCAGAAGCTGATGTGGGTGGCTGAGCCAGCAGTTTTCCCATGCCAGAGAGTGAGAGCCACAGATTGGGCCCCTTCTCCAAAGGCCCCACCCAGGAGGGGAATCCTGGCCTGGGACGGAGGAGGGGCAGGGAGGGCAGGGCCAGATGCATAGACCTTCTTTTCATCCCAGCCTGAAGTAACTGGGGCTATGACAAAGGACACATGGATCTGGCTCCCATCATACCCCCACCCTCCCACCCCACCCCCACTGCAGCCAACTCCAAATGCCCCAGGGCTGGAGAACTAATGAGGTGATGGACTGATGTTAGGTGGCAGCCACTGAGAATCGCTCCCACACACACTGTAAAATAAAATCCACCCTTTCTTTGCATTTTGCTGAGCCTAGGTGTTCTCTGAGTTCCTATTGTCTGTGGGTTTTGTGCTCCAAAAGCTTTTTTTTTTTTTGTCATAATCATGAACCCAAGCCTGCATGAAAACACAGTATAATTAGGGAAAGAGAGGGGAAGGGTGAGAGGGGCAGGGCATGTCAGAGGGAGAGGTTGGGAACAATGTCTCACATTTCCATAGGAAACCAGTTGGGTGCCCTAGTAGCAGAATCTGAGAACAGGATTCCAGGGCAAGTAGTATATTTAGGAGTGGTCCCAGGAAGCACCAGTAGGGGACTGGGCAAGTGAGACTGGGAGGGGAAGGAAGTCAGTCAAGGATGCATGGTTGAGAAAGTTACCACCTTGGGTAAGTAGGACTCCAACTTCCTGGAAACCTCTAGGAGCCAGTATAGATGTGCTCCTCCAAGTTATTCCATCTACAGGGAGAGGGAACTGGGGTATTTATTTACTCACTCCCATCCATCATTGGCCGAAGATCCTCATTAACTCTATAGCACTCCTGACCCACCAACACTCAGGCAGAGAGTCACATGTACTGGAACAGAGAATACCAAGGAAGAGACATCAGCAGCACCTTCTATACTATGGACTCTATAAAAACAGCCTGGGGAGGTGGCCAGAGCATGAGTTATGATGTCCATTTTAGAAGTAAGGCCACTGAGGCTCAGAGAGGCAAGGAGTTTGGTCCACTATCATATAGCTAGGTAGCTACTTAAAATGAAAATTATCTCCCTTCTAAGGTCCAACTTGACCTTTTCCCTGAAACTACTCATTGCTCATCCCATCCCAGCAGAAATTACTGTTCCCTTATCATCTTGTCTATACTTTAGTTAAGATGTTTGTCATGCTGCATTGTAATAACCCTTTCACCTGTCTGTCTCCTCTGATCAACTGTGAGCCTTTTCTCAAGTGCCTAACACATTGCAAGGAATTAGCAAATGCTTGTTTCCTCTCCTTCGTGCTCCCTGCAAGCACAGTCCACGAGACAGGTAAGTGCTCTATCAAGTTGCATTGAACTACAAAGTAACTCTAGAAATGAAATTGTTCTCAGGAGAACAGAGGCAATAGCCAATGCAGAAATGGAATTCCAGGCAGGAGAACTGGTTATGAAAAGGCACAGACGTAGGTTTTGAGGGAACCCCCAAGGAATTGTGTATGTGCAAATGGGCAGCAGTGAGAGATGATGCTGGAGAGTTGAGTAGGAACCAAACCATGAAGGTCTCCAGGCCAAGGAATGGCATTGCCACAGTGCACACAGGGAAGGACTTTTCCAAAAGCTTCAGTAGGTCCAGATGAGCCATCAGGACTTCGAGTGGGAGAAGATGCTTCTGCCCAGAACAAAGTCATCCAAGCTCAGAAGGAGATATGCAGTGCTAGACTCTTGAGCAGATGACAACCCCACTGAGCTCATTAGGTAGGAAAAGCAAGGTTCAAAACAGTAAGCAGTATGTACCTCTTTGTGTAAAAAGGGAAGGAGGTGAGAATATATTTGTGTGAGCTTACATTTGCATAAAGAAACTGTAGCTAGTCACTGAGCTCAGTGGGATTGTCATCTGCTCAAGAGTCTTCCAGCCCAAAGCTGGCAGTTTCTGTGATCACTGATCACTGTGCGTCTCTAAGGTGGACAAAGCTCCCCATGCACCACATTCTAGGAGGGAAGGGGAAGAATTAGGACATTCTTGTGGTTGCTCAAAGCTCAGAAAAGGAATTAAGAACCAATGAAACAGAATCTCTTAAAAAGAGAAGTTGACACTCAGCAGCAGCCTGGGCAGGACTTATATCACTGAAAAGGAGGGCAAAGGGCTCACATCAGCTTTGTTCCCATACTCTATAGCTACAAATGGCAATGTCCAATCAGAAATACAGGGTGAAAACTATTTATTAACAAAAGTTTAGGTTTACTTCATTTCTCTGATAATTGGATGATACACATTCATTGCAGAAGATGTGAAATACACAGAAAAACACATCAAAGAAAGTAAAAATCACAGGAAATTCCATCTGTAGATTTTCTTCTTTTTTAATCACTATATGTATCATATACACTTTCCCTAAAATTGGGATTGTGACATAAACACAGTTTTCTTAGCTTCTTCATTCAATAAGATATCACAGACATTTTGCCCATGTCACTAATTATTAATCTGTGTTCATTTAAGAAGTTGTTCAATTTCCATCATATGGACACTATATTTGCTTTGCTCAATTCCCTGTTGCTGGACTTTTAGATTATTTACAGTTTTTTACTATTATCCATATCAGTGGAGTGAACATTCTTCTACACACAACTTTTCCTGAGATTACTGGGTCAAAGGCTATGAATTTTTTCTTTTTTTTTTTTTATTTGAGATGGAGTTTCGCTCTTGTTGCCCAGGTTGGAGTGCAATGGTGTGATCTCGGCTCACCGCAACCTCCACCTCCCGAGTTCAAGCGATTCTTCTGCCTCAACCTCCTAAGTAGCTGGGATTACAGGCATGAGCCACCATGCCCAACTAATTTTGTATTTTTAGTAGAGACAGGGTTTCTTCATGTTTGTCAGGCTGGTCTTGAACTCCTGACCTCAGGTGATCCGCCCGCCTCAGCCTCCCAAAGTGCTGGGATTATAGGCATGAGCCACTGCGCCCGGCAGGCTATGAATATTTTTAAGGCTTATGACATATGCTTCTAAACTCCTTTTCAGAAGATCTCCATCCTTGTGGAACAGAGAGTCTAGCCCTGTGCTATTCAATATGGCAGCCACTGGCCACATGTGATTATTTAAATCTAAATTAAATCCAATTAAAAACTCAGTTCCTCAGTCTCCCTAGTTGAATTTCAAGTGCTCAATAGCCACATGTGCTAGTGACAACTATACTAGACAAAGCAGATATAAAACATTTCCACCAGCATAGAAAGCTCTATTGGAGAGAGCTGCTCTACACTCAAGAGAGGACAAAAAGGCAATACACAAAATAACTAAGTACAGTATGTTAGAGGAAGGTATCTGCTATAGAAACAGATCACAGTAAGGGAGCCAGGGAGTACTGGGGTGGGGAGGGTTTACCATTTGGATAAGGTAGCCAGGAAAGGTGTCTGCTAAAGTGACATTTCAACAGTGACCCATAGGAAGAAAGGAAGCAAACCATGTAGATTATCTGAAGGAAGAGAGCTCCAGGAAAAGGGAACAGCAAGTCCAAAGGCCCTGAGGCCGGAGTGTGTCTGGCGTGTTCAAAGAAGAGCAAGGAGACTAACATGGCTAGAGTAGCATGAGAAGGTTAGAAAGAGCTAGGCAATGCAGAGATAGGCAATGCAGCCAGAGAGAGGATACTGTGAGATCATGTGGGGCCTTATAAAGCCATTGAAAAGACTTTAGCTTTTACTCTGAGCGAGACAGGGAAGAATTACAGTTTTGAGTAGAATGCTGTTATCTGATTGACATTTTTACAAAGTACTTTGTGACTCAGTTGAGAATAGATTGTAGAGTAGATGGAGGACAAAGGAGAAAGCTAGGAGGCCAGAGAGGACAGTGATGTGATAATACAGGGGAGAGACGTGGGTGGCATGAGCCCTGGTGATGAAGGTGGTGAAAAGTGATTGGATTCTGGATATAGTTTGAAAGTGAAGCCCATAGGACTTACAGGCATGGTTGCAAACAATGTGAAGTGTTACAGAGAAAAAGCACAGGGATACTGTGTATCACTGGTGAGTAGAGGCTGCTTTTCTAAGAAAGCGACCTTGGGGCCAAAATCTGAGATCCAAGTAGGAGTTAATTTGATAAAGATTTTACAGATTCCCTGTCTAGTCATCTGCAGCCTCCTGACAATGAGAGGAGGGGAGGGAACGGAATGGGAGAGGAAGAGGCTGCCTTCTCCTGGGAAAGGGGAAAACTTTGCTACAAAAAGCTGGAAACAGCCCAAAGAGTCATGTTTTGTTAGATATGTATCTGCAACCCAAACAGCTTTGCTCTTATGGGCCTGTTTGTCATAGATCAGTTAGTGGGTAGATTGCTTCGGCTGGAAATGGAGATTTAGACAATGCCAGAGTGGATAATGGTGCCCGAACGCTGTCAGGCGCTAATCAGGACTCGGCAATGACTCTGCTGTGCAGATTGAAGTGCGAGCATTTGGAGTTATTACTCAAGGCTTGTCTCTGCAATTAGATGATTGCATAACCTTAATATGATCAATCTTGCCGGATGTGAATTGTGCAGCTGTAACCACAAAATAAGGTGGCATTTCTGTTTTCTTGTTGAACACAAACATTATATATGCGCAAGTCATAATTTTATAACGGTCGCTTTTGGCAAGAAAGAGCTTTGTCAGTCAGAAGATGCAGTTGAGGGGAAAAAATATATATATATGCAATACAAGTGCTTAAAGAGGCGGTCATAATGTCAGGCTTCGCCTTGGGAAATATTGCTTTGCGGGTTTTGCATCTTCTCCTTTTTTCCTTTGTACACATCAATTTTGAGGCCAGGAAGTTGGGAAACTTGGAGCTCATATTGAGCCCTCCCGGGACAACACAGCTTTGCACTCGCACATGCACCACGTTGAGAGTCATAGGGAATCAGCTTGATATTCATCAGCAATTGCACATCACACCCCGTTCATCAAGCCTCATTGTTCAGTGGGGACGTGAGCTACGACTTAGGCTCTTCAGATTCGAGATCCTTGCAGAAATCTTAGCCCGCCCCCCAAGGCCCGGCTTGAGGGACTACAGGGACACAGCCCTCAAATGCCCTTTCCACCTCACAGGCTCAGGGTGCGTCGGAGGGGATGAGACGGATGAGGGGACCAATGCTGAGAATGTCAAGATTTCTCTTCTGACTCTGGCCCAATTTGCAGGGGGCACAGAACTCTGAGAAAGGAAAAAAAACCTAGAGGTTAAGAGTTGTTTTGTTATGGGTCGTAGCTTAATCTTGGGAAAGGAGAGAGAGAGAAAGAGACGGAGATGGGGTGGGAAGAAGGGAGCAAGGAGATACATTTAAGAATAGCGCAGTGTGATGGGATGTCCAGAGATGAAACCTAGTGGCCAAATAAGTGAATGCCTAAGATTAGGTGAGAGCGTGTGTGTGTGTGTGTGTGTGTGTGTGTGTGTGTCAGAGAAAAAGAAAGAGAGGAAGTGGGAGAAGGAGGGGGAGAGAGAGAGAGAGAGAGTATTTACCAATAGCATCTGACCAAGACTGTAATTTCATGGCTGCAACTAATGACAAAGTCAAGTGTCGAAGGCTTAGTTCTCGAGGAGACAGACCCTGAGATACAGATTTGAATACAAGTTTATCGGGGAGTGCTCTTGGGTCCACATCTACAGGGAAAGGCAGCAGGAATGGGCAGAGGGAGAGACAGACAGCAATGCAGTCACAACAGGGCAGTCACAGCTGATCCCAAGTAGAACTCTAAAGCTGGACGATCCGTTAAAGCCATCCCAAGTTAGGGTAAGTGGGTCAGGTTGTTATAGCCCTACCTTGACCGGTCATTGGATGTGGGCTGACCTGGGAAGGAGTGTGACCTTGGATGCTAGGACGGTCTTCAGCCAGGGCAATTTCTACAGAGGGCTGACAGCTGAGAGCTATCAGCTGACCACTTTCCAGCAGCTGGTAGAATCAGTCCTTCGTTCCTGAATGAGGGGTCTGGGCAGTGTAGTAGAGCATCCCCAATAACAAGTAAAGGATTTGAGGGCAAGGAGAAATAAAATTGAGTGGAAGCCAGTGAATGACCTAAGGTGTGAAAGAATCAAGTGTAGGCCAGGAGGCTGATGTTCAGGCTGGAGGAGCCAATGCACTGCTGGGTTCCAAGACAGAGGCAGCCTCAGCTTGGGTCCCTTCATTCCAGGCCCCAGTTCCCCCAAACCAACCACCTGTCTCACTTGCCAAATGGCCAAGCTGAGTGAAAGCAAACATCTAGGAGGCAGGGCCTGAACAGGAGGCACCCCATACAATCAGCATCACCATCTGACAGCTCACATTTGCAGTGCACCCAGCATGTTCAGGACTCTGTGCTACACACCATAAGGTCACTGCTGTCACTACCAACTTTCAGGACAGGCTTAGGAGGTAGAAACCTTCAAAAGGCCCACTGGAGTCAGAGACATTGTTGGGATCCCTCATAACCAGTGGGTGCCCAACCTTGTCTCCAACTCTCGCTTCTCTCCAGAGCTCCAGGTGCATTTTCCTGAAGGACCCCCCTGCTTGGATGTGTGAAGGACTCTCGAACTCCCATGTCCTAAACTGCCCCACTCATCTTCCTCCCTCAAACCTGGGCATTCCTCCTGTTCTGTGTTTCAGTAAATGGCACTGCCATCCACCTCACTGCACAGGGCAGAACGTGTCATCTGTGACTCCAGCTCCCTCTCACACCCCCACACCCAACATGTCCTATGGGTTCTACCTCCCTCACAGGTCTAGAATCCAGATACCTCCCTCCACAACCAGTAAGCCTCCCTTCTCTCCAGGAAGCAATTCTCCCAGTTAAATCTTCCTGCCTTCAAACTTATTTGCCTCCTCCAATATCCTCTCTTTGGGGAGCCAGAAGATCTTTCTAAAATGTGAGCCAGATCACAACTCTCCTCTATGTAAAACCCTTCTACATCTGCTCCATTGTCTTCAGGATAAAGTCCAAATGGTTTCCCACAGCAAAACTATCTCTCTGAAGCCTCATTTCTAGATATCCTCTCTCCTCGCCCTGCATCCCTCCCTCTTCACCATAGCCTGTACACACACAGGTACTTAGACTCTATCTCGTTGCTGTCCAATCCCGAGTCCATGAGACACACAGAGCAACTGGGCACGTTGAAATGTGCCTAGTCTAAATCAAACGGTACTGTAAGTGTAAATGTCCCTGGATTTTGGGTCCCTGTAAGTAAAATGGTCCCTGGATTTTGAACACTCAGTATGAAAACAAAGAATGCAAAATATCTCCACTGGGAATTTTTTACTGATTACATGTTTCAATGATGATATTCAGACTAATTTATATTCACATTTGATTAATCAATTTCACTTGTTTCTTCTTACTTTTTTAAATGTGTGGACACTAGAAATGTTGTTTTTAATGTGCAGGTTCTTATTATCCCTGGGTTTTTTATTTTTATTCTTTATTTTTGTGGATACATAGTAGATGTATATATTTAGGGGGTACATGAGATATTTTGATACAGGCATGCAATGCATAATAATTATGTCATGGAAAATGGGGTACCCATTCCCTCAAGCATTTATCCTTGTGTTACAAACAATCTAATTATACTCTTCATTATTTTAAAATGTACAATTAGATTATTATTGCCTATAGTCACTCTGTTGTACTGTCAAATAGTAGGTATCATTCATTCATTCTAACTATTTTTTGTACCGTTAATGATCCCCACCTCCCACTTCAACCTCACCACTACCCTCCTCCACCTCTGGTAACCATGCTTCTATTCTCTGTCTCCATGGATTCAATTGTTTTGATTTTTAGATCCCACAAGTAAGTGAGAACATGCAATGTTTGTCTTTCTGTGCCTGGCCTATTTCACTTAACCTAATGACCTCCAGTTCCATCCTGTTGTTGCAAATGACTGAATCTCATTCTTTTTTATGGCTGAGTAGTACTCCATTGTATGTAAGTACCACATTTCCTTTATCTAATTCATCTGTTGATGGACACTCAGGTTGCTTCCAAATCTTGGCTATTGGAACACCAGAAATTTTTTAATGACAAGTGTAACCCACATTCCATCTCTATTGGATGGTGTTGGAAGAGCATCCTGCCATTCCATCAATACCTAGGAGTTTTCTCAGCTCAGGGAGCAAGAAATTCCCCTAAGAATTTAAATTGACCTAAAGTAAATTATATTTCAGAGCTTTAGCCCCTGTCTTTGTACGGTTAAGAGGTAGCCAGCAATGGGGCCTTCCCTTTTCAGGCACTGGTAAGCCCTGGCCAGACTAAAAGCAGAAGGAACCAAAGAGAGGCTACAGAGTTCTACACAAAAATTTCAAGGGCTGTCCGCTCTGTGAGCCAGGAAAGCTGTGCAGCATGTGCTGGAATGAGGAAAGAGCTAGGCAGTTGTATCTCTGAGAATTACTAGTTGTTGGTAGATGAGTGTTATGTGGGAGTGGGTGTGGCGTTCATGGGGGTGGGAGTGGGGAATTCAGTGTCCTCAGATCAGGGATATGGGGTTGCCTGAACATGGGGAGTAGCTGGTACTGGACTCTAGAGAGACTTAAAGAGAATGACTTTTTTCTCTTACAAGAAGTAAGGAATAGGCCTGGCATGGTGGCTCATGCCTGTAATCCCAGCACTTTGGGAGGCTGAGGTAGGTGGAGCACCTGAGGTCAGGAGTTCAAGACCAGTATGGCCAACATGGCAAAACCCCAACTCTACTAAAATTACAAAAATTATCTGTGTGTGGTGGCACACACCTGTAATCCCAGCTGCTCAGGAGGCTGAGGCAGGAGAATCACTTGAACCCAGGAGATGGAGGTTCCAGTGAGCCGAGAGTGTACCACTGCACTCCAGCCTGGGCAACAGAGTGAAACTTGATCTCGAAAATAAAATAAAATAAAATACAAATGGCAAGAAGGAAGGAATAGACCTTAAGAAAGGCAGCAAGCCTTAGAAGCCCCCTCAGAGCACCCTTCTTATTATTGATACACTATTCTTTCTGGAACTCCCTGGACAGTCACACTTTACATAATTTTAAATATTTTATCCTATTTTGCTATTTCTGTCCGGTTCCACCAACACTTCAGTAAAGCCTACCATCCTCTGATAGCCTTGTAGCGGGGCCAGGTGAAAAGGAACGGAGTTACAGAGAGCAGGAAAGGGAAGAATGGTCTCCTCGCTCTGGCGCCCCGCATTGATACAGACACACCTCTCAGACTCCAGGGATGAGCAGGGGTCCATGGCACAGCCGGGAGCAGCCAGGAGGAGCCCTGAGCAGGGAGCTGCAAATGAATGGGACGCTGGGAGCAGCTGCCAGGCAAACCTCGGCTTCCTCGTCTACCCTGGAGAAAACTGATCCTGGAAGGGAGACCAGCTCTTACCCCATCCTGCTGCCTCTTCTGCATGGACTGCCCTTCCTTCCCTGGCTGCCACCTCTCTCACTTGTCTTCGGGACTCAGTTGAGACATCACCTTTTCCAGGAAGTCGCCACAGATGCCCTCAGTCTGGGTGAGGTGCTCTTCCTCAACATTTTTTAATAACCACTCCTGACTCCACTGTCACCGTCTGCCTGCTTGACTCACTTCCTCAACAGTGAGCACCTTGAGGGTAGGAAGCATAACTTTGTCATCCCAGTGCCCAGCTCAGGCTCTAATACATAGTAGGTCCTCAGCAAACATTTGCTGAGTAAATAAATGACACCAGAGAGATATTGGATAAAAGAGGAGCATCCCCCTCTTCACCCCCCATCTGAGATTCAGCTTGCCCTGGCTCCAAGAAACTTCTGGTTTCCAGCTTGACTGTCTCCATTTTCAAGAAATATCCCCAATCTATCCAAAGCCCTAGGACAGAAGTCGATGATGGGCATATGTTTGAAAGCCCTCTGATGAGAGAGTTTTTCCTAATTCTTCTATCATTTAAACAAACTGGGATCCTGATTGATAGAGGAACCATTTTTACAAAGACTGGGAAAAATGGCTTTTAATATCAGTTTTTAAGAAAGAAAGTATAGCCTCTATAAACTGTTAAACTTCACTTTATTGACCATAAATCTGTATTTTGCTCAATGCAAAAGTTTTTCATCTCGTACAGAAATATGCTGAAACAGCGACAACTGCTGAAAACAAGAAGTTTTCTCTTACGAACAATTTATATGAAAAAGTTATTGAATTTCTGGTTAGGGAGGCCAGGCCAGGCATCTTGTGGCTCCCCCTCAGGGCCAGGCCAGCGGGTGCCAGACATGACCCATTGCTGATCAATGTCAAGAGAAAATTAACCAATTGTAAGTCTATTAAGTTGTGGGCTCCAGGGATTTCAGAGCCCAGAGCAAAGACATGTTTCTCCCTGAGGACCTTAAACTGAGGCTTTCTTTGCTCAGCCAGCCTTTCTGCCAAGAAAAGGAAAGAAAGAGATAACATTGGAGAGCCTCTACCAGCTGCTAGGTGCTTTCACAAGTATTGTCTTATTTAACCCCAGCAGGTAGGCTTTATCGGCCACATTTTACAAATGAACAAATGCAAAATTAGAGAGGTTAAGAATTTATTCAAAGCCTCACAGCTTGTAAGTTACTAATTACTTTCTCTGAGCCTCAGTTTCCCCATCCATAGAATAAAGCTGGAAGTGCTTAGCCCACGACTGGCACAGAGTAGGTACTCAGGAAATGTTTGCTAGCCTCCTAAAATCAGAAAAGTGCAAAGCAGTGTTTTGAAGATAAGTTTGGGTGACTTTAAGACTCATATTCTTTCCCTGCAGAACTTGCCTTTTTATCAGTCTCTCTGAAACCAATCACCTTCAGAAAGTGGGATAATTATATCTCCTGTGTACACATGGGACAAAGGAGCAATATTTTATATTTACAAAAAAAGTCAACAAAAGAATGGACACTTTTACAAGGACCTAGCAGGTTCCTTCAAAGTACTTCCTCCTACATATTCCAGTGCCAGAAATTTCACAATTAGAGCTATACACTCTTGAGTTAAGGCGTTATCTCATGTAAAAGTGAAAATATTATTGGTCGAGTTAAGATTTTCTTAAAGTCATCATATCGGAGCTGTTAAGAGTCCCCAGAAGTATGCAGTGCAAGAAGAACATACAACGTACGTCCAGTAAGCCAAGTCCTACTGATTGGTTGTCCCTGCCTGGAAGGATGTGTTGAAAAAGATTCTGAGGTAGAATCTAGGCTCCGTGGGGAAAAGTGTAGCATTCTATCAGTAAGGTCTGCTTTAGGCAGGAGAGCAACTTGGCAGAAAGGCTTATGAAAACTCTTTAACTGTCTACTACCTTCCACTCTCTCCTTTCCTCTTGCCACCTCGCAGAGATACAGTCCTATTATCCCCCAGTTCAATACCCTTCAATTTACCTGTAGGACAAAATACACAGCCCTTCATGGCTGCTCCTGCCTCTCTCTCTAGCCTCACCATCTATCACTCCCTTCATATGTTACACCCTAGCAGCACCGAACTACTTTAATTTACCCCATACACTTTGTGTTTTTCAGACCGCTCTACCTAGAACAGCTTTTCTCAACCTGCCCAAGTGACAAACTCCTACTCAGCCCTCAAAACCTAACTCAAGAGTCAACCCTGTGAAGCCTTCCTTTACTCCCCCAGTAGACTTAGGTTCTTCTTCTCCAATGCCCCACTGCACATTGTACATTCCCAAATAAAGCCTTTGTTGCACTGCTAGACTGTGAGCCTCTTACAGAACACAGCATCTAATTTTCCTCTGTGCCTTGATCATGCAGCTCAGAACCTAGGACAATAAATTTTTGTGTGAATGAATGAATTGATGAAGAAATAATTTTCCCTCCACAATGCATATGCTTGTTCATCAACCTTTGAAACCACACTGACCTTTCAACTATACACATAATTCTTTGACAAACATTAATGGAGGTATTGCTAGGTACAAGGAGTGATAGAAACAGACACAATTATTGCCCTCATGGTGCTTATAGTCTAGTGGGAAAGATAGGTAATATATGGGAAACAGCCAAATAGATATGTAATTACAAAATAAGAAAGATGGAATGAGGATGAACACAGCACTGTGATGTGGATCATTTAGCTGGAATGTTGGAGAAGATAATAAGAACAGATTTGCAGGATGGAAAGGAGCCAGCTGTGGAAACTGGGGGAAAGGGATTCTAGGCACACAGAAAAGATGTGCCAAGTTTTCAAGGCAATAAGAGCTTGATGTGGCTGACGCTGAAAGGATGCCATGGAGGCTGGAGTGTAGTGAAGGAAGGGAAGAGGAGCTTGGAATAAGGCTGGAGAGAGAGGAAGCAGCCCGATCATGCAAGGCCTTATAAAAGTAAGAAGTTTGGATTTCATGCTGAGGGAAATCGGGAGCCATGGAAGGGATTTGAATCCCTGGTTCATTTACTCATTCAGTAAACATTGGCTGATGTATGCTGTGTCCAGATGCTGGGCTCAAAGCTGCCTTTGAAGAACTCTCAGGTCAGAGGAGTAGGCACAGCAGAAAGCCATCACTAGCGAACATGGTGGTAAATGCTGATTAAAGCCTATCCTAAACCAGCCAAGAGGGATTGGGGAAGCTTTCTCAGAGCATATGACAAAGGCACTGATCCTACAGAACGCACAGAAGCATTTCAAGTGAACAATGCAGTGGTGAGCTGGTGCCAGCTAATACCTGCTTGAGAGAACCCAATTATGTGTATTTCTCCAACTCTCGTTTAGGGACAATAAGTTGAAAGCTTGAAATTGACCATGGTGGAAGCATTTACACCTGGGAAATTGGAAAACGCTACAAATTGGGGTGGGCTTCTTTGCTTGTTTGTTCGTTTGTTCCAGCACACCAGTGGGGGTAAGCATTAATAGTACCGGGAAGATTTTTGATGTGCATAATATGGAGCACAGAGGAAGGTAAGGATAAAGTCAAAGGCCGTGGGAGTACATTCCTGGGACAAAAAGAGATCTTTTGAGTAACAGGAAGGCAAATCCAAAAGACCTGATTTGGGATCCTAGATTTGCCATTTTCCAGTGGATCATCTTAGCAAATCATTTCATCTCTTTCAGCCTCAGTTTCTTCATCAGTAATGAAGATTCAACAATATATTATCTATAAAACACTTAGCACAGTGCTTGACACATAGTAAGTGCTCAACATGAATATTAGTCTATGATTTTTTATTAAGTATTTCCAGGATAAGAAGACAAACATTGGCATCAATTAAGGGAAAATCTTCTAATCACATCTGTCCGTGAACGCAGACTGGAAAAGGCCAGTCCTCTGAAGAGAAATGGTTTACAAAAACCTCAAAATTTAAATTTTAAAAACCCTCAAAATTGAAATGCCCATGTGAAAGAGCAGAAGATGGAATTAAATGAGAGAAATATATGTAACTTTCTCAGCACAGTTGCCGGCAAATAGTAACTTTTTAGTAAATTGCAATAGTGGTGGTTCTTATTTTCAGATGGGTAAAAGTGAAGAGCTCAAATGTAAAGAAATCAAACTTGAATTTGAAAAGGAGAAAAAAATGACTGTCTATATTAAAGTATAATTTTACATAAAAGGAAATCTATCAATTTCACTGGTAAAATTAGATGAAATTTGACAAATGAATACAGTCATGTAAAAATCACCAAAATCAAGATATAAAACATTTCAATCAAACCAAGAGGTTATCAGTCCCCACCAAGAGGCCCCTGGAAACTGCTGATCTTCTTTCTATCTCTACAGCTTTGACTTTTGTAGAATTTTATATAGATAGAATTATAAAGCACATTCTCTACTATGTATGGCATCTTTCACTCAGCATAAAGCTTTTGGGATTCATTCATGTTGCTGCATTTGTCATTCAGTTTAGTTGCTGAGTAGTATTCCATTGTGTGGATGTACCATAATTTGTTTATTTACCACCTGGTGGATATTTGGGTTGTTTCCAGTTTGGGAGGTGTTATTTAAAAAAAAAAAAAAAAAAAAAAGCTGCTATGCATGTTTAAATACAAATCTATGGACAACTGTATTCATTTTTCTTGGGTAAACACCTACAATTGAATTTGGTAAATTTTCTTGGATAAAGGTACATTTAACTTTAGAATCAAATACTAAACAGTTTTCAAAGTGAATCGAACATTTTTTAAATTGCCAGCAGCAATGTATGTGAGTTCCAGTTGCTTCACATCCTTTTCAGTGCTTGGTATTGTCAGTTATTAACTTTAGTCATTCCAGTGGGTGTAGTGGTAACTCATTTTGTTTTTAATTTTCATTCCCCTAATGAGTTGAACATCTTTTCATATACTTATTTGTCATTCACAGATCTTCTTTGATAAGGTGTTTATTCGAAGCTTTTGCCCTTGAAAGTGTCTTTTAAAAAACAAAGATCTTTAAATTTGATAGTCTAGTTTATCATTTTTTTTGTAGTTCATACTTTTGCATCCTATTTAAGAAATATTTTCCTAACCCAAGATCACTTAGATTTTCTCCTGTTTTCTTCTAGAAGTTTTATAGTTTTAGCTCTGATTTATATGGTAAATTACATTGATTGATATTTGAATATTAAACCATAATTGCATTTCTAGGTTAAACCCCACTTGGCCATAATATATTGTTCTCTTTGTGTATTGCTGGACTTGACTGGCTAAATTTTTGTTAAATATTTATTGATATATGTTTATGAGGGATGTTGGCCTGTGGGCTTATTTTCCTGTAAGATCTCTTTTTCTGATTTCATTTTCAGGACAATACTGGCTTCATAAAATGGTTGGTGACAGGTTTTCTTCCTCTTATCTTTTCTGAAAGAGTTTGTGTAAAGTCACTATTTTTTTTTCATAAGTGTTTTGTAAAATTGTTTGTAGAAAACTATTTAAATGTTTCATAGTAGCCATTCAGATCTGGAGTTTTCCATGTGAAAAGGTGTTTTCCATGTGAAAAGGTGTTTAACTGTGAAGCCAGTTTCTCTAATAGATATATAGCTATTCAGATTATTTATTTTTGTGTGAGTTTTGGGAGTATGTATATTTAAAGAAAGTTGTCTCTTTCGTCTAAGTTATAGAATTTATTGGCATGTAACCGTTCATAACATTCTTCTGTTGCCATTTTAATGTCCATAGGATGCTCTCTTTTTAAGTTCCTGGTCAGTCTGGCTAAAAGTCTATTAACCTTCTTAGTGTATGCAAAGAACCAGCATTTGGCTTCATTGATTTTTCTCTATTTCTCTATTGATTCATTGGGTTTTGCTCTCATATTTGCTATTTTCTTTCTCCTGCTTACTTTAAGTTCAATTTACTTTTTTGTATTTTCTTGTAATGGAAACTGACATCATTGATTCAAAGATTTTTTTTTCCCAATATAAGTGTTTAATGCAATAAATATCTCTCTAAGCACAGCTTTAGCTGCATCCCAAAAATTGGATGTTTCTATTTGCTGTCAGTTTAAAATTTTTACTTTTTAAGTTTCTTCTTTAATTTATGGATTATTCTTAATGTGTTGTTTAATTTCCAAATATTTTGGGAATTTCCAGATATCTTTTTGTTATTGATTAGAAGTTTAATTCTTTTGTGGTCAGAGAACTATTTTGTATAATTTCAATTCTATTACATTTATTAAAATGTGTTTTATGACCCAGAATATGGCTTATCTTGATGAATATTCTGTTTAAGCTTACAAGGAATCTGGTATTCTTCTGGTTTTATGTGGTGTGCTTAATAAATATCAGTTAGACCAAGCTGGTTGATTATGTTGTTAAGATCTTATATATCTTACTGATTTACTGTCTATTTGTTCTATGAATTATCGAGAGAATAATATTGAAATCTCCAACTATAACGGTGGATATGTCTATTTTCCTTTCAGTTCTAGTCATGTTTGCTTCAAATATTTTGAAGATCTGTTATTAAGTGCATACATATGTTGGATTGTTATGAGCTCTTAAAGAATAGATTCCTTTATTGCTATTAAATGGCTCTTTTCTTTCCTAATATTCTTCTATGGTCTGAAGACATATGTCCCCCCAAAATTTTTATATTGAAAGCCTAACCCCCAAGGTGATAGTATAAAGAGAGGAGCCTTTTGGGACCTGAACAGGTAATGAGGCCAGAGCCCTCACAAATGGAATTATTGCCTTATAAAAGAGGCCCAAGGTAGCTTGTTCACTCCTTTCACTAAAGTGAGGAAACTGTGAGAATGTGCTATCTATGAACCAGAAAATAATGACCCCTTACTAGACACTGACTCTGCCAGTGCCTTGATCTTAGACTTTCTAGCCTCCAAAACTGTGACTAATAAATTCTGTTCTTTATAAGCTCCCAGTTTATGGTATTTTGTTACAGCAGCAGAAGTTGACTAAAACATATTCCTAGCTCCGAAATCTACTTTGTGAATGTTGTTGTAACTACTCACTTTTTTTCTAATTGCTGTTTGTATGAAATACCTTCTATCCTTTTACTTTTAATTTATTTGTTTCTTTATACTTAAAATGGGTTTCTTGTAGAGAGAATATTCCTGGGGTCATCTTGCTTTTTTAGTCAGTCTGATCATCTCTGCCTTTTATTGTTTGTTTGTTTGTTTGTCTGTTTGTGACAGGGTCTCCCCTGTCATCCAGGCTGGAGTGCAGTGACATGATCATGGCTTGCTGCAGCCTTGAATTCCTGGCCTCAAGCAATCCTCCCACCTCAGTCTCCCAATTAGCCAGAATTCCAGGTGCATGCCACCATGTCCAGCTATTTTTTTTAGAGACAGGGTCTCACTATTTTGCCCAGGCTGGTCTTGAACCACTGGCCTCAAGCAATCCTCCTGCCTTGACCTCTCAAAGTGCTGGTATTACCGGCATAAGCCACCACACCCATCCTCTCTGCCTTTTAATTGGAGTGTTCAGAGCACGGACATTTAAAGACATTATTAATATAGGTGTGTTTAACTCTACCATATTGCTATTTGTTTTCTATCTGTCCCAACTGTTTTTTGCTTCTTTTTCTTCTTTTTCTGCCTTCTTTTGCAGTAATTGAGTACTTTTTATCATTCCATTTTATCTTTATTTTTTGTTTCTAGGCTTAGCCTCTCTGTTTTGTTGGCTTTTTTTCTTTTAATGGCTGCTCTAAGGTTTAAAATATACATCTTAAATTATCATGGTCTACTTTCAAATAATATTACACCACTTCATGTATATTTTTAGAACCTTACAACAGTAGGCTTCCATTTTCCTATTTGTGTTTTTTGTCTTGATTTTATTGCTATATTATAAACCTCACAACAAATCGTTGTTGTTTTTGAGAAGTCAATTATCTTTTAGATAAAATTTTTAAATTAGAAAGAAAGCCATATTTGCGATTGTCGGTATTCTTTATTTCTCTGTGTAGATCTAAATTTACATTTGCTATTATTTTACTTCTTCCTAAAGAACTTGCTTTCTTTTAGTGATGACCTGATGGTGATAAAATCTTTTAGCTTTGGTTTGCCTGGAAAATGTCATTATTTCATTTTTATTTTCACTAGATACTTTTGCTGAGTATAAAATTTTAGGTTGAGAGTTTTCTTGTTTATCCTTTCAGCACTTTAAAGATATTGTTCTACTATCTTTTAGCTTGCATGATTTCTGACAAGAAGTATGATGTAATTCTTATGTTCATTCTTTTTTTTCCTCTGGAAAGAAATGGGTATAGCAATCTTTATAGCTCATACAGGGCTTGGAATAGTTCATGTTTTCCTCATCCATGTATATTAGGAATTCTTTCCACTGTGGCTGATGGAAGCACAAACTGTTTCCAGCCCTGTATGAGTTATAAAGCTTATTCCTTTCCAGTGGTTATTCCCCAGCCACAGGTAGCTTCCTTATACATACTTGCAGATCATTAATCAATTAAAGATTCAAAAAATCCTTCTGTAATCAATATCTCTCTCTCTCTCTGTCACACACACACACACACACACACACACACCCCTACATGTGTACTCTCTCTCACTCTTTCTAGTAGTTTCTCCCTGAAAATTCTAGCAAAATTGGCCTCCCTGAAATCTAAACTCTGTCTTCTCAACTCAGTGAAATCTCTGGTCTCTGACTGGGTTTTGCTTCCCTGCACTAGTTTGAAGAACTCTCCAGGAAATGATCTGAAACAATCATAGGCCTCACCTCATTTGCTTCCTTTCTGTAAGGAATACTGTCCTGCACTATCTGACATCCAAAATCTGAAAACTTTAATTTATTTGGGTGTTTAATTATTTAAAGCAAGAAGGGAAATCCAGTCCCATCATGACCAAATCAAAAATCTCCCCAGGAGGATATTTTAAAACAACAGAACACAAGAAAAGATGGACAAAGTAAGATGGAATGCAAATAGAACAACATAAATGATTAATAAACATTGTTGAGTTAAAGTTAACCAGTAATTGACTAAAGACAATTTAAATATTTTATTGGGAGAGATAGCCGCTGCCTAGGACAGGAGGAAAAGGAAGTATAGTCATGCTAGCAATACCTCTAAGTTTCTGAACATGTCGCAGCAAAGGAAGGTCTGTGGAAGCCAGTCAGCCAAGATTCTAGTGAAAAGATGAGTCAATAAGCTACAACGATCAAAAAGAAAAAGAGATGTAGATGCTCATTTATAGGAAAGAGGAAAGTGAGAAAGAAGAGAATTGTGACTTAGGATAAAGTTTTCCAGGGAAAATAGAAATGGCCACAACTTCTGAATAAGATCAAGAATCATGAGATCTGACCAGAAGGTACAGTTCCCTGTGGAAGGAAGCTGGTTGAAGAAGTGGAAGAAAGCATTGAAAATTTAAGTGTGTTCAGTCATTAAACCATGGATACCAAATATGTAATATTCCTACTGCCATTTCTCTCTCTCTTATTCATGACAGACATTACTAAACAACTATGGCTCTTGCATCACCAAGCCCAGAGGCTGCCTTTGAACATTTCTACATATCATCGTAGGCAGCTTCTACCAATTGATCACGGTTGGCTTCTAAGTGAAAATCCATTTTTCTCACCAGTTTTAGGCACTTTTATGCCATTTTTGTGATAGTCTTGTTCACCTAGTAATAGGGGAAAAATGAAAATATGAATTTCTAAGTAATCAAGCATAAATATGTACATTATTTGGCTCTTAATACATATGCATAACATTTATATATGTTTCCATAAATATACAATATTTTTATAATTAAAAACCTATTAGGATCAAATGAGATAAGAGGTGGGAGAATACCCTGAAAAGAGCAAGGTTGTGTATTTTAGAAGACAACACCATGGGACCTCTGTCATTTGTCATCTGCTAAGATTCAGGAAATCTGTGATTGATCTTTCTGGATTTCTGATAAAATTTTGTATCTTCTGCATGTCTAATCGCCTCCACAGCTATATACAGGATGATCAACTATCCTGGGCTGCCTGTGATAAAGAGCTGTAGGATGTAGGACTTTTAGTACAAAAACTGGGAAAGTTCTAGGCAAACTAGGACAAGTTGGTCACCCTAGATGTAGGTAGGGAACAAATCAAGCAGTTCTCACCTCCCTGGGATACAAGTCATGGAAAACTTAGGATCACAGAGGGCATTGGTTTTTATCACTGTCCAAACCTAGGCCCCCAGATCCCCTTCTTTCCTACAGGATCCCAGAAGAGATTTCACACCACACCCCCACTCTGCTGCTGCTCCTGCCCTCCCTCCCTGCCCTCCTTCCCTCAGGTATGTTTTGAGCCATAGAAGCTCTCCTGCTCCTCCCAAGTCTAGAGTATTTTCACCCGTCAACCAATGAATACAGCTCTTTTCAGCCTCCAAAAATCAGCCAAGTTCTCCTTGTTTTTTTACCAGCCTTTCCTCTCATGATTGTACTCACCTCCTCCTCCACAACACTTTTTAACAAAGCAAAAGAGAAAAACAAATGAATAAAAATTTTAAAAGAGAGTGCCTATTTTGTAACAGTTCCTGAGCTGGCTGCTTAGATACGGGGCACAAAGATAAATAAAATATGGCCCAACCCTTAAGGAGTTCAGGGCTAAGAGCATGAGGGAGGTAGGAAGATGGATGGTACACAAGTAATTATAATAAAATATTATAATAGCTAATATTTATTGAGAGCATACTTTTGTAGCAGACACTGTGCTATGTGCTTTAAATGCATTATTTCTTTTAATCCTCACAGTAGCCCTAGGAGATAGGTGTACGAGTATTATTATTCCTCATTTTCTACCTGAGAAAGCTAAGGCTTAGGCCAGTTAAATCATCTGCTCACAGTGCTAGCAAGCACTGGAGCTGGATTCGAACCTCAGCTAACCACAAAACTCATTCTGTTAACTACTGTGTTCTGCTAGGATGCAATCCAAACAAAATGTTGTGAAGACTCAACGGAGGGAGAATGCTCTCTCTACCTGGTAGAAGAGCAGGCAGGAAGGCGCCACAGAAGTGACTTTTGAGTTATATCTTTAAGGATAGGAAGTTCACCAGGTGGACAAGAGGGGGAGACAAAGGGCATTGGCTCACGAGAGAGCTCCTAATATTCAGAGGAAAAGTGATTTTCTAGCACAATGATTTTAGCCATGGATGCATATGGGGAGAGCTGTGTCAAAGGGCCAGGGGTGAGGGACAGAAGTCAGATCTTGAGTGCTTTCTTGCTAGGGTGCTTTCTTCTAACCCCAGAAGTGATGGGGAGCCATGGAAGGTTTTTAGGCAGGAGAGCCATATGATTGTCTTTAGAAAAGTCACTGTGGCAGTGATGGATTTAGGGTGGGAGATCTGAAAGCTGAAACAATTAGCTAAGGAAGGGCCAGTGGGATTAATGAGAGTTAACAGATTCAAGAGAGATTTAGTAAGGCTGGGCCTTGTGCCTGATTGGCCTTGGGGAATGAAAGTAGGAAAGGTGGAAAGGCAGGATATGGAGAATAAGAGAATTCCTAGCCTAAGAGAATAAGTGAATGGTAGTGTCATTTGATGTGAGATGAACAGAGGAGAAGCAAGCTTAGAGAGAAAAGTGACACTGGTTTGAGGTGTCTGTGAGATATCCAAATGGAGATATCTAACAGGCAGTTGGATATAGAGTAAGAGCTCAGGAGATAGGGTGGAACTGAAATCACCTACCTAGGATAAGATTCTTGGGAACATTTGAGTGGTGCACTCTCATGTCCCACTTTAAAGTGCCCCATCATGAAATAACAACCAAGACCCCAAGAACCTTCTCCCATCACTACATTTTTCTTATCCTTCCAGATGCCCAGTGGAGGGTGGAGTACATTCACTTAAGCCCCAAAGTCTTACTTAAAACTTTGAAGAAATTCCTCCAGAATTCTAGAGGCCATAACTATGGTACCTTCATTTCCTTGCATCTTCACATGTTTCTAATAATTTTTTAGTTAGAAAAAAAGTAAGTCAAGGGAATGAACATGGATTCAGCAATTATCTAAGCAAGGGACCACCCTGTGCATGGGCACTTTCCATGAGTTAACTCAATCAAGCAGTCCTTACAACAGTCATGCAGTCTTATTTTCCCCATTTTGTAGATGAGAAGTTTAAGGCTCAAAGAGGTCTCTTAGCTTCCTTAAGGCCACAAAGCAAATAGGTTGCTCAGGTATGTTTTGAAGCCAGATCGACTTCATCCCAAGGCCTTAGCCATGACATCATGACTCCCAAATGTCTGCCACAAAGTACTGCTGGTCTATAATCAAATGAGCCAAATGTCTTATACTCTTGCATGACTATTAACCACCTTTTCTTGAGATGGACTTTTCTTTGAAATCATGCTCTTCCTATGGGCAGGAAGCATTAAAACGATTCTGCTGCAATACGGTTGTTTGATTTCTTTGTGCTTCATGTCCTTACTTGGCAAAATAAAAAGCCGGCAGCTGGCCGGGTGCGGTGGCTCACACCTGTAATCCCAGCGCTTTGGGAGGCTGAGGCAGGGGGATCACAAAGTCAAGAGATGGAGACCACCCTGGCCAACATGGTGAAACCCTGTCTCTACTAAACATACAAAAATTAGCTGGGAGTGGTGGCACTCTCCTATAGTCCCAGCTACTCGGGAGGCTGAGATAGGAGAATCACTTGAGCCCGGGAGGCAGAGCTTGCAGTGAGCCAAGATCGTGCCACTGCCCTCCAGCCTGGCAACAGAGCAAGACTCCATCTCAAAAAAAAAAGAAAAAAAAGAAAAAGTAAAAGAAAAAAGAAAAAAAAGTTGGCAGCCTCGTGTTCGTCCTCAAAATATTCTTTTAATATTCCCTGGTCCATGAAGTCCAAAATGTTGGAAACTACTGTAGGACCTCTTGCTGAAACCTTGACGTTTGAAAAAGAGCAGGGATAATCCAGCCCATCATTGTGACTGCATATGGGGGTAGCAGAGACACATGGGATTCTTGCTGTCTTAGTAAGGGCCGCTTCACGCCTGCCATTCCAGGGCTCAAACCAAGAATGAATTGGCAAAAGCCTTTACATGCACTAGCAGCTTGCTGTGAACCCCTGAGATTGAAAAAAGCTTATCCTCCAAATATTTTTTTTTTTTTTTTGAGACAGAGTCTCACTCTGTCTCCCAGGCTGGAGTGCAGTGGTGTGATCTCAGCTCACTGCAACCTCCACTTCCTGGGTCAAAGTGATTCTCCTGCCTCGGCCTCCTGAATGGCTGGGACTACAGGCACACACCACCATGCCCAGCTAATTTTTTTGCGTTTTTAGTAGAGACGGGGTTTTACCATGTTGGACAGGATGGTCTCCATCTCTTGATCTCATGATCTGCCTGCCTCAGCCTCCCAAAGTGCTGGGATTACAGGCGTAAGCCACCATGCCCAGCCCCAAAGATCGTTTTTTAAATTCCATTCCTTGTTGTTAAGACAAGATGGTGGGAATTAAGAGATTAATATTAACAAGGAATCTGATGATATGCGTTTTATATCCTCTCTGTCCCAGACAAGTGCTCTACCCAGAGCCCATGGGAGGAGAGGTTTTCTCTAAAATCTTTGAGGTCAAGAAACAGGACTATTTTGGGATTCCAGGATTGAAGGCTCCTTTGCTGTTCCCCAGCCATCAGGTAGGAGCCCTACGGTGCTCTGATTTTTTTCTCCTCTGTCTGGCTGTGGCTTTCTGTGCTCGAGCTCTTCTCCCTTTCCTTCCTAGAGAAGAGTCTGCATCTGTGGGGCAACATGCAACAACTACTGAGACCTTAAGTTAAGTGCTAGGCACTGTACTCGGCAATTTCAAGCAAGCCATTTCAACTCATCTTATTTATTTTTTATTGCTTTTATTATTTTAAAAATAATGCATGCTTATTTTATTTTAAAAAAAATTTTAACCCTACATACATGACCTTGGACAAGTTACATAACCTTCAGTTTCCTTGACCACAAAATAGGGACAAGAACCAAACAATATTGTGGGTGAAAATGCCCCATTTTACCTTCAGAGACAATCACTATTAATACTTTGGTGGATATACCCAAGGCACTTTACTATATATTTATCAACATTTATTACTAATAATTTTTATAAGAATGGAATCACTTACACAATTGCTTGTGACTTGTTTTCTCAGGAAAATATTTGCATGTTAAGGTACATATACCTGAGAATCAGGTTTTATCAACAAACTGGTGGATGGGAAAACTGAGGATCATGGAGGTTGTACAGTCCAAAGAGTCAGGTAATGGAGGCAAAACTCAAATTTCACACCCTTGCTCCAAAACCCTTGTTTTTTCTACTAAATCTCAGGTTCTTAGAAAATAAATCACAGTGGGAAGAGGGTCCAACCCCAAACAAGGTGAGACTCTGGGGGCAAAAATCATACAGTCTGGGGGTGGTGCCATGTAGTGGCAGCAGGATCTAGAATGATGTCAGAACTGGAGTCAGAAAGCCTCAGTTTTAAGATTGACTTATACTAGTTTATGACATTAGGCAGTTGAATAACCTATCTCAGCCTCAGTTTGCTCTGCTATAAAATGGAAATAAGAATAGTGTCTGCTTCATAGCATTGCTCTAAGGGTTGAATAAAGAGAACACATGTAAATGGCCTGGTACATTTCTGAAGGTCCCATCATGTATCTGGCACTGTGCTAGGCTTTGGGGATTCAAAGACAAGTGAGACACAGTTCCTGACCTCAAAGGATCGACAGAGAAGACATCTGTGTGCCCCCAAAGTGTCACAGGGGCTGATGTAGACACCTGGCTGGAGGGTCTTTTGGGGGCAAAAAAGAGGACAGGTAAGCACAAGGAGAAGGAGGATTTGGATGGTTAAACAACAGAAATTTATCTTGTCACCATTCTGGAGCCTGGAAGTCCAAAATCAAGGTGTGTGCAGGTTTGGTTCCTTCTGATGCCTCTCCTTGGCTTGTAGAAGGTCATCTTCTCTGTACCTTTTCACATCATCTTCCCTCTGTACATATCCAAATTTCCTCTTCCTGTAAGAACACCAGTCATATCGGATTGCAGCCCATCCTCATGATCTCATTTTAACTTCATTACCTCTGTAAAACCATAATCTCCAAGCAAGGTCCTATTTGTAGGCACTGGGTTGGGGGTTAGGACTCTAGCATATGAATTTGGGGGAGGTGGAGGACACATTTCAGCCCATAACGAAGGCACACTCTACACAGACCTTCTGCTGCTAGTTTTCAGGAGTGGTTTGTCTTTCTGGTCAGTGTTGTGGTCTTCTCTCTACTTTGCATCTCACTGTCTGTTTTCACTCTCCCTACCTTCCTTACCCAATTGAGGCAACAAAGGAATCCTCCAGAGCTTTTAGACTACAGTATAAAGTATCAAAGTCCAGGCTCAGTATACAGTGGCCTCATGGCCAAATCTCATGCCTCCAACCCAAGCTGAAGGAAAGGAAGGAGAGAGTAGATCACTCTGTATTAGCACTTTACTGTGAGCCTGTGGCTTTCCCGTGCCTTGTCTTGTGTGATCGTTACTACAACCCTGTTTATAAAGACAGAATCAGAGAAGCCAAGCAATTTACACTGTGTCACAAGGCTGGAAAGTTGATGGAGCAGGATTCAAATCCAATCTATCCACCTTCAAAGCGTATGTTATTTATTTACTCCACTTTCCTTGAAGAGTTCCTATCCCTAATCTCCAAGAAATGTAGGCAAATGAGAGAGATTCCAAAAGTCTGGAGCATGAAAATCACTGCCTTCAGTGTAAGTATAGATTCCAAAAATTGTAGACTTGAAAGTTTGGCAAATGGAGTTTTCAGAAAATTCACTGAGATGTTCTCTGTTTTCCGGCAGCTTCTCTATCTCAACCCAACCCAGTTCCCAATCTCCCCTGAGATAAGGAATCTCAAAGATTGGAGTCATTCTTTGAATGGAAGAGAGGAAAATGCTGCAGGAGCAAACACAAATGTGACAACAGCCCTCGTAAGTGGTCCCCTTCTCTTGCTCACTCTGGTATTTCTTCCCAGAGCAGCCAAAGGGTCTTTCAAAAAGGCAGCTCTGAGCACCTCACTCTTCTGCCTGAATTCTTCAGTAGCATTGCACTGTCATTCAGAATAAAATGCAAATTTTTCACCATGCTCACCAAGGCCCCTTTCCATTTGCCCTAGACCCAGCCCCTGTCTTATCTCTTTCTGCATCTCTTTTGATAAACACACACTCCAGTTATATCTGAGGGCAGGGACCATGCCCTCCCCTGCCAGTTCCTAGAAGAGAGAAGGCACTCATCAAGAACTGGGAAATAAGTGAATGAGGGGAAAAAATGAATGAACTGCAAGAGAGCAATGTGGGTATTTCTGGCTTAATCGTTCTCCTCCAGGTCATGGCTCAGGGCTGAGAGCCCTTCCACCTGTATCTCTGGCCTTCCCGAGATCCTTAAAGTCCTCTCCACCCAGCCAGCAGATGAAGAAAGAGAGGATGGATCTTTGCATGGGGAGCTGTAGGGTCTGGAAGCAGTGTACATCACTGCCATCCATTGTCTATCAGCCAGAATCAGACCATGGCCCCATCTAGCTGCAAGGAAAGCTGCAAGCCTAGGAGATAGAGGAATTGGGACTGGGTAGACACATGGCAGACTCTGGCAAGGCCTCAGCGTTTTCCATCCACACCTAACTCCAAACTCCACAAAAGCCTCCTCAGCACTTCACCAGAGTGGACTCTTCTTCTCTCCCCTGCCTCCTTGTCCACAGCCCTCTAGCCCATTTTCTCTGCGTCTTGACCTTTCCCAATGTAAAACTGTTCTTATCTGTGTCATAAGAGGTGGGAGGTAAGGGAGAGAGCAGCAGCATCATTTCCTTGGAGGGCAAGGCATGAACTATCCCCCTCCGCACCCTCCCCCTGCCCACTCCCAACACAGCTGTCTTAGTCCATTTAAGCTGCTGTAACAAAATACCATCAACTCGGTGGCTTATAAACAACAGAAATTTATTTCTCACCGTTCCGGAGGCTGGGAAGTGCAAGGACAAGGTGCCAGCAGACTGGGTGTCTGGTGAGGGCCTACCTCCTCATTGACAGTGACTTCTCCCTGTGTCCTGACATGGTGGAAGGGGTAAGGCAGCTCTCTGGGACCCCTCTTATAAGGGTGATAACCCCATTCATGGGATTATCATGAAGTCTCCACCCTCATGACCTAATCACTTCCCAAAGGCCCCACCTCCCAATGCCATCACCTTGGGCGTTAGGATTTCTAAACATGAATTTGAGGAGTGGAGGGACACAAACATTCAGACTGTAGCAGCAGCCAGGTGTCAGGTGGGCACACAGAGGAGTTCTTTGCAGCTTCCCTCACACCAAGGTCTACATGTGTCTAGACCACATCACCAGCCAGACTGGCCACATCAGTGTAGATATGTGTTGCACAAGAATGTCCACTTTCTACCAAGAGGCATGGGAGGTTGGCTGACCCTTCCCCACATGCCCTGACAGCCCCGCTGATAAGAGGGAGCGGAGGGACTGAAATTTCACTTTCTCAGAAACAGCGGATTCAGCAACTGTGGCTGCTACAGGAGACACAGATCTGCACCAGCTTAATTTCTCTCAGCCTTTATCACCATACACAAAGCAAGAGCTATTATGCCCTGTCCGGCGGCCAAGGACTCACCTCGTCTGGCATTGGGGAAATGATATCTTAGCCTGCAGGGCCCCAGACAGCTTCTTCTTCCAACACTATTGTGGCTGGAACCCTCACCTGCCCGGGGGAAGCTGTTCCCATGCAGGATAGACACCATTCTTGCCATGTAGGGCTCCTGGAGAAGTCTCTTCTAGAAACTGAGCCAGCTTTGGGCCCCATAGAGAGGACTGTAACAGAGCTAACATATTCTGGAGACAAACCCCCATCTCCACACTTGCCTGAGCCCTGAGAAGTTGGGGGGAAAAGCCTCTCCAGGAGCTCCTGGAATAGTTTGAGCTGCTGCTGAGAAGGAATGACTGCCTTCCGGGGGGGATTTAGTCTCCACACTTGGCGATCCTGAGTCCGTATTAAAAATGCAAGACTCTAGTCAGAGCCTACCAGATCCTGCCAGCCTTGGTTGGGACCCTGAGGCTGGGTGAAGGAAGGTGAGGGGAATCAGGGAGACAGGGAGGAAGGATGGTGCCTCCAGCACCACCTATCCACAGCTGATCTCCTGCCTCCAGGACTCCATCTCAATCTGGGGCTGAGCTTCTGGCTCCTACTGTCAGGGATCCCTGAACAGTCCATATATTGTGTGCAGCTCACCTTTGCCCTAGCCCCTCCTCACTCCCATAATCCAAATCCATCTTCTCCTCCACCACCCTGTCCTTTCCCTACAGCCTGAGAAAGGACCCTCAGTTTACCTGGTCTGAGGCATCCTCCTTCTTATAGCTTCAGGCGAGGATCCATAGGGCCTGTCTGTTCAAACCCACTTACCGAGTCCCCTGAAAAGTCCTAAATATTTTTATTTCTTCATTCCTTTGACAAACCCTCTCTGAACCCCTAATTTGTACACAGCCCCATGCTCAGTTCTGAAGGTAAAAATCTACCAGTACCTACTCTCTGCCCTCCAGAAGCTCTTAAACTCAAAGAAAGGAGATAAATGCAAAAACAGTGACATTAATGAAGTCGTGTTCAATATTTTTTGAGCACCTACTATGAGCCAGACCCTGTAAAATATGCACCACAATATAAAGATGAATATGACTCAGTCTGTGGAGAAGAAACGTCAGTATACTATCTCTCATTCTGCTGCAAGTTCATCCCAAGAAACTATGGAGAGCAAAAACCACCCTTGCTCCAAAACCTTCCAGGGGGTTGTTTGTCTGAAGCATGGAAGACATTTTCTGATGGTTGGGAGTTTTCTAGCAGTGCTGTTGGTGCCTCACTTGTGTCTGTAAACATCAAAGCTTCTTACTGCAAGTACTTGAGATGCTCTCCTGCGCATCTTCCCTGGCCTAGGTAGGGTAGACCAGAAGAACCAGAGAATTTATGTCCCTCCCACCCCAGACCAGCCCTCAACCAGTGATGGGAGGAAGTTAGCAACTAAGTGTTCCAGCTTAATCTCTCCCAGTGGCAGAGGGCTAGGGCAACTCTGAGGTGTGTTCTGCCTTGCAGTCCCCAGCAAGATGGTGTCCCAGTTGCCCAAAGCAACAACCTGCTCATTAATTCACCTTATATTGGCTTCCATTCCTTCCCTGTCTTACTCACAACTCCCAACCCACGCTTCCTGGGATCACCTTCCAAATAAACCCCTTGCACCTGAATTCTTCTGTCAAGGCTGCTGTGGGAGGAGCCCAGCCTAAGGAAGATTCTGAAGGCGTCCCCACATCCTGGTCTCCACCCACATGGTTCTCTGCCCCAGCGGGCTACATTCTCTTCCTTAAGCACACCAAAGGCATTGCCTGAGCTTGGACTGCACTGTGGATCCAACCTGGAGCCTCCACCCCAGCCCCTCCATACACCACTTGCAAACACTACTCAAAGAATCCTGTAGGCTGAGAGAGCTAGCTCATGCCTGTAATCCCAGCACCTTGGGAAGCAAAGGTGAGTGGACCACTTGAGGTCAGGAGTTTGGGACCAGACTGCCCAACAAGGTGAAACCCCGTCTCTACTAAAAAATAAAAAATTAGCTGGGCATGGTGGTGATGCCTGTAATCCCAGCTACTTGGGAAGCTGAGGCAAGAGAATTACTTGAACCCAGGAGGCAGAGGTTGCAGTGAACCAAGATCGCCACACCATTGCACTCCAGCCTGGGCGACAGAGTGAGACTCCATCTCAAAAAAAAAAAAAAAAAAAAAAAATCCTCTATTTCCTCTAAGGCAAGTTCAACTTCTGTTGCTTCCACAGAGCCATTCCAGCCACTCCTGCCCTGGAGCAGTAATGCACATGTATATTTGTAGGTGTGCACTTATCATCTCTCCCCCATCCCAGCATGCTGAGAACGCTAACCCTTGCTGCATAGATTGAAGAAAGACACAGGGATAGTTGTGGGGCGGTGTGGGGGTGGGGGTGAAAATGCTGAGAAACATGTGATTTCTTTACTTCTAAAACCCTTTCTTGAGGAAGAGAAAAGGATAGATTTAGGAGAGGGAGAGAAGGGGCCAGAGCCAGAAAGGGTTCAGTTTGAGAAAGAATTGGGAGGTGGTGTGTGGGTGAATGGGAGATGAGGCGGAACAAGAGGAGTCAGGGATCATTCTCAGCCTGAAATGATTGGCTTTGGGGAGAAAATGAATTTTTTTTTAAGTTTTGCCTCCTGTGAAGCCAGCCTCTCTTTGCTACTTTTTGAGGCTTCCATAAAAAGATCCTCTTTTTTTGTGGACGTTGGCAATGCCACGGTCACAAAACGGGTCAGCTTTATGCGACCCCACATCTTGAAATCTTTAAATGGAGGTTAAAATCTCTATTTTCACCAGAAACAGAGGCCCAATCTTCCCCAAGTTCCTAATGACTTCACTGTCCAATTGTCCTGCCTCCCTCTTTCCTGAGCTGAGGGACAGGAGGGGCAGTGGGTGTCCTGGGCGCATGTCCATTCTCCTCAAGCCGGAGCCAGCGACGCCCACACCCTCCCAGCCCCTGGTCCCAGCCCTCTCCCACCTCACCCTGAGTCTGACAAGCCACCCTAATGGATTGACCGTGGCCTCTGCTGGAGGGGCTAAATATAAAACTTTCCTGCGCTCCTCTTGTCAAAGTTAAAAGCTTTTCATGTCTGTGTTAATGTTTTTTTCTGTCTGCTGGCTCCAGTGACAGATGCGGCATCTTGTGCTGAGTAACTGGAGAGTGAATGGCTGGCAGGGGCCGGGGAGGTAGCGGTAATTTATCTCCAAGAGTTTAAGCAGGATGACATGGCTGGGAACAGAAGGGGGGTGAGGTTGTCACCTGATTACTAATTCCAAGATTTCTCCTCCAAGAGGGAAAAGGAGTGAGCGAGGATGAAGGGTACAAAAAGCAAATCAATAAACAGGTTAGCGTCTGCGTCATTATTAACTCTCAGCCTGTCAGCACCCCACTGAAGCGATCGCTTGAGGCGGCCTCGGATTTAATGGTCAGTGCAATAGATTTACTGTAAATGTTATCAGAGGCAAGGGCGGGGGCACGGGGCTTGAGGAGGCCTTCACTGACAAATCATTGGATTGCACCTGGATGCATGAAGCCATTTCTGAACATGCATAAATAACCTAGAGCTTAGGTCCCGGGTGGCATTTCCTCCCTCGGATTTAAATGCTGCTACTCGCCTTTCTCTGTATTCTTGGCTTCCAAAAGGTTCAAACAGCCAGGTTTCCCCTAAATCTTTCCAGGGGCCTCATCTTCTGGCCCTCAGCAAATCTGAGAAAGGTCAGGCAGCAAGTCTGCACCAGGAGCCTCTGGGATCCAAAGAGATCAGCGAGCCAGGAAACAGCCCAGACCCAAGAAAGGCAGCCAGCCAGGAGTCTGAGGCTTCGCTGCAGCAGGTGAGATGCCTCTGAAAGCTCAGTCCTAAAGGAAGCATTCCCTGAGCTCAGCATCTAGGGACTGGGGATGCCTTCTTGAGGTTCCTCCTGACCTCTCCAGTGAGCCTCTGGAGCCTCTTCCTCTGAGCCTCTCACCTGCTATGCTTACTAACAACAAATACTGGTGGGAGGGCTTTTGACTAAGATCATTCATCAGAATTCAGGTTGCTATCCTACCCTCATGCCAGGAGTCATGGCAGAACAAGAATCCAGAAGCAGGTAGAGACAGCAGCCAAAGAGCATAGTAAGGTAGCCTACTGTTTTCAAAAGCAGGGCCACTGTGTACAGTTGTTCAGGCTGTATACTGCACAAGTCTAAGGGATGTCATTCACAACAAATCTATGGGAATGGTACTCTCTGGAGCTGTGCAGCATGACAACTTCACAGGCATATGCAACAGTCCCAACAAAGAGGCAGTGCCAGGTGGACAATGGAGAGAAGCAACCTACTACAGAAGTGAACACTGAGAATCTTTCCAGTAGATTCCAGTTGAAATCAGAGGGGACAAGACAAGTTGCCAGGCATAGGTTGTCTAAACAGTTGGGAGGGTTTTAACAGTGTCCTAGGAACTTGGACTATTGAGAACTGCTTCTGCTGACACTTGAATGAGAAAAAGCCTGTGGGAACATTAGGGAATGCAGATTTTGTCTTAGCTACACTGACCATAATCTTTCAAACCAAATACGCAGGATTTTTGTTCTACTGATGGTGATGAAAAGCTTGGATACAAAAATACTCTGCTGTCTCAGGCATTGAGATTGTTCCCGGGGTCAGAGGCAGAACACATGGCATCTGGACTCTCAGAAGTAACACAATGAGATGGAATCAAGGAAGGGGCCGACTCAAGACCCTCTCTCTCCTCATCTCAGACAAGGCTGGTGTTAGCTTGAGATCCTCCCAAATGGAGTCCCTAAGACGAGGCCTTGGAAGGAGGTCTCTTGACTGGGAGGTGAGCCCAGAAAGCAAAAGTGAGAGAGAAAAGCCAACTAAGGGCAGGTTGATGGTCATGCCCAGGGCATTATTCCCCGACACACACTTCAAAGTGGGGCCTGTTGGAGGCTGAGCAAGTTCCTCTGGGACCAGGGAAAGCCCCAAGGCATGGGAAAAAAGAGACTCTTAAGCAAGAGATAAAGGGAACTGTCCACAGCAGCAAGTGGATGCGGGGATGGGGGGGACCACGGGTATCTGAGGGGAAGACATCAATCACATCTTCTATAGGACCCAACCTCAGCATCCACCAGGCCTGCCTGACCACCCGCCCTGTTCCTCTGCTGCAGAAACACCAAGTGCCTTGGAAAACCACGGCTCTGTTTGGGTTCGCCGGCTGCCATCTCCCGTGGAAAGAGCCAGGTGAATCTGAAATTAGAGCCAAGTATGCCTTGAGGACTTTCCAGCCAATCTGATGCTAAGAAAGATCCTTTGTCCAGGACTGGCCCATAGTGGCAGGCTCGGAGACATTTCTTTGAGGCTGGGGGGACAAATCCCTAGCTATGTATGCAGAACCATTTATGTTCATGGTCCACTTGTGAGGCCGGCGTTGTGATCTACTTTTTCCTAATAAAGATATTGAGGTTCAAAGAGATGAAATGATGTGTGACAGGGCACACCTACGGGGCTTCAGTCAGAACCCAGTGGCACCCTAAAGCTGCTCCCAGGGTGAAAGTCACCAGTAGCAGTAGACCCTTGAAAGCCATCTGGGGATGGCTATAGCCCAAATTATATCCCTGCAGGCCTAGGAGTGGGGGTCACTTTTCTCTGTTGCTAATCTCCAGGGGTCTCGAATTCCCTGTTGGAAGTCTCCACTCTTCCCTCAGTGAAACCAATTCCCTGTTTTAAATTCCTCAGCGCTTTTGAACCAAAGTGTTTGAAATCCCTAGAGTGATTTCTGTTCTCCTGTGTGGCTCCTGGATGATTCCCAGCCCTGTCTAAACTATTGCCCTGCCCCAAAATCTTATATGCCCTTCCTTGCTTAGCATGATCACTGTCCAACATTCTATATATTTTACTGATTTCTCTCATTTATTTTCTGTCTCCCTCACTAAAACAAGACCAGGAACTGGATGCAGTGGCAGTAGTAGTAGCAGCAGTCCCAGCTACGTGGGAAGCTGAGGTGGGAGGACCACTTAAGCCCAGGGATCTAAGACAAGCTCAGGGAACATAGTGAAGCCCTGTCTCAAAAAAGGCAAGATGAGGATTTTCCCGTTTTGTTCACTGCTATATCCCTAGAGCCTTAAACATTCCCCCAGCACACAGAAGATGTTCAAAAAGTATTTGTCAGATAATTAAATGCACAACATACTGGATACTCCATTTTGGACCCAGACTGGAACGTGGGTGCCTCATGCAGGTTCCCATTGCTGACTCACTCCCCAGCCCAGCTGCCCTTCTGTCTCCATGCTCTGGAACTCCATGCCCAATGCCAGTCACCCACCTATAGTCTCCTGACACACCCAGTCCATGTGGGAGTGCAGTCAGGGGGACTCACCGGGGATACCAGTGACCTTTACCACCCTGCCCTGGAGGAAGCACAGAAAGCCAGAGAGAAGCAGGACAGAGGAAGCCAGTGAAAGGCAAGTCAAGCTGCTGGGCTGTTCCAGCCCTGAGGGGCTTGGTGTGTGCATGTGTATGCACATTCTCACACTTGCACACAAACCTAGTGCTATGGTTTGGATGTGTGTGTTCCTCCAAAATGTACATGTTGGAACATAAATCCCAAGGCGGTGGTATTCAGAGATGAGGCCTTTGGGGAAGTGATGAAATTGTGAGGGTTCTGCCCTCATGAATGGGATCAGAGCCCTTAGGAAAGAAGCTGCAGAGAGCTGCCTGGCCCTTCTGTCTCTTCTCCGTTGTGAAGACACCAAGAGGGTGCTGTCTTTGAGGAATGGGTCCTCACCAGACACCGAATCTGCTGGCATCTTGATCCTGGACTTCCCAGCCTCCAGAACTGTGAGAAATAAGTTTCTATTGTTTATAAATTATCCAGTTCAATGTATTTTGTTTAAGCAGTGGAAAAGGACTAAGACACCTACACACATGCATGTGCACACACACACACCTACACATGTATGCACACATGCACACACCCACACTTATGTATGTACACCTACACGCATGCATGCATACTTATACATATGCGCATAGCTACATGTGTGCACCTGCATACATGCACGTGTGGGCACACATATTGCACACATGCATGCACACTCACACACGTGTGTGCACACATGTGTACCATTCAACACATACACATGTGCACACATACCATGGGTTGCATGTGAAGAAGATGAAGGAAAAGATCTAACCCCCTCTCCACAGTCCTGTGACTTACTAAGAGCTCTTGGAGGCAGGTAGGAAAACCTCTTCCTTTTTATAGATTTACTGTTCTGACTCTGAAGATTAACATAGATACTCTGGCAGGGGGTCATATAGCTGTGGCTGGTGTACGTGTGCTTGTGTAGATGGGGGTGTGTTTAGGTGATATGTATGTGATATGTCTGTTTACATCTGTGGTATGTTTGTGTGTATGGTGTGCATATCTATGTGGGTAGGGGTGTGTGTTTGTGTACTATGTATGGTTGTCATGTGTGTCCACGTGTGTCTCTGTGCTTGTGTGCATTCAATATGCGTGTTTGTGTGGTTTGCATGTGGTGTGTGTGGCATGTGTATATGTGCTTGGTCTAACACACAGAAGTACCTGCCACTCATAATGAAAATAACAAAGGGTACCCCACTAGGACAGCCCACCCAGATGAGGACAGAACTGGGCCCCCAAAGCACCCCCAAATTGTGCAGTGAGGACTGGAGCATTCAAGGCCGTCACTGCTGACTAAAGCCACCAGGGGAGCTACTCCCTCAGACTCAGTCTGGGGGAATAAACTCCAGGGAAAGGGGATGGGGCCTACAGACAGAGTGGGTGGGGGTGTCTGAAAGGTGGGTGGAAAGTCACGCAGGTAACCTACAAGAAGATGGCTCTCTGGAGGAGAGGGCAAGCCCACAGAGGCCCACAAGGGACCCAGTTCAAAGGCACTTCTCCAGAGCTTCTCTCCGGAAGTGGGACAGAGTGGCCCTTGGTGAACCACCTATGTAACCCTCCTCTCATAATTCCTCTAAGGAGCCCTGCCCCACAGCATAGAAAGTGGGCAACGCCACGCAGGCCTGCTCTAGTGGGGAAGGTGAGGGGAGCTGGCAACAGAGAAGTGAGGCCCACTGCAGCCCCCACTCCCTGCCAGCACCCAGGCCACAGCATCCCTGGAGGGGATGGTGTCCAGGTGGTGCTGCCCCACACAGATGAAGGGTGCCCATTGCAAAGCTGGGAGGGGTAGGGAAGAAGGCAGACCCGTGGATAACTTGGGTGGAAGGACTGTAGGACCCGAAATTTGGCCGACATATGAAGCCTAGGAGTGCCTCCCAGGGGTCAGTGAGCTGCAGGGGATTGCCAGAAGTGTCAGACAAGGTGACCTCCTCCCCCACCTGGCACTGGTCTCCTTATGGGCCCAGAACCCCCACCAGCCTCCCCTCCTGAGTGGGGCAGCAGCTGAGCCAGGACATCCTTGGGGGATGTGCCAAACAATTACTTTACTTATTGAATATCTGATTAATTATTCAGAAGGTGAATCAATTATTCATATCTCATTTAAGCAAGGGGGAAAAGCCACTGCCCCTTGAAAGAAGCTTCTCAGCGCCTCCCAAGGCCCTGGGGACGGAGTCATCAGCGGGAGAAATTGTCACAGCAGGAATGTGTCACTGGCGTGGCTGCTGCAACCACCACGGGCCTCCTCCTGCACACACCGTCACTTGTGCATGCACACACCCGCTCACACTTCCACACACACACACACAGAGCACTCAGATACATAAAAGGGAAGAAGTGTGGATCACACAGAGGAAGAGACAGTCCCTCAGTCCATCAGGGAAGGTCCCCAGTAAAAATGACATTTGAGTTACGACTTGTCAGAGGAAAAGACAGAGAAAGTGGGGAAGGGTAGTCCAAGCATAGGGAACTGCAGGAGCAAAGGTGCGGAGGCGTGGAAGAGCACCAGGCACCCGAGGGCACTGGGATGGGAGAGGGATGGTGGCAGGGAGCAGAGACTGGATGACTCAGAGCCTGGGCTTACCCAGTGGGGAGCCAGTGAGAATGTGGGAGTGCCCCTGTGGGACACTGTGGCTGAAATGGGCTTGTGGGGCCTGGGACCCCACTGGGGGAAAGGGGGTCCCATTCCAGACACTGGTTTACAACCTCCTCACCTGGCTCTGTCCAGGGCGCCCTTTGGCAAGAGGCCAGAGACCATCTCAGCAGGCTCATGAATCATGAGGCTTTTGTAAGTGGCAGGGGCTTCGCCATTTTTCCCTCCAAGATTTCCCAATCCAAGGGGAAGGTGGGCTGGGGTTCCCCCAACCAAGGAGCAAGACTTACTGACCACGTTTTACGGATGGAGAAACTGAGATCCAGAGAGAGGAACGGGCTGAGCCTCAGTCACTCAGACCCAGGACCAGAACTCAGGCCTGCAGCCCCCAGGCTTAGCAGTACAATGCAGGCTGAGAGGGTCTGTGACTGCCAGCCCCACCTCAATCCAGGCCCTCCCTGAGCCCTCAGATGGAGGCCCTGCGCAGGTACCTCTGCAGGAAGGTCTGAGCAGGGTAAGGTGTTGCCCACTCCCACTCTGTCTGTCCCTTTACCACTCTTCTTCTCTGTCTTTACCTCTCTCTTTGTCCCTTGCTCATTTACTTGCTCTGTGTGTTTATGGCAGAGAGGGTGGGGTGGGGGTTGACTTTCTCTCTCTCCACTCTGTCTCTGCTTCTCCCATCTTACTGTGTCTTCGTCTCTCTCCTACTTTCTGTCTCTCTCTTTCTCACTCTCTTTTTTCTTTCTCTCTTTCCCTTTCCTCTCTCTCTCTCTCTCTCTCTCATTCTTGGTCTCTCTGTTACCCATCTTTGCCTTTCTGTCTTTCTTTTTCTCCCTCACATTCTCTATTTGTCTCTTTCCCTGTCTCCCTCCCTTTTCTCTCCTCCCGCTTTCCTCTTTCTCTTTCTTTCTGTCCATCCCAAGGCTGGTCCAGGGCTGGGATGCAGCCTCTTCCTTCCCCCAGCCCTTCAGCCTGACCAGACCCAGGCACCCCACACCCACTAATCAAATCTGCGACCTGATTCAATTACACCCAGCAAAAATGCAGACGTGTAACCTTGTTAATATCACATTTATTAGAGGGAGGGGAGGAGAAAATTAAGATAGACTTCGTGTTGCTGCTAATTAGAAAAATTGAGACTTTACATCTGCGTAGCGCTGAGCAACATGTGGTGGTAACAGATGTGGGCTCATTACACAGCTGCACGGGGCGGGGATGGGGGCGGCAGGGTGGGGGTGTTGTGTGGAAAACATTCCCAAGCCAGCAGCATTCTCGAGCTGTAGCCCCCTCCACCCAGCGACCCAGGCCTGATTGACACCCTTAGGAAAGGCCAGGACCCAGGAGAGGAAGCGTGTGGGACAGCAGCTGAGAGCTCTGCCCTGGGGTCAAACCCTAACTCTAGCATAGATTAGCTGTGTGACTTGGCCCAGCCCTTAACCTCTCTGTGCCTTGGTGTCCTCATTTACAAAATGATACTATGGACCCCAGCCTCATGGGGCTGCAGTGTGGGAGGATGAAATGGAACAAAGCAAGTCACGTGCTGAGCACAGGGTTTGCACATGCCCAATTCAAATCATGGGTCCCTGAGGCCAGCTGCAGTGTGGAGGGCCAGCTGTGCTATCACAGTCATTGTCCAGCCCCCACTCATGAACCTCACCACCCTAACCCTAACAAAGGCCAATAGGAGCCATGGCTCAGCCCCTCATCCCCTGGGGGCTTCATGGGTCTGAAACAGCCCCATCTCAGAGCTCTTCAAGCTTGGATCCTGGATTTCACTTACAGGGGAACCACGAAGGAACAACAAGATGCAGTAAAACCCCTACTTCTGGGGGCCCGTGGAGGGAGGAGGTGGAGGCTGGAGATGGCACTGGACAGGGTTGCCGGATAAAGAAAAAAAGGAAAAAAAAATACAGGGTGTCCAGTTAAATTTGTATTTCAGATAAATAGCAAATTACTGTTTAGTGTATGTTCCATGCAATCTTTGAGACATACTTATGCTAAACAATGATTCATCTGAAATCCAAATTAATTGGGCATTATATATTTTCTCTAGCAAACCTAAGTGGAATGTCTGTACACGCTGGAGCTGGGAGAGTACACAGGGCTCCCTTGAACCCCCTGGACATGGGCAACCAGCCATGGATGGGCTGGAGAGAGGACTAGTAATCTCTCCCTCCTTGTGCCAGCCCTAGGAGCTCAGCCCAGGCCCACTCCCTACCCCACAAACCCTCCATCAGAGCCAAGTGGAAAAGGACTCTGGCCCAGCTCGCTGCACCCCCAGATCCCTTCAGATTGTTGGTTCCTGGGACTGGGAGGAGCCCAGCTTCCACCTGCAGGCCAGCGTGGCAATCAGAGCCATGACAGAGGAAGCGTGGAAGTTCATGAAATGTTGCCTCCTTGTCCCCCTCTGCCTCTCCCCACCTCTATGGCAAACTCTTCTGGCCTTGAGTCCCTTAATGGAGCATCCCTAAAGGCAGCTAGGAGCACAGGCCCCACAGAGCCCCTTTGGGGCTCACCATCCTATATATCTGCAGGCCTACACAGAAGGGACCCACAAAAGCAAAGGATGATCCGTTCCATGAACTATGAAAACTTCAGTGCTGAGGGGTCTCAGGGGAAGACAAAAGCTGCCCCCTACTTCCCCCCAGGCAGGGCTTTCCAGGCCTCCCAGCCTCTGGTTCCAGATTAGTCATAGCCAAAGGGCATGAGACGTGAAGCCAGGGGAGTCAAGCGAATGCCGTGGCTGAAGCCAGACGGTGATGTCAGGCCAGGGTAGGGAGGCTCAGGGTGGGCTTCCCCTGGATGTGTCTGTGAGGTGGTGGGCAGGGGCTGCTTAGGCAAAAGTCTCCCAAGGGGGGCCACACCACAGTCAGCCCAAACTAGTCCTCCACAGACACAAACTGAAGAGCCTGGGACCTCTCCATAGGGGAGCCCTGTCCTGGGCCCAGGAGGGGCTGCTGAAGTTTATTTACTATGTCTTGTACCCCGCAGAGTCTAGCACAGGATTTCATTTGGCAAGCACTTATTACATGCTGAGCACTGTTTTAAGGATTTGACAAATATCCACTCATTCGTTTTCCTAACAACTGCTGGTGGCTCTCCTCTTGCCCCACTCCCATCCTGCACCCAGCTCTAGTTTCTGACCTTCTCTGCCGTGTTCCATGTTCTGTGCAAGGGAAGCTGACCTCTACCTGCTGCATCACCCCCCACTCCCTCACCCCCAGCTGTAGTTTGGGTTCTGGGAGCCCACCAGTTGTGACTCTAGCCATGACTGCATTTCTCTGTGGCTGCATATCTGAATGGGGCATGGAGGAGGGGTTCCAAGACTCCACTCTCATAGGCCTCCTGAAACAACCTTTCCTTCCCTTGCCCCTTCAGTCTGGCAGGAGGAGGGGGTCATCGTTTTCTGCTCTTGCTAACCGAGGTATGCCTCACCATCCCTTTCTGTTTCCTTAATTTGCCTTAATTTGAAAATTGTCCCTTTATAATGTTCTTTTTAGAGAAATCCTTTTGGATGTGCCATTTGTTTCCTGCCAAAATCCTGACTGATCTAAGAATCCTATGAGAGAGGTTACCATTATCACCCCCATTGAGAAGATGAGAAACTCAGACACAAAGAGTTCAGTAACTCACCCAAGAGCACACCAAGAGGTGACCACTCCTGGTCACCTAAAGCCCAGTTTCTTCTCCCCACACTCCCTTGGAACCCTCTTCACACAGGCTTTGTCCCTAGACTCCTTGGGTCCCTGTCTCACTCCAAAGGGCTGGGCTTCCAGCTGTCAGGTTCAGACCTTATCGGATCATTGAATAAATGAGAGCCCAATCCCTGGAGCAGGAAAGGCTTGGAAGATAAGATGCCACTACCTTATGGAGCTAGGATAGTGCAGGCCCATGCCCCCAGCCTCAGAATGAGGATCATAATGCCTATGACCAAGCTGGAGTCTAAGAGAGTCTTGTGAAAGGCCTGGCCAGCCACATGGTGATTCTTAACCATTATTTTAAATCAGTAGTTCTCAACTAGGGCAGTTTTGCTCCCTGGAAGACATTTGGCAAGGTCTAGAGACATTTTTTATTATCAAAACTGGGGAGAGAAGATGCTACTGGCATCTAATGGATAGAGGCCAAGGATGCTGCTAAACATCCTACCATGTACAGGACAGTCCTCCACAAGGAATTATCCCACCTGAAACGCCAACAGTGCCAAGATTGAGAAACTTAGGTTACAGAATCTCAGGACTCATAGAGAACATTTGTTCTATTACATCTATTATAGATGAAGATACTGAGGACCCAAGAAGGCCTCAAAGTCACTGCCAGGTTAGAAATAGCCAGTATCCAAGTCCAAGTCCATATTTACCTCCAGAGTCTGGTACAGCACAGAGCAGGTGCTTGGCTTGACCCAGCATCTGGCTGCTTCTAGAAGGTCCTCAGCTTGTCATCAGCTGCCTCCCCCAACCAGGACAAGGTGAGATCTGGATGTGGGTCCTAGGGACTTTCTTCCCCTGGAAGATCTGAATGAGTCCAGAGAGCTTTCCTTCGGTAACCTCTCCCCTCCCTTCAAGAGCTCTTATCAAGAGCACACACACTTTCAGGCATAGCCTGAGCTGTGGCTACTTGGTTAATAGCCACAAGCTCATCCATAGGCCAGTTGGCCTCAAAGGGATCCCCTTGCAAAGCCCTGAATTTATTCTGACAGTGCTGCCAGTGGCCTTCGGAGTTTTACAGGAGGCCTTGTCAAGGGCAAACATTGATCCTTTGAGAGGTGATGTGCCTTTGGAAACAGCTTCTGGCATCTAGTATGGTAAGCTCAATGGAGTACAGACTAGATCAGTCCTTCTCAGAAAAGTTCTAAGAAGGAGCCATATATGGAGGTGAAGGTTTTGTGAAGTGGTTTTGGAGGAGCTGATAGGGACCTAGGGTCACCTCTGGCTGGGACCACAGGCACAAGATCCCATGCTAGGGATAGGGCCAGAGAACCAAGAGTGGAATGGGGACTCAGATAAGCAGAGCCTTTACTCATTGGCCAGAAGCAGAGTGTGCCAAAGACCAGCCCCCAAACCACCCACTCAATGGAAAGGAGAGGCCAGATATCTGTGGCTCAGCCTGTGGCCAAGAGTAAGGCGAGAATCTAAAGGACAGTTGAACCTTTGGGGGCCATCCAGCATCCATTCTCCTTTCTTTGAATAATGACATCAAAGGATTGCCTTTCAGGGAAGTGTGTAAGAAGTGAAATCAAAGGCCAAGAAGTCTTTAATGAAGGGACTACTTGCAGAGGTGCAGACAGTGTTAAGGAAACAAACACTGGCCCAAAACTAGCCCTAGTGGCAAGAAGTTACCACCTGTATTAGTCCATTTTCATACTGCTATGAAGAAATGCCCAAGACAATCATGGCAGAAGGCAAAAGAGGAGCAAAGGCACATCTTACATGGTGGCAGGAAAGAGAGCATGTACAGGGAAACCACCCTTTTATAAAACCATCAGATCTTGTGAGACTTATTCACTATCAAGAGAACAGCAAGGGAAAAACCCACCCCCATGATTCAATTACCTCCCACCAGGTACTTCCCATGATACATAGAAATTACAGGAGCTTCAATTCAAGATGAGATTTGAATGGGACACAGCCAAACCATAGCACCAACCTTAGGTCTGAAGGGAGAAATGCGACTATGGAGAGAGCCTGTCCAGCGGGACACAGAGTCAGATGGGGTCAATGACTCTAGAACTAGTGTAACACCAAGCAGGAAGGGAGTAGGGAATAGAGATCCCATCCTCTCTCCTCTTCCACCCTCTGATCTCCTGCCAATACCTCCCATTGGCCAAACTCAATGGGAAGCCACAGGGCAAGTCCAAGGGTGAGTCTTTTGGGGTACAGAGAATGGCAGAGAAACAAACTAGGAAGAAGGGGAGGAAAAATGAAGAATGAGCAGCACATCTGTCCTCTTTGACTGACAGATGGGCAGTAATCCTAAATGAGGCTAATTAGACCTTGCTCCTCCATGATTTTTAATCCCAGCCAATAAGACAGAAGAACAGTGGGGTGGGAGGTGGGAAATAATCAATTTATTCCCATAGCAGTGCCCACACTACAGTCCACAGACTGGGTATGGTGAAAGGATGCCAGCCAAAAACTCTCATCCTGTCCTATCCATTCTCCACCTTCAGTACCAAGTGGAGCTTGCCATGAGTGAGAGATGTCTTGGAGCAGCTCCCAGTGATGGCTTTATAACAGGGCTGCTTGGACACCTTAAATCACACTAATGAACCATGAGAACCCCCTGCATGGGGTGCTGGCAGGAGACCACACCATTGCAATGGCAAGAGGGGAGACCTTTTTATTAGGTTTCCCCAGAAACTACTCGATAAATGCTTTTAGCATCTTTTTTAAATAAAAAAGAAATGAAATGTAAGGGGCATATTAGCGCTGCTCCCATTTTCAATTAGTCCAAATGATCATGTTAAAAGCTATTAATAAACCACCGCAAGTGGAGGTCACTGGTGGAGGAGTTCATCAGGGAGGAATTGGCAGCCCACAATGGAGTCTTACGCACTGCTGAGGTCTCTCCTCACCCACTTTGCCTCAAAAGCCTCTGCCATGAGACCCACTACATTCCCACGATGTAGGGAAAGGCAGAACCACAGACTGGAAAAATCTGCTAAGATCTGAGCACCATGCCTGCTCAGGTCTGCAAAGACACAAGACCCTGGTTGGAAGTTAAATAATTGGCTGATTCTATCAGTTTTATCAGGCTCAGGTCATCCTTTGTGGTCCTACACAGTCTGTGCTGAAAAGGATCCTAGGGATTTTGCCCCTCATGGGGAAATGTGGCTTGATTGATTAGTGATGTCTGCCAGGGCAATGACTTAGAAGGTGGTGGCATGCTTGTCCTGTATCCACCATGCCTGCCTAAACCTGGTAGGAGAGGAACTCCCAGCAAATGGACAAATGGACTCCCTTTGGTCCATTTGCTGTCCAAAGGCCAGCCCCCAAACCACCCACTCAATGGAAAGGAGAGGACAGATTCCAACTATGCTCAAGTGAGCCAAACTCTTCCTACCTGCCTCCTTTCGTCCAGAGCCTTGCTTCTGGGCAGATAGGGCCCACGGGACAGGGACCTGGATTCAACATTTCTTCTCAAAGCACATCTGAGCACAAAGACTCAGTTTTATTGTTCCCAGCTATGCCAGAACTAAGATAAGGGATGGGATCTTTTTATCCTTTGTCTCAGAGACTTTCAGGCCAGGATTGGTACTAACGTTCTCTGGTCTCCACTGGTATCACAGTCTGAGCCCCGTCTTCCCTGACTCAGGCAAGGGCTCTCCATGTTTCCTTGTCTCAGAATGGTCTCCACAGAGCACAGCCCTGGCCCTGAGCCTCTCCTGCTCCTGCTGAAGACCTCCCATGGTTCTCCAGTGTCTCCACATAAAGTTCCCCTCCCAGCCTCACCTCTAGTCTCTCCCCATGTTCACCACGCCTTCCAGTCACTGCACTCCCTGTGTTCTCTGACAGTGGTGTGCGTGGAGACACCTCCAAGCCCTTCACTTGGAACAACCCTGTCCCCTCCACCCCGACAGCTAACTCCTGCTTATCCTTGAAGGTCCAACTCAAGAGATGACCTGCTCCCCCATGACCACTGTGATCCCCTAAGTCGGCACAAGCTGCTATCTGGGCTTCCAAAGCCCCTTGTACCTGGATCCTCATTGTCCATTTGCAGATCTTCCCCACATGACTGTGGTGAACGACACAGACCACACCATCTGACACAAAAAGGGCAGTAAATTCCCCCACTGGATCCCAGAGGCAAGGCCTACACCGACCCTCACCCCCTGTCTCCCACACCCACCCAGCTGGGGACCCAACAAGAAGGGACACCAAAGGGACCCTAATGGTTCAAAGGGAGGTTTCAGAGGTCTCCCTAACTGGGACCACAGGGGCATTTTACCTGTTGTCCTTTGGCTACACCCCTAAAAAGGAAGAAGTCACCCCTGTGGTCTGGACTCAAGCTCCACAGTCCCCACACCCTCTTCTCCATCACTCACTCTACTTGTCAGAACAGAAAGCTGATTCCAAAGCTGAGAGAAGAGCTGCCCATGGGCCAGAGCCTGGGGACTAAGATGGAAGTAGATGGCCAAGCAGTGTGGCCCCCAAGAAGGACCCAGCCTGAGATGGACAAGAGCCCCATTCCTGGTTCCTAACAACTCCCACTCCCACCCCATGATTGATGGTGAGCAGATGCATCCTGCCCCCTCCCCTCTCCTCCTGTGGAGGTTTTTTTGTTAGGTTTTGCTAAAGCAACCTGCAAATTAATTTAATATCCTCCTTTGGTTGGGAGCTATGAAGCTGGGCTCGAGGCTGATGATGCATGAACCATCGGTGGCAAGTATTTAATCTCTGGACAATGGATAGAGATGTTAGTGCATGCCACACTAAATTCTATTTACGCTGCCTATTAAAGGCAGTCAAGCTGAAGGGAATCGGTGCACATTACAGGCCCTAATGGGAGAGGAAGCTCCACAACAGTACATTAAAGGCGGAAAATGAATTAGGAGGGGACTGTGGAGGAGAAAGCAGGCAGGCCGAGGGGCGGCCTGGATATAACTCTTCCTGACAGCCTAGCACACATGCCCAGCCCCACTGTTCAGATTTGCTGAGAAGAGAGGCTCCAGTGGCCCTCCCAAAGACCTTGACTGTGGGTACCACCCAACCTACATGGGAGTTCCTGTCCTGCAGGTGAAGAAAGAAAAGGGGTTGGAATGATCTCAGGCTACCAAGCCAGCCTCCTTGCACTCTCTAGGTGGGTCCATCTGAAGGCCTGGGGCATTCTTCATCTCCACAGGCTCACCAGTACTTCTGGTCCTTCTACAGGCAGGAGGAAGCTGGCAATGACCAGAGGGAGTGGGTCTGTGTGCTGTTGCTGCTATCACATTATTGGGCAGACCTTGGGAACAGTGGTTACAGTACAGGGGATTACGGCTACAGAGACTTTGGGCAAGCCATGTAATCTCTTTAAGCCCCAACTTCTTCCACTGAAGAGCCATAATAACGTATACTTATTAATAATGTGTCACGAGGGCTTAAGTCTCCCTGGGTTTACACAGATCCTAAGTCCTCCTCTTTTCTGTCTTTCTCCCCTACAGTGTCTTGTCCCTTCAGAGCCCAGCATATGGCTGTGCACAGAGAGGGCATCGTCCCATGCTTGCTTGTTAAAGAGAGCATTTGCCTAAGGTCACCCAGCAGGTAAGCATCTCAACCAGCATTAGCACCAGATCCATCTGACTCTCATCACACCTCCCTCCCCAACACCCTTCTCCTAAGCAGGTGATTCCTGGGGTAGTTGGGAAAATCTGAGCAAATGTTTTGCCTTCAAAGCCAGACGGCAGAGTCTGGGGTCTGCAGGGGGTCCCCAGCTTCCTGCTTCCTGCAAAGTAGAGTGTGGAGCACAATTAAGCAGCCATAGATGTGGGACTTCAGAAAGAAGTGATGCCAGTCAGAGGATGGTATTGCTGGGCTATACAATTGGGAAGGGGAATCAGGACAAGATGGCACAAGCTTCATCTAGCAGGGTGAAATGTTAACAGAGTACCCTCGTAGGAAGGTGTCCATGGTCACCCAAGCCCTGCACCCCCAGCACCTGCAAAATCTCAAGAAGGACCTGGGGTACTGGGAAGAGGACTAATGGCAGCCTTGGGGAACTACCCAAACTACCAGAAATGGATGTCTAAGTTGTTGCCTTCAGAACAAGTCCCAGCTCCTTAAATCATCTGTGGGCCTTACCGTCAGGCCTGCCACATGTCTCACCCCTCTATTACTTGACTCTATGTGCCAATAATACTGAACAACTCAGAGCTTCCAGAATACAATCTGCCATTTCACATCTTGCCTCTTCATTCACTGTTTCCTCTATTTGAAACACTTTACCCCACATCTCCTGGCCTATTCCTAGTTGTCCACTAGGACTCCACTATCTCCTCTAAGTCTTCCATGAACCCCAGGGGCCCACCGTGTATTCTGCTACAGTACCTTGTACTACCTCCATCATAGCACTTAGTGTATTATGTGATTAAAGTCAAGGTACATCTCCCTGGTTCATTCTATGTTTCCAGCTCCTAACATGAGACAGGCACTTGGTAAGGCCCAGTGAATATTTGTTGAACTGAAAGGAAACGACCATTTGTTCTGGTCACCCATTCTGAGCAGATGTACTATAGCCCTTGTCATTAATTTATACAACACCATAACCAGACATAAAAGCTTCAGGTTATGTAGGCTATTCCATACCACTGTCACTAAGTAGCTGTACATGCCATGAAATGAAAGGATTACATATTTGCCATGCTTATTGTGATGGTGAAGCCAAAGCAGTACTCAGAGGAAAATTTGTATTCTTGAAAGCATCCATTGAAGAACAAGAAGGACTAAAAATAAATATCTCAAAGGAAGTCTGGGTAAGCATGATGGACTGAAAATATATATCCAGCTTCCAAAATTTTGTCGCTATTGCCTTTCCTATTCTCCTCGTCTTTGTGGCTTATGCCCTTTAAAAAAATCCCTTTGCTGTTGTTTCACTGGAAGTTTGGGGAGGAATTAGCACACCTGACATGGCTATGCAGAAACCACAAGAACGTGCCTTTCAGATCTCCAACTTCAGTGTAATTGATCAACTGCCCCAGGTGCTATGCTCTGACTCCACCACCGCATTCACTCCCAGCCTCTGGCTGAGCACAGCTGAGATAGTAAGGCAGGTCCGTTGTCGGGAGACATGAGAATCCTTTGACAGATGATTTTAGCTGGAGACTGCCTCATCAGCTTTGCTGAAACTTTCTTGGAACAGCGCAGCATTCTAATAGTTTTTTCTACCCAATCTTCCTCCCTTCCCTCTCTCCTCCAAAATGTTAGACATGCATCATAGTCTGACAGCTCTCCCAGCCTCCTCCAGCTTTCTCCCCATTTTTCCTTCACAAGTGTTTTTCCCAATAAAGCTTTTGTGCATTTAATTCCACGTTGGTGTCTACTTCTTGAAGGGCCCAAACTGACACATATGAAATAACCGGATCCTAACCCAGCAGTGGGAGAGCTGAGAAACAACTTGATTCACTGGAATTTCTGAAAGGCTTAGGAATTAGAGGCATCCGGGAGCACTACAAATAGGGAGTGGGAGACATTCTCAAAGAAGGAGAATCTATCAACAGTTTAGAAAAGTACCTGGCACACAGTAGTGGTTATATAAATGTTTGATGCATAAATATAAACAAAATTGGTGTAAAATGTGTTTAAAAGCAGTCAGATCACTAGATGTTCTCCCCAACTCTTTCACAGGGAAGCAATTGCCCCTCCCTCCTCTCAGCAGATGGGTGGAGAATTTTTCTCCAGGGAGTTTAAGGCAAAGGACCAGGCACTGTTGAGAGCAGGGTTCCTTATGGAACATGGAATCAAGTGAACATTCACGCATTAAATGTTGACATCTCCCCGTGATTTTCTCTCAGTCAATTCTCAAAGCATTGACAGCCAAAATTTTACCTACAAGCAGGAGACTAAAATAATCTTATCTAAGAATCCAACCAACCTAAAGAGATTTTAAAATTATGACCTCAGACAATGCTCCACAGGCATTGGTCACCCTGTGGGGAAGCTCAGAGTCAGCAAGCCCCACCCATGACAGTCAGCTGGTTTATCCTTCCTTTTTCAATCAGAACAAACTTCCAAGGATTAACAGACATCTGAGGAAGGCCCCTGACCCGGAAGATCAAAGGAAATGACTGCAGGGCAGGGAGCAACTAGGAAAAACAGAACTATGCTATTTAAGAAATGAAGAAATGTCATTCCATGCATATGAAATGTCTAGAACAGACAAAGATAGGAAGAAGATTGGTGGTTGCCTAGGCAGGGTGGAGAGGAGGAAATTGAGGAGTGACAGCTAAAGGGTACAAAATTCCTTTTTGGGGTGACAAAAATATTCCAAATTGATTGTGGTGATGATTATACAACTCTGTGATTATACTAAAAACCATTGAACTGCATACTTACATGGGTAAATTCCATGTTGTATGAAGTATATCTCAATAAAGCTGTTACATATGTATATGCAAACGCACATATCTTCAGAGAGATAACAAAAGAGATTTCATGAAATAAATGTAAAATAATATAAAAAAGAACATTCAGCACACATAAAAAGATGCCTTAGAAATTCTGAATGCAGCAGAGTTTAAATAAAAACTCAAAAGAAGGATCCAAATATAAATATACTCTCCAGAAGACAGAGAAAAAAGACAAAGATGTGGAAATAGAAAAGGAATGATGAGAAAATTAGAGAATCAGTCAAAGATGACCAGCATCCAAATGATGGGAGTTCTAGAAGAGAGAGCAGAGACAATGGAAGGAGAAAGTCACCAAAATTACTCAAGACAACTTCCCAGAACTGAAGAATATAAATTTCCAATGAAAAGGTTTGATAGAGAGGATGAACATGTTCTGACACTAGGCATATTATAATGAAATGTTAGGAAAATGTGCAAACCCTGGATACAAAGGGAAGATCCTGCAAGCTTCTAGAGAAAAATACAAAACAAAAGAGATCGAATAAAGAGTCGAAAATCAGAAATGCTTCAGACTTCTCAACTAGAAGACAATGGCACAGTAGGTATTGGTTATCTATTGCCACATAACAAATTAACCTGAAACTTAGCAGCTTAAAGTAATTTTTTTAAGAATGTATCTCATACAGTTTCTTTGGTTCTGGCTCAGAGTCTTCCTTAAGGTTATAATTGAAATGTCAGCCAGAGTTGCAGCCATCGAAGGCTTGACTGGGCCTGATGAATCCATTTCCAAGTTGCCTCACTCACACGGCCAGCAAGTTGATATTGGCTGTGGCTGGATACCTCAGTTTCTCACCATGTGAACCTCTCCAAAAGGCTGCCAAGTGTCCTCATGACATGGCAGCAGGCTTCTCTGAGAAACAGTAATCCTAGGAAAACAAGCCATAGTGTCAGAAGCCACAATGTCTTTTGTGGCCATTATTTCTACACTATTCCATTGATAACCCAGGTCATGCCTATTAAATGCAGGAGGGGACTCTATAGGGCATGAATATCAGAGAAGAGAAGTATTGGGGGCTATTTTGGAAGCTGGTTACCAAATAATGGCTTTGAAATTATGAAGAAAAATGAATTCTAAACAAAAAAAGAATCTACTGCAAGCCAAATATTCATCAAGTGTGAGAATAAGATAGGGATATTTCAGACATGAGAAGTCTTTAAATATTTTACCTCTCAGGTACCTCCTCTTAAGACACAATTACAGAAGGTGCTCCACCAAAATGAGTTTGTAAAACAAGAAAGAGGAAGATGAGATTCAGAAAATAAGAAATATAACTCAGGAGTGAAGGACAGAGAATTTCCGGTGGGATAGGGGAAGGAGGCCCCAGGTCAACAGCTGTGCGTTAGGCTTAGAAGGCAACCAGGCCAGATTGGAGCAAGCCACAGCCACTGGGAGGGACTTATTCAGAAGAAGAGATTGACAGAATATCTGATGTGTTTGAGTGCCTGGATAGGTGAATTAGGCAACAAGCAAGAAGTTTGGGGTTAAACTAATGATTAACAATAGCAAAGCAAGCTTCAAAAACCAAACAGACAAATACTAGCTTCAAGGAAATTAAAAGTTGCATGGGAAAAGAAAAGTAATAATAGTTTACTACCTTGCTCAGCTGTGAAGAGTGTTTACACAGCAATAACAATATAAGTGTTAAGAATTGGTCTTAGCAAATTACAATATAAAATTATGATACAACTATACTGGGAGGATGGGGTAAGTGAGAAGGATGTAGAAGTGTGGTAGGACAGGTAAAGGAAAGAAAGCTAAATCCTCATCTTCCATGGTGGGAAATCAAGATGTAATACCTAGACTTGAAGAAACAATAAGTACTATTGCAAACATGTTTTGTTGAAACACAGAGGTAAATATCAAAATCTGCCAAAGGTGGGGAAGGTGGTTGCCTCTAGGGAAGGTGAAATGTGGGAGAAATTGCTGGAGGGGTTTGTAACAAATCCTGTGGAACTTCTGACCCTTTAAGTGCATATAAAACTTGAACAAAAAAAAGCAAAACTGAAGAGAAAACTGAAATTTCCTTCAGAAAATGATAATAAACTATATTAGAAAAAATTGACAAAAATAAAATTTGTTTGTAGGCATGTTCTCTCCTTATAACATCCTCCTCAATACTTCTTCATTTTCTCATTTTCTCCTCCATCAACCAGGCTTTGGAGTAAGATAGACTGAGATTCATAGTATGTCTTAGCTGCTAACTAGCTGTGTATTCATGGTTTTGGACAATTCTACTCTCTTAGTTTTAGTTACTTTATATAGTAATATAAGGAGAGAGAAAGAGAGAGAGAGACTGCAAATGTCTACCTAGAAAGAATCAAATGAGGTAACATTTATGAAAGTGCCCAGCATACAATATGTTCTCAGTAAATACTAGCTTCCATTCTTTTTTTAATGTAGTTGAGAGAAATGATGATGATGATAATGGTAATGATGATGGGGTTGGAGATGGGGTGGGATGATAATGATACTAAGCTAAAATTTTTGCCATATTATCGCATTTAATCCTACAGAAACCCTGTGAAGCAGAGGCTATTATTACACCCATTTTATAGATGAAGACACAGAGGCATAAGGAGGTTAAGTGAGCCATCCAAGGACATAAAGCCCGTCACAGAACTGAGATTGAACCCAAACAAACTTCAGATTCAAGGATATAATCACTTTTAAATACTGCCAGCTTTGCTGTAGTACAATATCTTAGGTATATTTTGCTGTTGATGTTGGCACCTCCAGAAGACAAGTGGCCACGAGGGTAATAACTAAATGACTGGATGGACAATAAACTGGTGAAACAAGTAAACAGATCAGTAGAGATCGTGCTCCACTCTAGTTATGGTGCATCCCAGCAACCAACCCTCTATGGACTAAATTGTGTACCCCTTTCCCCCCAGAATTCGTATGTCGAATCCCTAACCCCCAAAGTGGCTATATTGGAGATAGGGCCTTTGGAAGGTAATTAAGGTTAAATGAGGTCATAAGAATAGAGCCCTGACCTGACAGGATTATTGTCCATATAAGAAGAGATACCAGAGAGCTGGTTCTGTCTCTCTCTGAGTGTGCACACCAAGAAAAGGCCAGGTGAGCACATGGCAAGAAGTCTGCAAGCCAGGAAGAGAGCCCTCACCAGAACCCAATGACTCCAATCTCAGACTTCCAGACTCTAGGACTGTGAGAAAATAAATTTTTGTTGTTTAAACTACCCAGCCTATGGTATTCTGTTATGGCAGCCCAAGCTGACTAATACACAGCCAACATTTTTATTGAGCTGATTCAAAGCAAATGGCCACCGAAGGGGCAATGTGGTACAATGGAAAGAATAACAAACTCCATGGGGAGATATTCAGGTTCCAATCCTGGTTTTGAGACTTACGAGTCGTGTGGTCTGATAAAAATCTCCTGGTGTGTCTGGACCATCATTGCCTCTATAAAAAAGGAAATCCTAGAGATTAAAGACACCTGGAGTCATCTACTTCCACATGTTAAATACGAGGAAGCAGCGATAACGTTAACATGCACTGAGAGTTCCTTCTGTGCACTTCACATACAAATTCTCACTTAATGCTCACCAAGGTGGTATGAGATAGCCACTATCATAATCCCCATTTCATAGATGAGGAACTGAAGCCCCAAAAGAGATTAAATAACTTGACTAGGGCCATATAATGAGTTAGTGGAAGGGAAGGAATTAATTAAAATCACAATATAAGGGTGCCAAAGTAAGAAATTAAGACTGCAATACTACAGGTCATATGTAGGTGCTCTCAATGACAGTTCCATGAGAGCCCAGCCATCAGCCATCCCAGCCCAGGAACTGGACCGCAGAGTGCAGAAGCCATCTTGGGAGTACTAATAGATTCCCCAGCCCCTGCCATTCTAGTTATCCCAGCTGAGGCCCCAGAGAGCACAGAGTAGAGAAAAGCCATCCTTGCTATGCCCGTTCCTAATGCCTAACCCACAAAATCTGTGTGCAGAATAAAATGGTTGTTGTTTTACACCAGTAAGTATTTGGGTAGGACACAGCAATAGCAGCCAGAACAGCATCCCAGGAAAAGGGGTCAGCCCAGACCAAAAGGAAGTGTGCCAGATCCTCCCAGGTCTACCTAGCTATAGGGATCTCATCAGTCTGCCATTTGAAGTCACTTTGTAAACTGCAACATCACGGCCACAGAAATGCGACAGGCTGTGGCATCCTGGGCTATACTTCTTTCCTCATCAGAGGGAAGCAAGCTGCCTCAAGGGAAGCCAGTACTCTCCTGGAAACCAGCTCAAAGAACTGAATTTAGGCTCCCTTTGATGTAGACAACCCTAGAGCATCTCTCAAGGGGTGGCCCAGGTGAGGGCAGCAGGCATCCCAAAATCAAGCTATGGGGAGAAGCGAGGGAGGCACAGCAGCTCACCTTGGCATGCCATCCCTGGTTCCTAGGTCTAGGATAACCCTCACATGGTTCCTCCCCACTCCTGCCCCCCATCCCAGCCTGTCCCTGAATCATTAGTGCTGATTTTGTCGCCTCATGCCTCCACCTGACTCCCCTCACTCTGCTGAGGAATTGATGTTCTAGAGGTGCCCTTATGATTTGCACCCAGTCATCCCCATGCCCATTTCTCTCAAGACACCACTCCAAACCTCCACCTCTCTGAAGTCCTTCCTTACAGCCCTCCTCACCCTTGCTCTGGGGAAACAATCACTTTGCATTTTGCACTCCACTGTACTCTGTCCATCATAGCACCTCGTTAATGCAATTCAACAAACATATATTAAGCATCAACTATATGGCAGGCACAGTGCTGGGCACTGGGAGCATAGAAATGAGTCAGACAGTCATGATCCCTGTCCCTGTAGGGAGTCTCACAATAAACACATTATTACACACAGTAATGTGGGCACTTGGACGCAGGTAGGTCCTCCATGCAGTCAGCCTAACGCAACCTAATGCAGCCCAACACAGATCTGCAAGGGCCTGGGTCCTCTATTGCCCTGGCGAAGGGACTTCTGCAATCTACACATGGGGAGTCAACCAAGCAAAGGCATTGGAAGATAGATGATAGGGAGCATAGAATGTGATCCTGGTAGAAGGGACATCTTGTTCAAAGACCTGAAGGTTTAAAAAAAAATGTGTTTGGTTATAAAAAAATTAAATGAAGAAGAAAATTGGTCCCAAAGGGTGCAATTGAGAGTGGTAAGAGATGGGGCCACAGGAGTCAGTAGGGTCTTACAGACCTTGGAAAGGATGTTTGCCTTTATCTAAAGGAAAGTAAAAGCCCCCAGAGAATTTTAAGCACAGGAGTGACTTGGTCAGATGTACACTATAGAAAGACCATGCGAGGTGCTGTGTGGAGAAAGAATTGTAGGGCCAAGAAAGGCAGCAAGGAGATCTGCCGATTGGTTTTTGAGTTCTTCCTGGGGAGAGTAGGTGGGGGTGGAGCAGGGCTGCTGGAGGAAATGGAGCAACATGGGCAAAGTCAAGAGGTAGAAGGCTTGGGAGACAAATTATCTAGGCTTTAAAGATGGAAGAGATGATGGAAGTGAGGTCTAGAGGAGGTGAAGTCAAGGAAGATGAAAAACAGTGATGGAAGTTTCCAGATTGGCCCTATGGGAGCATGGGGATTATGTTCCAGAAACTCCCTTCAATTCACTTATAGGCATTATCTCTTCACCAGCCTGGGATATTCCCATGGGCAGGGCCTGGCCTAGAGAGACAGCAAAGGGACAAAGGGATGAGGAAGAAAAGAATGCACCCACGGTGAGGTCCCTGCCTTTGAACACCCCTTCTTCCCTCTCAGCCTTCCCACCATCCATCCGTGGCCTATTCCTTCAAGGACAGCCTCTGTCGCAGCTGCCAGCAGCTCCCATCCACCAGCTGCAGCCCCACTGCTGAAAATTAAGCTGTAGTGTTTACAGGACTTAATTAGCAAAATCACTCATCATCCCGGGAGCTCACTGACTACCCAGACATGACACCATTTGAAATAAATTAGCCCAGTGCCCATTGAGGTCACCCTCATTCCAGTCTGGGGTCCTAGCTTGCCCAAGACCCCCTGACCCACCTCTGGGGCCTCCCCTGCACCTCCAGATCCCAGGAGCCCTTGCAATTAATAGCTAATTAACAAACAAAACAAACCTACCAGGTGGAACAGCAGAAAGACATTCTCAGCCCACAAAAGCAAGTAATTATTCGGTGTGGGCAGGTCTGGAAAAAAATCACTTATGAGATAAATCAATGGCTCTCCCCCATCTTGAGGGCCTGTTAGGATGAAGGAAGGCTCCTCAAGATCAGAAAATTGATTTAAAGGAAAAATTAAGCTTGGTCCATTTCCCCTACAGCTAATCACAAACGAAGACATTCCTAAATATTCATTTTTCCAGGCTTGCTGTAGTCGCATTGGAGATGGAGGTAAATTGTTCACTTAAAAAATATTTATTGTGCACCCACCACAAATCAAGGGATAGAGAACTGGGCAAGACAGTCATGACTCCTGCTTCCTTGGGTCTTTATATTCTAGGGGTTTGAAGACAGACAATACACAAGAAAACAAACAAGATATTTCAGATCATGATTAGGGCTATGAAGACAACAAACAGGGTAATGTGAGGAGGAGGAGTGGGCTAAGGGCTGCTTTACAGGTAGCATGATCAGGGAAGGTTCTCTGAAGAGATGACATTTAAACTGAGCCAGTCATGCTAAGAACTGGGGAAAGAATGTGCATGGCAGGGGGAATGGCTGGTGCAAAGACCCTAAGGTGGAAAGATGCCAACAGTCCAAGGAACAGAGACCAGTGTAACTGGAGCATAGACAATGAAGAGGAAAGTAGGAAGTAGGAAACTTGGAGAGCAGACAGAAATGGGATCTGGTTGGCCTTATAGGCCACCAGAAATATTATGTTTTTATTCTAAGTGAACTGGGAAACTGTTGGAGGGGGTTAATCAAGAGTGACAGGATACAAATGTAAGTGGAGGGGCAGTGGGTGCTCAGGGCCTTTCGCATCCCTCCAAGTGAACCCCTGCCCCACCCTGGAAGTCCTTGCATGCCTCAGGTACCAGCCTTTGGGAATGATGGCAGAGCACTCATTTCCAAAATGCATCACTCTTACTTAGCTACTCAAACTTTACAGATTCAACAGATGGAGAAACTGAGACACAATCACTAAGTGAGTACCCATCCAGTATGAGCCAGGATTTTACACACATAATCTTGCAGAAACCTCACAACAGCCCAGTGAGGCGGTAGTAGTATCCCAATTTAACACATGAGGCAACTGAGGAACAGGGAAGTTAAGTGATTTGCCTAAGATCCCACAGTTGGCAAGTACCAGAGTGGGGATTCAAACATGGGCAGTCTGAACCCAGAGTCAAGCTCTTGCCACTACACCTTACAGTATCCACAGTGTAAGTTTTTTCCCTGAGATTTCACAGCCCACTCAGGCCTGGAACTCAACTCTCCTATGGTCACTTGCACACACCTGTTTGAGATGAGGTTCCCGAGTGTCAGGCAGTCCCCGCTGAAGGATATCAGGTGGCTGTCATAGAGCTAAATAAGCAACATATACAAAGTCCCTAACACACAGTGCCCAGTGTGATGTCTAGCACTTAGCAGGAACTCAATAGATTTTTTTTTTAAGAAAATGAACACTTCTATTTATGTTAAGGTGAAATTCCATTGGCTTTGAAGTGAGGTGTGCAGGGGATGGTAAGGAAGAAGGAAGCCATTCCCCTCTGGGGATCGGCAGAACACACCTACTTTACAAAACAGACCTTATTTTAATAAAATTTTTAAAGAAATTATTTGACTTATTTTTAAACAAATATGTTAATTTTATCTGAAAGTGGGTCAGATGAAAAATAATTAAAAACAAAACAAAAAAAACTTTAAACAGGGGTTCTTGTACTATCTTAGAACTCCAGTGGGTCAAGCACCATGGTGCAGTCAAGTAGCTGCCTTCTGGAGCCTACCCCAGGGCATCTGGAGCAGGGCCCTGAACAGAGAGCTGGTGTCTGTTCCATTCCCATCTAAAAGGTGTTGCTGGCCCATAAGCTTTGAGAGGTGGAGACCATCCATTAGGGAGGAGAGAGAGTGGCTTTCCCACTAAGCTGAAAGTGTCCTGGCTGAAATCCCAATGGCTTGGTGAGACTCATGCCACCAAAGTGGTCCTCTATGGCCCAAAGTCAGAGTGAAAGAAGAGAGCCCAGACTTCCAGGGCTTACATCTGAGACCAGAGCAAAGTCCAGGCATAAGATGGGGCCCATGTGCCTGGACCACTGATTTGCAGAAAAGCAGGAATCTTCCCTGCAACCTGGTAAGATGAAGAAGTCTGTTTCGTCCCCTTTGAAAAGCTCTTAATCATGATAGGTTCTCAGTTAAATTGGCACATCCCCCACCCTTCCTCTTCCCTTCTTACCTCCTCCTCCTTCTCTTCACCCCATCTCTGGGCTCCACTCCCTTCCAGACCTTCCCATCCTGCCCCTCCCTCAATGTCTCCTTAAAAGGCCTTTCAGGGACTGAACCAGCAGTGCCTGAGTCAGTGGCAGACGGCACAAGAGGCCACCAGCCCGACTCCTCTACCTCGAGGACACTCGGGGACTGTCCCCTTATGCAAAACAGCAGGCGCCTGAATTCATAATTGGACGTTCCAAAATGTAATTATGAAAGATGAAATGCTCCTCTCAATGAGAAAGCTGTAAATAGAATAATTAATTTTCTGTTTGCTTGAACAATTCTGTATTATGGATCTTATAGTGGAACTGAAATTAATTAAGTGCACCAGGATTTATGGAGGAGGTGAAGAGAGAGGGAAAAAAGGAATTAATCCGGAGTAAAAGATAGATGAGTTTGGAAGTGTAATGATGTGTTAGCCTGGGGTATTCTTTAACAAATTTACCAGGCACGTTCTGGGTACAAAAGGCATGCATTGACAGAATTATCTCAACTAATACAGCAGCTGGTCAAAAATTGAGTAAGAGGGAGGTGGACGGATTGGGCCTGTGAGGTCCCTGAAGGAGCTGGAGATGGGGGCTAATTTTGAGCTGGCCAGGAGGGGGTCCCACCAGGAGGAGAAAGGGGCCCAACCAAGCAGAAGCTTCTATCCCCACCGCAAAGCAGGAAACAGCTGAAAGGTACTAGGAGTTGCAGAGAGGTAAACCGGGAGGGCCAGAATGTGAGGACTAACTGAGGGAGAAGCTCCTCAGCACTCCTGAGCCCCCCGACCAGGTATGTTCATTCCTAGCCCAGCAATACTTTCAGCCCCATGCACTCATCCAGTATTTTTCCACTACTCTTAAACCTAGATGGGAAGTGATATCACATGACTTCCAGGGCCAGGTTGTGAAAGGCAATGCTTCTACCTGTGCCATTACAACCCAACCACCATGCTGTGAGGAAGCCCAACTAGCTCACACAGAGAGACCCTATGAAGGAGAACTGACAGCCAGCACCTTCTGCCATACCTGTGAGTGATTCCAGCCCATCTTCCAGTCTTCCAACAGACATCATGGAGCAGAGGCAACCTATCCCCACTGTGCCCCATCCAAGTTCCTGATTCACAAAACTTTGACAGATTATAAATGAGTGTTGTGTTTTAGGCCCCTACACTTTGGGATGATTTGTTATGTAGCAATATATAACCAGAACAGGGTCCCCACTTAACCAGAGTGGTGCCCTCTTTCATCTGCCCTTTATGTCAGAATCCCACATCAGATTTCTTTTTTTGGAGGAAGGAGGGGTTTGTGGCTTAAAAGGTTTGAAAACACACTATCCTCGTGGGGAAAAAGTAATAATACAGGTTGGGAGTCATATAGAACTGTGTTGAATCCCAGCTCTGAGCTTCCTGGCCCTGTGACCTTGCACTGCTCCCACCACCTCTTTGAACTTCCTTCTCTTCACAGATAAAATAGAGGCAATAACACTGATTGACGGAGTTGTTGGGAGGATTTTAGGTACACTGCGAAGGTGATTACTTAGCCTGTGAAGCCAGCAAACTGTGCCCAGATAAGAGTGAGGCTCCAGAGTCTGATGAACCTGGGTTCAAATTACAGCTCTGTGTTTTCTTGCTGTGTTATCATACACAACTCACTTCTTTGGACCTCAGTCTTGCCATCTGCGCAATGGCAATAATAATTGCACCCAGTTCCTAGCATAGTAAAGGCAAAGAAGTGCACATAGTGAGTGCTCAATAAACAAGAGTTTGATTGATGCTCACTTCCTCTCCAGGAGCCCAAACTCATTAAACTCCCACAGGCATCAAAGCAACTACCAGTGGTTTTCAAACGTCTTTCTCTGAACAGCCAGACGTGTGTGCTTAGTGGTGCTCTCATGAAGCCTGCACATTCCGACCCTGTGTCAGAGGCAGATGCATGGGACAGCAGCGTGGAAGTTCTGGGTAGCAAATACCTGTTTCTACTCTGACATCTGTCCTCTGCAAGCAGTAAAATGGCAAACAGGAACTTCAGTGTGTCTACTCCAAGTGTGCTCCGGTGCTGTTTGTCAGATCACAGCCTCCCAAGCTGCGTGATCCCATACCCAAGCCAACCAGGCAGAGGGAGACCCTGAGCTGAGTTTGCATCTGGATTGCACCAAGGCTCCAAACCACGAGGCAGTTCCTGACATACCAGCACCCTGGCCCCCAGGTGCTGAGCATCCCTGATGCAGACTCCCACCCCCCAGGGTGGTATTAAGCAGGCATTTAGATACCTGGCATGGAGAAGGGTGATGGATGGCTTTATTAACCCACCGAGGTGAAGCCGCCGACAGTGAAGGACTCCCCTGTCAGAGGAAGCATTCCTTGCCTGCAGGCCCCCTCACCAGCTTGCCTGATAGTCTGAGTCCTTGACAGATGGGCAGCTCCTACGAGAATGGGAGGGCAGTGTGGGGATGGGACAGTAGCCCTCCAAATGCCATGCCTCCTTCCAGACCCTACCCCATAAGACTGACTACCACAAAGCCACCTAGCCCTAAAGGTCATGCCTCCAATCCTCATTGTCTGGATTGTGTAGTTCAGAAGGCAGCATTCACCTTGTATTCCATATAAAAGATGTTCCCTGGGGCTGCACAGTGCAGCAGCCCTACTGGCATTTCTAGATGACATCCACCACCGGCCTCTGTGCTGTGCTATGTATTCCACATGCACTATTCCATCATCCTCTCCCCAAAATCTTGGAAAAAGGTAAATAATATCATGAATACCCATTTTGTAGAGGAGGAAACTCAGGCTCAGAGAGGTGGAGGATTGACTGGCCCAACCTCACAGAGCAGGAGTTGAGGGTCCCCTCAACTCCTCAAGCCCCTTCCCTGTCTTAGATGCCATGCAGAAAGGACCCTGCCTAGGGTGGCTTCCATGGCTCCTTTATCCTCCTCTACACTCTGGTCCTCCCATCATCCCCTTCTCACTTTTGTACTGTCATGGACTGAACTAGGAAACTCTCTTCCATCAGTTATCTGAGGCTGAGACCAAGAACGAGAGAGGAAGGTTCTGCCCACTCCCACTTCTCTAAAGTTCCCGGAGAGCCCCTCCAGCCTCCACAACCCCTTCCATCCCTCCATCGCCCTAGACTGAATCTCCTCTGGGCTCCCTCAGGGCCTGAGAGAACTCACACCTCCCCTCCCCGGCCTGCACCGCTCTCACCATTGCTGTTGCCTGGGTCTTTTTCACATTTGTGTGGACTCCTGCAGCAGCTCCAAGTCCCCACCCTAAACTCCACATACACGATGGGAGTGGTCCTTCTGTAAAATCCAAACTCCACTCTGTCCACACCTCAGATGCCACAGGGGCTCTCCGAGCCCTCAACATAAAGCCCAAACCCCTCAGGTGTGCCCCAGCTCCTGCCCTAACAACCCCCTGCATTCCAGCCATGCAGACCCTTGGGTGGTTCATTGCACAAACCTGGGCCACTCAGAGCCTTCCTTCCATGGGGAAGACCCTCTTTCCTCATCATCTGGCACCTCTGCTCACCCTTCTCCCCACTGGCTCCTGGCCCCCACCCCTGCTCCCTATGTAAGACCCACAGGGCTCTCTGAACTTAGGTTCATCACACTCCTCAATGTGTGAGGTCACTTACCCATGTCACCTACTTCCCCATTTTTCTGTGAGTCCTACCCACCCAGGCTTATCTCATAGTAGATGCTCAATTAGCTAGAGTCCTTATGAATTAGAGCTATAATTATTGTTTCAAATAAAGCTTCTGCTGCAGCAGGGTTTGCTCTGGAGCAAGCTCGGCTGGCCTCTACCCTCCCCTCCACATCATCTCAACCTAAAGCCTTTCCCTCCATGTTCCAGCCATGCTGGCCTGTTTTTAGTTTCTTGGTTCTATCCAGTTCATTCCCACCTCAGAGCTCAGAGAGCACATGCTCTCAGCCTGGAATGTTCTCCATCTCTCTTTACTTAGCTGATTCCTACTTACCCTGCATAGCTCAATTGAAATGTCACATCCTCAGAAATGCCTCCCACCACCACCCTTTTTAAATCACCTGCCTTATTATATAGGATCAGGATATGCTGTAATAGATGAATCATGTCGCATCCCTGTGCTTTCCCATGCCTTCCCATCCCTTTGCCTTATGACTTTGCAGTTCCTCTCATTAAAGAGGTAGAGTCTATTTCCCTATTGCAAGCTGATCTTTGTTATCCAAATCACCCCTTCACCCAGATCAAAGGAGAGTAGAGAGGAGCATTTTTTGCAGTGTTCGGAGATCTTACATTGGATCAAAATGCACCTCTTCTCACTAGTGTCCCCCACAACCACACCCACTCCTTTGGCTACAGTTTGAAGTCCTTTGTACAAACCATTCTGGAAATGGAATAGCCCAGTATTGCTTTCCTGGCACCTATACAACCAGGCAGGGATCAACAAAGAAGAAAGCAATTCCATTTATTCCACTTATTCATGTATGTATAAATATGCTCAACAAATATTTTATTGAGTATCTACTAGGTGCCAAGTTCCAGGGTTACAATGGTATGTGGAAAAGAAATGGGACACCATGAAGCTTATAACATAGTGGAAAAGGCAGGCAATGAGCAAACAAGGAAATAAAAGCAAAAAAATCAGATAACAAAAGAAATAAATTTAAGCAAGATTTTTTTAAAAAGAAGTGATTGAACAGGAAAAAAATTCCAGGTAGGCTGCAGAGAGAATAGCAAATCTACAACTCACTTTGGAAGCTCTGTTTGGCAGAATTTTTATCTCCATAAGCCAAAGAGATAGTTGATTTTTCACTCAACATATATTTAGAGAGCACCTACTGTGTGCCTGACTGCTCTAAATGGCAATGTTAAAACTTAATGTCCAGTGGCCTCAAGTGAGGAAGGAAGAAAGGAATATAGGAAAATTAGCATTTTTGAAGGCTTGCTATGTGCCAGATATGAGCTGCACAATTCCATGCATGTTTGTTCACTCGAGCCTCATAGTACTGCAGGGAGTTAGTAACTAGAGTAATTCCCATTTTTACTGCAGCCCAGGGAGTCATCACCACACATCCAGGAAGTAATGCAGCTGGAATTGGGACCTGTGCAGGTGTGGTTCTTATCCCCATGTCACGCTCCTTCCTCAACCTTTTACAAACTGAATCAAATCATCCGAATTAAAATCTTTTTTATTTTACTGGGATATGAGAACTTAATTCCAAGATGAATGATGGACAATAATAATAGAGGCAATTGCTCTTGAGTCCAAGGAACCCTCCATGCCCCTCTCCATCACCCAGCCAAAACCTCCTCCATGCAACTTCCTTCCCCTACAATATATAGTCCTCAGGTATGGTCAAGTCTAGATGCCTTGCCAAGTGGCCCCCATCAAGGAGCCAAGGCACATTTTTGTGTTTTGTTTTTTGGTTTTTTGTTTTTTGGTTTTTTGTTTTTTCAAGACAGGGTTTCGCTCTGTCGCCCAGGCTGGAGTGCAGTGGCATCATCTCAGCTCACTGTACTCTGCCTCCCAGGCTCAAGTGATCCTCCTGCCTCAGCTCCCCAAGTAGCTGGGACTACAGGCAAGCACCACCAAGCCTGGAAATTTTTTTTTTTTTTTTTTTTTTTGTAGAGACAGGATTTCACCACATTGCCCAGGCTGGTCTCGAACTCTTGAGCTCAAGTGATCCACCCACCTCGGCCTCCCAAAGTGCTAGAATTACAGGCACAAGCCACTGTGCCCTGCCTCAAGGCACACTTTCTACACAACACCACCATGAGTCTTTGGGGCAGATATTTTTTTTCATGCAATAATGTTTGCCATAAGGAAAGCATGATTAAAACATCTTTTTACAAAATGCATTAATTCCTAGACAAAGATAAAAATTCCATTTGACACAAATAGATTTTCCATGGTGAGTTAGCCCTGCATTGAGGGTAATGGATGGGGGAGTGGGGGGAGTCCAGCTCATAAATCAACAGGGGGATGGGAAGGGGGAAAGGAGTTGATGGAGGGGAGAAAGAGGCACTAGTGAAATTTCAACCTGTGAGAGTGATGCCCCTCTCCATTCCCCCAGTTCTTAATGATCTCATCAGGGGTCCAAGATCGATTCCCAGCCATGTTCATCTATCCCCTTCTGCATTCATTATTTTAATAGCATCCACATAAGACCACTTGACATTTGCATCAGACAAGCATTAATGGGAAGTTTGTTTGGGAAGCTTAGGAATTGAAGAGAAGCAGGCACCTTGGTTGTTGGCCAGGTCAGTCTAAATGGAACAAACTTGGAGACTGGGGAAATACGGGAGGTGGAAAATGACAATCAATGATTCTGTTCAAATCAGACCAATGTTACTGAGATTCCCTTTCATGTTACAGGGCTTCCCAGCCCCCAGACCTCTTAGTAAACCAATGAATATAAAACTTAGGCATGTGAGCCTGAATAAAAGGATCCTAGATCTTTGAGCTGAGTCAAAAAGACCGTGATTCTAATTCACTCTACAGACATCTCCCAGGTGTGCATCTGAGCTAAGTGCTGTATTAAGCTTGAGGAATGCAGTGTGAATGAGACTCAGGCCTGCCCTCAAGGAGTTCCAGTCTAGATAAATAAAGAGCAATTTCAGCTCAGGGCAGCAAATGTTGTGTTATAAATAAACAGGAGAGAGAGACATGCTCTGGGGCTTTCAAGAGGCAGGGATGCTTGAGGTGAAACTTGAAGATAAATAGGAATTTCTCAAGCCCACTGGGTAGATGCATTTTCCTGGCAGAGGGAACAGCACGTGGAAAGGCATGGAGCATGAGATAGCCTGATGTGTTTGGGAGTTGAAAGAACTTGGAAGTCCTGGAGGACACAGAACCAGCAAAGAAGTAGGAGAGACTAAAGAAGATGGCCAGAACATTGTGTGCCAGGCTTCAGAATGAGGCTTCATCCTGCAGGTCAAATAGATGGAAGTGGAGAGATTCAAGGAAGGAAGGGAGGCAGTTAGGACACTGTTTCAACAGTCCTCCCAGGAGGTGATGAGGCCTGAGCTAGGGTCGTGGTCTCAAGGTTAGAGAGCAGGTGTGAAGTCCAGTGGTATTCTGGAGGGAGATATGATGGCAGGGCCCGACCTGGGTGCAGCACTCCTCTGTCACCATGAGGCATCCAGAGGACAAGGAAAAACAGAAGGAAGGAGGGTCTGAGGAACAGGATCAATGAGCCTGGGCCTGAAAGCTGGGTTGAAGGAACAAGGGACTTAGTAGATATTTTCGAAGCTCCAAAAGGCTGTTGTCTTAAGTTGAGTTTCCCCAAAAGCAGAATCTAAGACAAGAACTTATATGCAAGTAGTTTATTTGGGAGGCGATCCCTGCAGTGAGGAATGGAGACAGTCAGAGAAGGATAGAGAGCCAACGCAAGGTGAGTGATTGAGCTGGTTACCACTGTGGGAAATTGGAGCTCATTTCCACAGAGGACTTTCTGGAGAATTGTGATAAGGTACTCAGACTTGTCCCTCCAAAGGGTGGGAGGCTGGGCATCTACTCAGGACTCCTGAGGGTTGCCCACTAGGGATGTTTTCTCTCCTACACTTCCAGATTGCACCTGGGGAGGGGATCAGGAAGATTCCCCAAGCTTTAGAGCAAGACCTAAAAAAGGAGAGCTCAGAAATACAGGAAGCATTTAAAATGGGACCTTGTCAGTGTACATGGGAGCTCCCCTACCCCACCATAGATGCAACTGAAGCAGAAGTCAGAGATGGGACAAAGGTATGTGTCATGGGACACCAATGGCACCTGTTGCAGCTGTCCTCTGGTAGAGGGAGCAGACAAATCGGGAGTGGACCCAGAAGTAGAGACAAGCCTATTCATCATCACAACCCTGGAGAAGGCAGAGGCAGTGTCAAATCCCATTGTCATAACACATAACATTATACAACTAGGCATTCCTGTACCACTAATAGCAAAAACTATAATTTATTGCATGTTTATTGGCTGCCAGTTGCAGGGGTAAGAGTTTGCATGGATTATCTCATTTAATTCTGAAACAATCTTGTAAGAAAAGTTCTATTATCACTTCCATGCTATAGAGGAAAAGAACAAGGGTAGGATGAAATACATTATTTATTCAAAGTCCTCAGATTAAACAGGAAAGAAGGCAGGATTAGAACGAGTTCTCCTTAACCTCAACCCCTGCCTAGTGCTGCTCCTTCAGCACTACTTGTCCCCTCAATCTACATTGGTGGGACAACTGGCACAATTAATATAGGTCTATAAATTATAGTGCTGTATAAATGCAAATTTCTTGATTTTGAAAATTCTACTGTGATTATGGTTATGTAAAAGAATATCCTTGTTTTTAGAGAATGCATACTGACATATTTAGAGGCAAAGTGGCATTATGTCCACACTTACTGTCAAACAGTTCAGAAAAAAATATATATGCACATACACATAGATAAAATAAATGTGGTACTATGTTAACTTTGAGGAAATCTGGGTACAGGGTAAATAGCAATTATTTTAATTATTTTTAGAACTTTCCTATAAATCTGACATTGCCAAGTTTTCAAGTTTTTAAAAATTACCTAATCTTGCTGGGACTTACCTGTCTCATTTTTCAAAAGCAGAATAAAAACTTCCAGTCCATTGCAAAGAGCAACAAAGAAAGGGTCACTACTAGCACAGGAAATGCCTCTGAGGTGCTTAGCAGGAAAGGGCCTTGGCCCTGAAGGGTTTTCTAGGTATTTTCTCCTGCTCAAGAGCTTGAATTCTCTTGGTAGCTGAGACCTGGGAAGCAATACCTGACATCTGTCCCTGGAGTGGCAGGAAACAGAGCTTCCAGACATGCAACCTCTCCCTGGACCTGCCAGGTACAGCCACCAGGAGAATGGAGCCTTCAGCCCACCCCTTCCTGCTGTTTCATACATGGGCAATGCAACTTTTGGAATCTTGCCTCCTTTGTATCTCAAGGCTGCTTTTGGCCTCAAGGTTCCCTAGACTTGATTTGGAAGAGGATAATGCTGAAAATTGAGTGGTGAAATGCCAGGGGTTGGGAAAAGGGGCGGGAGGAAGTTATTGCTGGAGCACATCAGGGGTCAAGATGTGGGTTCCAGCCCTGGTTCCACCACTTGGACAATTCCTTCTGAGTCTCTTGGCCTCATTATCCCCATCTGTGACAATACCTATCTTACAGCCTTCCTTTACTCACTCACTCACCCAACAGCATTTACTGAGGACCCTCTGTGAGCTACACGCTGGATGAGTCCCTGTGGGGAGAGCAGTGAATGAAACAAATATGGTCCCTCCATCCTGGAACTTACCACCTAGTGGGAGAAGACAACAAAAACAAGCAGATAAGTAACTGAGAGCATTACAGACTGTGGTAAGTGGTAAGTGCTGTGGATGAAACAATGGCAGAAGATGACAAAGAATAAGGGGTGGTGATCGTACTTGGATGGGTGGTCAGGGAAGACCTCTCTGAGAAGGTGAAACTTTACCAAGACTGAAGGCTGAGAGGTGCCAGAGGAAAGGCATTCTTGAGATCATCAGCAATGGTTTGTAAATGGTCATGAGATTAGTGCCTTCCCTCTTCCTTCCTCCTTCCTTCTCACCTTCACCCAATGCGGGCAGCTACTCAACTGAGGCAAGAGCCATTTTGCCTGAAAAGTCCACAGCCCCCTGGGCAGGTTGGGCTGTCCCTCCCCAGGGGCATCCTTGCCTTCTGTCCCAGCACACCTCAAGGCCCTGCACACACAGGGGCTGTGCCAGAATTCAGAGAGAAAAATGAAAACTCCCTTTCCAGATGGTTGCAAGATGCTGCCAGTTTCCAGTGGTGATACTGGGGAAGGTGCCAAGAAAACTGCCTCCATTGGTGTCCCTCTCACTCCACAGCCGGGGAAGCCTCTCTGAAATGTACTTCAAAGGGACTGACAGGAGTTATGGGATAAATACCCCAGCTCCCTGACCCCCCAAATGGAATAACTTTGAGATATGTTCTCCACTCTCTCAGAAGGCCCTTGTGGGACTGAGTCTCAGTTGCCCTGCTGGCTAACACTTTCTGTATTAACTTTCTTCCCTTCCCCATCCCACCCCTCTGGTCTCCTCTACTGTTTCATGAGATCACATCCCAATCCAGAATCCTGTCTCAAAATTTGCCTAGGGGGACTCCAACTTAGGATAGTGCTTGATAACTATTTAGTAATCTAAGTGGGATTGTAAGCTACTAAACTTGCTGATCCAAGGCTGGATCAACCCCTCTTTTAGTTCATTGTTGTACCCCAACTTCTCACACAGAGCCTGGAACAGAGAAGATGTTCCATAAACATTTGTTGAATGAGAAATTGACCTCACAGAACTAGGCAAGTCCCCACAAGGGCAGACATCAGAGCCAACCCTTCTCAGGATAGCCCTGGGGAATATTTGGCCCCTGGGCTTCAGACACTTGGCCTCTGAACCAAGGAGGCCCCACTAAGAAGGCCAGAAAGGGGGCACTGCCGGCAATCACGGCAGTGAGATGGATGGGCAACACGGGGCTTCCTGGGCTGGGTGCAGCTTCCACCCTGTTCTGCTCTGCAGAGGAGCCCGGCTCTGCTGGGCACAGCTCACCATGGCGAGTATGCAAACAACCACAGCACAGGGGCCATTTCAGTTAGTTCAGGAAAGGTACAAGAGCATGACAAATATATGTAATTTGTAAATTGGCCAGTCTTTTGCAATAATTTAGAGGCTCTAGTTAGGAGCAATAGAAACCCCCCAATTACTGATGTTTAAGGCTGGCACTGTTGCTGGCTGAATATTTCATGCATAAATGAACTTCCACTAGGCCACCCGCTGCTTCTGATGAGGCTCTTGTGGGCTTTATTGCCCGGCGCCCAGCAGGGTCCCGCCAATGGGCCCCATGACGGATGATGCATCGTTTTGCAGCTTAAATAATGCAGTGTGGAACAGGCTCAGTGCTGGTGCACTTTATTTACATATCAATTGAGTGGCCACTCTGAATATGAAGAAATATGAGAGGGGAAGTGGCTGGCACTGAATATTTCATGGCCATGAGCCCCACAGGAAGCGAATGTCCCCAGCCCAGAGTTAGGTCTGGCCATGTGTGTAAGAGAGAACTGGCATTAATAGTCCAGGAGACGAGGCAAGAATAATCCCCCAAGCCAGGAGGGGAGCCACTAACTGGAATTGATGAGCCCCCTATCATCTGGACACAGCCTGCTGGTGCTTTTTCAAGTCAGCAAAATATCTGCTTCCTGCCTGTACCTTCTGGTTCCCAGAAACTTCTGCAGAGAAGGGAGTTTGTTCAAGCCATCACACGCTGACTTTCCAAGTCATGTGGATGGAACAGAAGTTAGTATGCAGTGGAAAACAGCATAGTCCATCGAGAAAGGGCCCCATCCTTTCTGAGAATTTGCTGGAAGATGAATCAGGAATCCCAGCCCAGCCCCTTCTCCCTTCAAAGGGACTGACAGGAGTCATTCACTTAATAATTATTTTCTCACTGGATGAGGTGGCTCATGCCTGTAATCCCAGCATTTTGGAAGGCTGAGGCCAGAGGATCCTAGCATTTTGGGAGGCTTGAAGCCAGGAGTTCAAGCCCATTCTAGGCACACAGCAAGACCTGGCCATCTATACAATAAAAATTTTTAAATGATCTGGCACAGTGGCGCATGCCTGTAGTTTCAGCTACTTGGGAGGCTCAGGAGGAAGGATAGCTTAAGCCCAGGAGTTCAAGGCTACAGTGAGCTAGGATTGTGCCCTGCACTCCAGCCTGGGTGACACAGTGAGACCCTGTCTCAAAAAAAAAAAAATTATCTTCTGATCCTCTGCCATGTGCTAGGCTTCTAGCTAAGTAATGAGGATACAACTATGAAAAAGACACAGCCCCCATCTTCATATACCTTCCAGTTGAGTGAGAAAAAAAAAGAAAAGAAAATGGGGAACCGTAATGATTGGGTGTACTAGGTGTTTACGACTGCTTAACAAACTACCCCAAAACTTAGCAGCTTAAAACAATAGACACAGCCTCAAACACAGTTCCTGCGAGTCAGGAATTTAGAAGCGATATAACTGCGTGATTTTTGCTTGGGAATTCTCATAAGGTTGCAGTCAGTATATCGGCCAGGGCTGCTGTCTTCCAAAGGCTATACTGAGCTGATGGATCCCACTCCAAAGCAGTTTACTCACATGTGTGGAAAGATGCTGTGGGTTGTTGGCAGAAGGCCTCAGTTCCTCACCATACTGACCTCTCCATAGAGCTGCTTGAGTTCCCTCACAATATGGCAGCTGACTTTTCCAAGCAAATTATCCAAGAGAAAGAAGTGGAAGCAGCAATGTCTTTTATGACCTACCCACAGAAGGCACAATCCATCACTTCATTCGCATTTTGTTTGTCACATGGATAAACCCAATAAATATAGGAGGGCACTACAAAGCATGACTACAGGAGCAGGAATCATTGGGGACCATCTTGGAGGATGGGTACACATGCGGCAAGTAGAGGTGTAAGGAGGGGCAGCTGGTCTGGTATAAGGGAACCTAGGAAGGCATCCTTGAGGAAATGATATCTGATTAGAGATGAAAAAATAAAACTATCTCAGCAAAGAGGAAGAGGGAAGAGTGTTCAGCAGAGGGAACAACCTGTGCAATGGCCCTGAGCTTGGTGCATGGGAAGCCAGGCAACTAAAACACAGGGTTCCATTTGGCTAGAGCTTAGAAGGGGCTTTGAATACCAGGCTTCATCCTGAGGGCACTGGGGAGCCTTTGGAGGGTGAAAGGAGAAGATAGCCCTGTGGGTGTGGTGGGCCTCAAGTCTGTTACATCCCTTCAATAGTGGGCGAGTCTGGGTAGGTTTGAGATAATGCTCTGGAGAGATGAAAACAGAACCCCAAGTGAGCCCTGGGATATACTGTACTCTAGAGAGGATTCAGTTTAGGGTTAGAGTTAAGTTAATGTTAGAGTCAGAGCTAGAGAACTGGAGAGAGGTCACCAGAGGCAGCAGATCTGTCTCAAAGGTCAGCCCCCCACTCACTTGCTGGCTTATATGATCTTGGGCAAATCACTTACCCTCCATGGGTAACAATCAGTGGGCCTCCATTTTCTCATCTGTAAAGTAAGAATAATAGTAGCACCAGCCTCATAAGGTTGTTGGGGGTGTTGACTGAGAAAAGACATCTGACACATGTATCCACTCAGTAAAGTCTAGTGCAGTGAATGAGGCCTCCATCTGTGTCAAAGATCTTCTCTCCAGGACCTGGGATCCCTTCACCCCCTTCTTACTACAAACCTTCTCCCCTACTTTTCAACACTACCTGAGATTCTGCTCCTGAGGGTCTTACTGCCTCCACCACATTGGAAGCCCCAAGGAGTGGGCAAAGCCAGACTCATTCCCCGCTTGTGGATGGACCATCCCTCTGACAGCGCAGTGCTAAACCCGGTGAGTTTTCTGACTCCACCATTCTCATTCCCATCATGCTGTCATTTTCATTCCTAGAAATTATTACAACTTGTATATTTTATTTAGCTAGTTGTGTACTTTATAGGTTTTGTTGTTGTTGTTTTGTATTGCTTTATATTTTCTTCTTGCTCTTTTTCCCCCAGAATGAACACTCTATGAGGTCAGGAACTGCCTGCCTTCTTTACTTCTGTAGCTCCAGCACCAGCACAGCACTTGACAATAAAACCCAGCAGATAAAAGCAAAGAGTCTGGGCCAGGCTTCCTGGGTCTGAATCCCAGAGCTGGTGCTATCTAACTGTAGAGAGACAATTTGGACAACACAGTGTCTCAGTTTTCCCCTCTGTAAATGGGGCCAATAATAGTAGCGATCCCATGGCTGGGCGCAGTGGCTCACACCTGTAATCCCAGCACTTTGGGAGGCCGAGACAGGTGGATCACTTGAGTTCCAGACCAGCTGGCCAACATGGTGAAACCCCATCTCTACTAAAAATACAAAAATTAGCCAGGTGTGGTGGCAAGCGCATGTAATCCCAGTTACTCGGGAGGCTGAGGCAGGAGAAGCAGTAGAACCTGCAAGGCGGAGGTTGCAGTGAGCCAAAATAACGCCATTGCACTCCGGCTTGGGCAACAAAAGTGAAATTCTGTCTCAAAAAAAAAAAAGTAGCAATCTCATTAGGAGGATTAAATGGTACTATGGGTAAAGCACTCAAGAACAGTGCTGGAACATAGGAAGTGCTATATAAGGGTTTGTTTTATACGTAGATATAGGTAGATGTAGCTAGAGATAAAATGGTAGGTGTTCAAGAAATATTTGCCAAATTAATATGCTAAGTCTAGGAACGGGACAAAGTCCTAACTGGGGCAGAGCCTCAGATAGGGACAATGACACTCCCAAGGGTAAGTTCCTTGATCTGAACAGAGAAAAACTTGGAAAGCTTGGAAGCCAGAGGCAGCTGGGAAGGGCAGCTGTAAGCAAAGGCCTGGTGGGGTGGGGCAGGGGCCACAAGAGACCCTCCATGGAACCCCCACCTGGAATAGCCAGACCGAGTACTAACACACACTGAACAGCTAAATCATACATTATTGATTTGTCAAACGTATTTGCATATAAATAAGCATGATCATTCATGGAGGCCCGAGCAGTGGCACCTCCCCTCAGTGCCATGATTACAGATGGATGGCCCTAGTTAGACACGAACCAGGGACGCTGCTACCCCTGCCGCAAAGTCAGCGGCTGATTTAAAACTACATTTATTGGAGCATGTAAGTGTGACAGCCTAGTGGTGAGTTTGGGATAATTAGTCTAAAAGACAAGATAAACGACTCCTAAAACTGGTATTGTGACGAAGATCCCACCCTACCCCCCCGCCACAGCCAGCTCAGCCCTGATGCCAAAAATACAGCCGAAGATAATTAACTAGGAAATGTTAACAGGCAGGATTATGTTCCAATTGCATTTTCCAGAGGACTTTAGAATTTTACACCCAAGTTGATTGTGTTCCCCTCCCCCTGGTGATTAGGCAGGAGAGGCGGATTCTTAGCTAGAAGCAGAGGCTGGGTGGGGTGGGCAGACAGGCCCAGACAAGGTCTCTAAGGCCAGGCAAGCAGGTGGCTCCAGTCAGCCTTCCCCGAGCCTGAACCGAGATGGATCTGCTGGGTGAAGCACGTTGACCCGGGTAAATTATATCTGCCATGTTAATTCATTCCACGTGGGAGATCAGCCATGAGCTCAGAGGCTGGCATCGGCTGCCTCTGATGGATCAAGGGACCCAGCTGCTCAGACACAATGCTAGAGACTTGTCATTGCGGGGGAAACACGGCTTGCTAATGCTTTATTTTAATTGTCCTAAATTACACTTGAAGATGCACAGCCCAGGAGGCCAGCCAGCAAATATCAAACGTTACCTTGAGGATCTGCTTGGCCTAGAGAGGAATCTGCAGTCCTAGGACTGGGGCCTCACCGCTTTGCTGATACAGAAGAGAGAGCCACTGCCTTTTGGTTTCACCACCTGCCTCCCTGCTCCCAAGGAAGGGGTAGAGAATGCCCTGAGACCTCTGACGCATCCTATCCATAGGTTTGAGGGTTCCTTCTCTGAGAGTTAAGTCTAATGGACCTAGACAGAAAGAGGGGGGTGGGCCTTTGGAGTTTGTTTGAGGCAATCAAAGAAGAATCTAAAAGGAAGGCAGCACAGCAGAGGAAGCCATGGCAGAAGATGTCCTCGTCCTAATCCCCAAAACCGTACATGACAAAGGGGACTCTGTAGATATGATTAAAGATATTGAGATGGGGGGAGTGAGTGAGAGTGATTGCAATGTCATTGCAAGGTCCTTAGAAGAGGGCCAGGGAGAGAGATGAAAATGCTATTAGTCAGCTGGCATTGAAGATGGCACTGAAGGTGCAGGTGGGCTCCAGAAGCTGGAAAAGGCAAGAAAACAAAGGGTGCAGCCCTGCCAACACCATGAAACAAATCCAGGAAGACCTATTCTGACTGCTGATCTCCAGACTGTAAGATTATAAATTTGCATTGTTTTAAGCCACTTAGCAATTTGTCACAGCAGCAATAGGAAACTAACATGGAATCTCATTGTTCTCAGCCTGGCCTCACCACATCCTGGCTGTGTGACTTTGGGTAAGTGGCTGAACTTCTCTCAGCCCCAATTTCCACATCTGTAAAATGAGGATTATAGAAGAACCTAATTTGTGGGGCCATTGTGAATATTAAATGAGCTAATGCCTGGAAAGTGCTGAGCTCACTGCTCAGCATATAGCAAGAGCTCAGTAAGTAGCACTTACTGTCGTGGCTGTCGTTGTCGTTATTGCCCCTTGCTGCTCTTTCTGAGACCCTGCAGTGAGGATAAAATTAGTAAGATAATACACATCACCAAACTAAAAGTTTCTTTATTCATCTAGTATTTATTGATCGTCTTCTATATGAAAACTATTCTATCAGGTATTAGGAATAAAATAGTGAACAAAAAGGGACTTAGCCCCTGCCTTCATGGAGTTTATAATATTGTAGGGGAGATGGACCTTATCATATAATTATATTATGAATAAAATATAATGTTATATGTTATATTTATATTGAATAATCTCCCAAACAAGTGCTAAGATTGAGAGATGCTAAATAAATACATATGGAGAGATGTGTCTCATCAGGGAATTCATGGAAAGCTTCCTGGAGGAAACTGACCTCAAAAGTTTGAGTAGAGTTAGTGCTTTGAGAAGACAAGGGTGTGGGAGGAAGGACTCTGCCTACATGTCTGGAGTCATGATCCAGCTTCTGGGGTATCTGGGAGGAGTTTAGTCCAAATAGAATGCCTGCAGATGCCCACGATGGCAAGTCCTGGGAAGGTAGAATGGCCCTCGCCACAGGCAGTCCAAATAGAGGTGGCATGATCAAGTGTGGCCTTGAGCTGTATAAGGTGAGTCTATCCCTTAGGTGCTGAATCCCTGTGTGATTCCGAATACCAGGCTGGAAATATCACCTCGTACCTTGTATGTGGGCCCTGACCGTGAATGCAGGGGTATATTCTGCCCTTCATCAGTCCAAAGCAAGACACATGGCATAGTCTAGTTCAATGGAGCAGGTAAGTATACCTCTCTCATGGACATGGAAAGGAGGGAGGGAAGAAGGAAATATTTTCCTGACCACCGTGTAATCTATCACATGCCTTAAAATTCTGCCTGGGCATAGTGGAGTACTCCTCCCTCCTTGGGATAGACGGGAAGGTCTAAGGACCACTCCTCATTCATGCACAAGATTCTAGGCCTCGGACCTCCACTCTGTGTATCTATCAGCCTTTCTGCATACCACATCATTTAGATAATGACTCAGGATTAGCCAGATCCCAAATCCCCTGGTCAGTGCTTGTTTCTAGGTGTGGATGTTCACCACCTAAAAACCTAGGCCTAAGCTGGACTGCCAGGCACATAGCAGCTATGCAAGAATGATTTGTTGAGTAAATGAATGAATGCATGAATGAATGAACAAATGCCCAGCCCACCCCTTGGACATCATTCGTTGGTTTATTTGATGCCTTCTATCTATCAGACCTCCATTTCTGCTGTACACGCAGCTTGGGCAGAGATATTGTGACATAATGTAAAACCCACCCACCCCAGACAATGACTGTGCAAGCTCCAGACCCTTTCTTTCTCGGCTTTCACAACAGTGGCCACGGCGTTGGCAGAAATTCCAAAACAGCCTACAAAATGTGGATGTGGGAGACCATATCCCCAGAATGTTTTGCAAAAAGCAAATATTGTGACAAACAATTGGAAACATGGTACATTTATCTGCACTTGCAGTAGCTGCTCATATGTTCACATTAAAACAGTTGAAAATGTATAATTAAAAATCTGTTTCAAAATGCAAAGAACATGTAAAAATAGTTTATCCATTCACAGATTAAAAACAAAAACAAATAAGTGTGAGTCATGAAAAAAAAAAAGAAAGAAAGAAAGAAAAGAAAGCAAACTCCAACAGGATGCAGGCCCCAATGAATGGCGGCTGAAACAAGTCTCACAGTATACATATGCCCCATCACCCCCAGTACAGAAACCAGGGGATCTGAGTTGAACCTGTATCCTTTTCAATTTGCATAATTTGATGCTTTAGTTTCTCTATGTGAGAGGAGTTGTGGGAAAGAATAGTAAGTGAATATCGGGTAAAAAGTCCTCTGCACAGAGCTCAAGACCTAGATGAGGCACACGGATCCAACCTTCTAGCAGTAGATACAGACAAGCATCATGGGGAAAGCAGATATTAAATTAAAAGCATTTTTACAACATCTCCACCTCCCAGACTGCTAAAATTAGGCTTATCTTTGGCAATTCTGATTCTCTTTCTCTCTTGCCATCAGAGGGAGGTTCTGAGTCTGCCTGTAATTTCCCTGGCATTTTTTTTTTTTACTTACATTTGGGAAGGAAGGAAACACCACTTAAGAGAAAAAGAAGGACTTGAGAGAGAAAGGGGAGTAACTAGAAAGCCAAGAGCCATGAGTGGTTTGGCCTTGAGAGAATTTTAGTTGGGAGTTAATTATAAGAGAAACAAAGAGAAGCCTCTAGGCAGCTATGGAGGGAAGGAGAAGTTAAAATCCAGAGAAATGAGGAAAGAAAATCTTAATGTTACTGTGAATTATGATTTGGATCTTCTTTGACATTCTTTAAGAGATACCAATAAAAGATTTAAATTGCTCTAAATTCCTTTGATTGCTGTATGTGATTCTTTGAATATGACACCATGCTGGCACTGGACCACATGGGGCCTTGGTTTTATTTGGGTTACATGAGTAAATATGCATTTAATCTACCCTGTGAAACACGCTCTGACAGAGGTGTGGACACAGTGCTTTGAGAATATGAGAATAAGGGAGTCCCAGAAGAGAAAAGAAGGTTTCCCAGAGGAAGTCATGTTTGAGTTGAATGCAAAGGAATATGTTCACCTTATAGGCATGAATTGCAAGGGCATTTCTGGTAGAAGAAATAATATCTGCAAAGAAACAGAGTATTCGGGAGAAAGTGAAAAGTCTAGTGGGGTGAAGAAGAAACCAGAAAGCTCTGTGGGTAGACAGGAGCTGTATGGTGAAAGGGCTCAAATGCCATTAGCAGAATGGCCTTTATTCTGTAATCCACAGGCCTTTATTCTGTAGTCATGGTTTTGAGTGTGGACGTGACATGTTAGAGGTTTTACATTCATTTAACACTCTTGCCAGAGACACTGGACCCCTAAAGCAGCCTGACCTCTTCTGAATCCCATCCCCAGGAGTCACCAGGAGAAATGGAATCAAGAGTGGAGCTGACTCCAGAGGTTACAAAGGCACTGGCAAGAAGTTCACAGTTCCCATTGAAGAGAAAGACGCACTGAGGAAAATAACGAAGCCATTTGTCATCATCTGAATTCATGTGCGGGAAACACATTTGTTTCCAAGGAGCGTGTTCCACAAACTTGTTTAAATGGAAATGGACTTGATTTCAACAGCAATGCAGCCTTGGTGGCAATATGATGTTTTATTTTATTGTTTGCAATTAGTGACAAGTGAGGAAAATATCCAAATCACTCCACATCGCACAGGGTGTGTGTTATCCAAGTACTCAGCTCTGATGAGAGGATGGGGGCTGGGGAGATGTAACCATGAAGAACTTGAACCTCCAGAGAGGAAACTGAATGAAGTGCGTGGAGTCTTCAAGCTCTTAACCAGTGCAGAGGCATTATTGAAAGACAGGAAGTACAGCTGACTTTTGGGATGTAGAGAAAACCAGTGAAGGAAATTTCCCCCAAAGACAGGACAAGCCAGGAGTCAAGGGAACCCAGATCAGCTGCAACACAGGAGGAGCTTTGGGAAGAAATTTCCTATGGTTTGAAAAAGAGAGACCTCTGACTTCTCCATTCACCAGCTGGTAAAAAGGCCAGTGGTCACTGTCCAGTATTGCCTAAGGCAGAGTTCCTCAGCCTCAACACTATTGGCATTTAGGTTTGGATAATTCTGTGTGAGGGGTGCTATACTGTGCATTGAAGGATATTTATCAAAGGACATTTTGGCCTCTACCCACTAGATGCTAGTAGCACTCCTCTCCAGTTTTAACAATCAAAAATGTCTCCAGACACTGCAAATGTTCCCAGAGGAACAAACCACCTCCCACTGAGACGCTCTGGCTTGACTTCAATTACCAGTTCTGAATCTTGGTTGAGTTGGAAGAGGAGTCCAGGATTTTCAAGAGAAAGTTTTGTCCAGCTTAGAAATGCTTCATTCTGAGGAATCTGAAGATCCTCAGCCTACCTCAACAAAGCCCACCATTGCCTTCCCAAAATGGACCTGGGGAGCAGGAGAGCTCATTGTCCCTTAACTTTGATCTGCCCAGGACTTCAAGAAAAACTAAAGAAAAACTATGAGATGCCATGGGGCCATGGAATGAGCCTGGACTTACAGTTCTATAGGCCTGGGTTTGAGCCCAAGCTCCTCACTTTGTCACACGTGGTCTGTCCTTTGCTGACCTGGACACTCCCCTTCTCTCCATGCTCTAGCCACACTGGTCTGCTGAAAACTCCTCATATATCTCCCATCCAAGTATTAAATCAGGCCTGACCCTGCCTAGCTTCCAAAATCAGACAAGATCAGGTGTGTTCAGGGCGGTATGGCTGTAGGCTTCTCATACATCTCACGTGCCACCTCAAGACGTTTGCACATGCTGTTACCTCTATCTAGAATACTCCCCTCTCCCCTATTCCCCACACTAGACACACACACACACACACAAACATACACACAAAAACACACCCTAGCTCATTCACTGTACTCATTCTTCAGGTCTCAGATTAAATGTTACCTCCTCACAGAAGCTTTCCCTGATTCCCTGGACAATTCGGTACCCATGATACACACTGCACCTGTACTATTCACGATTAAAGAACTATTGGTGGGGGGAAAAGTTGAGGGAATTTGGGGGAAAGAGAAAAAGAAGTAAGCCTAAGAGAACCTGCCCAAGAAAGAGCAAAGGAAATAACTCCACTTTAAATTTTAAAACCATAGAGATTAAAAGACAGATCAGCGGCAACAGGAAGGTTTTTCCTTGTTGTCTGGCATCTGTGTATGTTCATAACTGCTTTCCTTCTGGTATGGAAATAGACCTGCCTAACCTTCCAGATGCGAAAGGGGGATGGCATCTGCATAATCTTATTTCATGCTTGTATCAGCCCCAAGTGATAGGGGCCATAATATTCCCATTTTACAAATGGAGAAACTGAGACCTCAGTCTGTACTCTCATTCGGAATGTATGTAATCTTCCCAGAACTGTATCACTCATGAGCTGAAATTTGGATCCAGGTGCATGAAGTTCCAGAGCCTGTGCTCCTGGCCACCTATAGTGTGAGCCCAATGAACCTGGCAGCCAGGAGGGAATTGGCCCAATGCTGGGCTGGGGCACGAAGGTGACTTTCAATAAATATTTACTGAATGAGCAGAGGCAGCAGTGGGATTCACTTCGGGGAAAGTTGAATCCAGCCTGTGTGCAGCGGAGCTCAACCCCCGCCTACCCCACCCCACCACCACCGCCCCACCCCCGCTCACTTATCACCATGTAATTGAAATAATGCCTATCGACAGAAACTCACAAACAACTGCTCAATTTTCCTCAAAATTCAATTAAACTTCGTTTATTCTGGGGATCGATCCAATTAAAAGAAGGAAAATTTCAGATGGTCTGAGCAACACCATCCATCTTCAAACACAGTGTCTACCCCAGTGATGTAATAATTTGCCCAATCAATGCTTTAAAAGCATTTAGCAGTCTTGATAATGAACTTTTGTCAAAATAGCCTTGCAGAGCAATAAGTGCCTGCAGATTAATATGAAGTCATAAAGGGCTAATGCCTTGGGGTGGAAGGGGGATGACGACATGAATCAGTGGGAGCTGTGGGCTGGGGCATCATCCTTCCACACCTTCTCAGAACTAGGTATGAGCAGTTAGCAGGACCCAGAAAATGCTGAATGTACTTCCTTGTTTCTGCTCTGTCTGCAGGTTCCTCTCCCCTCCACAGTCTCAAGACCCAGACTCCACCAGCCAGGTCCTGTGATGCTCAGATCACCCTCAGGGCATTTCAGGCACCCCACTGTATTGGAGAAAATGTCCAAAGGGAGGAAGCTTTGCTTGGAAGAAAGTCTGCCTCTTGGCCATCTACCATCTCTGAAAGCTCTGGCTTCAAAAATGGTCTTTGAGCTGCAAGAACTTTCTTTTCTCTTACCCTTTTTCTTGGGGTATTCAACTTACTAGCTGTGTGACCTTGAGCATGTTACTTAAGGTCTCTGACCTTTTGTTTCTTCATCTGTAAAATGGTGATGATAGCATTTGTTGAAGCTCAGAGGAGGGAGGTTGGGTTGGATTTCTGGGTGACAAAGATGCAAAGATTAAAAAGACCCAGGCTTTATCTGTAAAGACTTTAGAGGCACCAGGGGAAAAGCAGGTGAAAACAACTACAAGGCAAGAAGCTAGCACTGTTAAAGATGTCTGAAGCCAGTACTAGAAACAGTGCCCAAGAGAGGGCTTCACCAAGGCACTGCAGTTTGAACAGCTTTTGACCAAAGAGCAGGTATTTGCCAGGTCAAGAAGAGAAAGGAAAGGTGTATAAGCTGAGGGGGCTGCAAGTTCAGAGGCCCAGAGTCATGACAAGGCTTCCTCAAGGTGCACAGAAGGCCCAAGTCAGAGTCAGGAAACAGAGAGGAGCAGGCTAAGCTAGAGCTTTGAAAGTCTCATCAGCTAGGCTAAGGAGCTTGTCCTTTATCCTTAAAGAAATAGGGAGCCACGGAAGGTGTTAATCAAGGGATTGATATGAGGAGAACAGCACTTGGAAAAGTTCAATCAGGCGACCTTGAGAGGGATGGGCTGGTGGGGATGAGACAGTCAGAATGGTTTAGGTGAGCCATGATGTAGCCAGGGTGGTGGAACCACACAGCTCCACTCCCCTAGGAATTCCCCCAACCACCCTCTCCCCACACTGAACACACCCACCCCAAATTCCCTGTTCCCAACCAGTGTCCACATGCCCCCAGACAGGAAGCCCAGGAGTCCCTCTACACACCTTCCTTTTCCATTCCCCGCAATTTCTAGAATTTCCTCAGAAATCTTCTGCCTGAATGCTAGATCCTGTTTGGACAAACATGGTTTCTCATCCCAAAAAGTTAAGCTCACTTTAGTCCCCCACGAGGCCCCCTTCACTCTTTCAGAGGAAGGTCAGGGTACAAAGTTCCTTGCAACCAGACAGGGGCATGCCCAGAGTTGTCCATGGTACTGGTTGTGTTGGTTCCAGAAGAGGAAGGGAAAGGTGTTTCCCAAGATAGGTCAGAAACCTTCATGTGGAGTTCGAGGCATTCCCCTCCAAAATCAGTCACTTCTGGGGAAGCTGGGCCAGTCTGAGCTGGGACGGCCAAGATGGGCTGAACTGGGTGATATGGTTCGGCTCTGTGTACCCACCCAAATCTCATCTCAAATTATAATCCCACATGAAGAGGGAGGGACCTTAATTCCCACATGTCGAGGAGGGGAGGTGATTGGATCATGGGGGCGGTTTCCCCCATGGTGTTCTCGTAATAGTGAGTGAGTTCTCACGAGAGCTGATGGTTTTATAAGGGGCTCATCCCCTCTCACTCTCTCTCCTCTGTCTCCTGCCACCTTGTGAAGAAGGCGATTGCTTCCCCTTCACCTTCCGTCATAATTGTAAGCTTCCTGAGGCCTCCCCAGCCATGGAACTGTGAGCCAATTAAACCTCTTTCCTTTACAAATCTTGAGTCTTGGGTATTTCTTTATAGCAATGTGAAAATGGACTAATATACTGGGCAAGTCCCTGGGCCTTGAAGTGGTCCACAATTCATCAGAGCCTGCCCCGCCTCTCTCACTCCAGCCCTCTAGGCTGGGGCTACCTTGCGGGGTCTGTGCACTGATGTGGAGAACAGGATACAGCTCCAGCCTCCAACACCAGCAATTCCTTCAGCATCTCCTCCCCACGCCTGAACTAGCCCTTTAAAAACCAGAAGAAAATATCAGGGGCTGGCTGGTGCTTTAAAAGCTGGGGATCTGGGTGGCCAAAGGAATGAAACTCCTGCTCCACTCACCGGAAGTCACTGCTCCCCTACGGGATGCCAGGCCCTGACCTGCCATCACAGAGGCTCCAGATTTGGAAAGAGGAGGATTAAGAATTAAAGGGGGGAGAGGGAAGGGAACTTGTGCTGCTAGATCACGGGGAGTATTAAATGATCCCAAGTCCAGAAATGCCTTTTCAAAGACTTCTGCCATTAGGACTTAATATTAAATTTACTCCTTCTGTGCCTTAAAAAATAGCTAATTTTTTTTTTCAAAAGGTACTTTTGATGCCAAAGGTATGGCTTAGGCTGAAAGGCACCAGCACATCAAACATCATTTGGGGGATTTCAAAGGGCTGTTTCAGCAGGATCCTGTTCTCTTCGTCCCCCTCCTCGGCTGATGAAGTTTCTGAGCCCCCTGAAGTCGGATCTTGTGTTCTTGGCTATCAAAGGCCCCAGCAACATTGCGTCTGTCTGTCTGTCCCAGTGAAACTTTTGCAAAGAAAGCCTCCCTTTTACACAGAGATCTGAGGGCAGAATAAAAAGGATGCTGATTTGCGAGGAAACAGGAGGGAAGCCCTGCTGGGCCGATAGGAATCTTTTGACTTAACCGAGGCCAGATTTGAATACATTTGGCCCAGACAAGGGGGTTTGGGATGGAAATCCATTACTTTGGAGAAAAGCTTCACAGGGTTTCAAAAGGAAATATGTTAATGTTGGGAGAAATCATTTGTGTGGGTTTGTGTGTGAGTGTTTCAGATGCCCCCAAGTTTAACATCGCCAACCAGGAGCAAAAAGCAAGAGCCGTGGAATTGAGTCGCCGCTGTTCAGGGGAGGCATAAGGAGCTGGAGGACTGGGTGGGCTCGGCAGCTTCCCTGGTCTTGCCCCTGCACTCCTCACCCAGCTGGGACTAGGGTCTGAGACTCAGACCGACGGGGAGCCCCAGCCTGAGGCACAGTGCTCAAAGGGCTTCCCTTTCCTTAAGATCCCACTCAGAGTCTCAAGGCCAATGCTCACAGAGATCTCCCAGATCATTCCCAGTGTCCAGAAGCAAAGACCAGAGCCTGAGAGGGGAAGGGCATTGTCACAGAGGCTTTGCGGGTCAGGCCTCTGGACTCGAGTCCCTGGCCCACATGGCTTCTCCCCATACCTCTTGCTCAACAAGCATTTGATCTGCTCTCTGAGGACTGCACCTGGGTGACAGTTTATACTTCTACTCATGGCACTCCGGAAATGAAGTGCCTGTCACACCCAGCCCTGAGGACAGGGATCCCTGTGGCCTGCCTTGTTCAAGGCCCCATAAAAACAGAATAATTACTATCAGATAATTAGTCAGAAATTTCCCCCTGTGGTTTCAAGAGACAGTAGCCCTGGATTCAGGAGCCGTGAGTCCTGGGCTCAGTTTGGTCTCCCTCTGGTCCTCACTTTCTTCCTCTGCCAAATGAGGACAACTCCAGCAGTCCCGTCTCTACTTTGTAAGACCACTGAGAAATTCCACTTAGGTCAGAAATAAATGCTGTGAGCAGGGAGTCCCCAGAGCAGGGCAACAGGAGCCTCTCCCACCCTCCAGTAGGCTCAGACACAGCAGGAAAAACGGAGTAGGTTGTTTTAAAGGCTGTTCTGTGTGGTTGTAGCAAGTGCACCTGAGTCGCTAAGAAGCCTTGCATTCTCACATCAGCCCTGGAATTTCACCACAGTTTCAGGGCTCTCTTCTTCATTAGGAAAATGGTTGATAGAATTTGCAGATGAAAAGAAGCCTAGGGACTTGTTTGTTTGGGTGGAGATGAGGGATGCAGTGGGAGTTAGAATCTGGGGCTGCCTGATTTGGACTCCCATCTGAGCTTATTTTACCCAAGGAAATGGGGGCCAGCAAAACTCAGCACTTGAATCGGAGCATTGTCCTCCCGCTGCAAAAGAGAAGAGAAAAAAGAGAGACGATAGCTCATCGTTAATGGTCTTGAATTAAATTAAATTAGTTGAGCCCATCTTGGCTGCTTCCAGCCAGGCAGAGAACGGGGCTGCTGGGGAGGAGCCTGGAGGTTCCTTTTGCCTCACAGTCCAGTGGCCACCCATAAAGCCATTGCTGACCGTGCACTCTTCCCTCCCGCCGATCGCTACCCCCTCCCCACCACTACCAGCAGCTCCAGGCTGCAAAGTGTCAAACAGGATGGTGATGGGACCACTGGGATAGGGGCGGCTCCCCAGAGCCTGCAATCTTTGGAACATTGTCATCGAGAAGGTCACCATTATCAGGAGAAGGAGGGCATCCTGAGCTCAGCCACAGGCCAGACTCCCATATTTCCCTTTCCACCTTCTTGCCCTGAGCCAGAGAGGTAGCAAACATGCACATTGGTGCCCGAGTCAAACTCACAAACCAGAGTAATGCCTGATAACATGGTATTTGAGTATAGCAGCCCTGGGCAACCCAGAGCTACCAGAGTATTGTTTGGGTTCATGGGCTGTCCAAGGCTCTACCATGTTTGTTTGAACACACAGGACTATGAATTCTCTCTCTGC